>NW_016107298.1:336529-673059 GCF_000001405.40 Homo sapiens
AAGCACATTGACCCTTTTTCAGAATTATTTGTTATAAATTTTTTTTCTGGTTTCTCAGTGGTGGTTTGCCCTGTAAGTTTTTTATTTTTAGTTTTTGGCAACCAGATTTAGCAGATGTTTCCTTTATACCTTCTAAGGTATTGTGCTTTGAAGGTCCTTCCCTATCTAAAAATTACCCTAACTTTTAATATCAAATGTGGGGAGCTGGAACCTGAGTCCACGCGTCTGGTTGTCAGTCTGTCCAGCCTTTACCGCCACAGCTTTCAGTCATGGCTTCCAGTCAGTCGCAGCTCGGAAAGCCAGCCCCTGACTTCAAGGCCATTGCCCTGGTGGATGGCGCCTTCCAGGAGGTGAAGCTGTGGGCTACAAAGGGAAGTACGTCGTCCTCTTTTTCTACCCTCTGGACTTCACTTTTCTGTGGCCCATGGAGAACGTCGCATTCAGCGACCATGCCGAGGATTTCCGCAAGCTGGGCTGCGAAGTGCTGGGTGTCTGGGTGGACTTAGTTCACCCACCTGGCTTGGATCAACAACCCCCAGAAGTAGGGAGGCTTAGGCCCCCGAGCATCCCCCACCCGCTGATGTGACGGGAAGCTTGTCTGAAGATTACTGTGTGCTGAAAACCAATGAGGGCATTGCCTACCCTGCCTCTTTATCATCGATGGCAAGGGTGACTTTTGCCAGATCACTGTTAATGATTTGCCTCTGGGGTGCTCCATGGATGAGGCTCTGCAGCTGGTCCAGGCATTCCAGTACGCAGATGAGCACGGGAAAGTTTGTCCCACTGGCTGGAAGCCTGGTAGCGACAATGAAGCCCAATGTGGATGACAAGGAATACTTCTTCAAACACAACTAGGCTGGCCGATGGATAGTGAGCTTGTGCCCCTACTGGGTACCCTGTGCTAACCCAGGAAAGGCCAGACCTGCCCCTCCAATCTCCACAGTCTGGGACCCTGGAGGGCCAGGCCAAGACCTTCTGCTTCTACCTGGGTAATTTTTTACACACTTTATGTGTAAAAAATGTGTAAATTTTACACATTTTTGCCATTTGTTTTGGCATAGTGTGAAGTAGGAATCTAAATTTCTTTTACAAATAGTTAACCAGTTTTTGCAATATCATCATGTAATATATTTTTTCTACTAATTTGAAATTCCACTTTTATCATATGTGAAATATCCATAATATGCATTGGTTTATTTCTGGACTCTTCTGTTGTAAATCTGAATCTGTGTTCCTATGCCAGTGACACATTCTTTTAATGACTGGAGCCAGATAGTATATTCTAGACTCTGGTAGTTAAGCGCCTGCCTACTCTGCTGTACTTCTGTTTCAAATATTTCTGGGCCATCCATTCTGCCAGATGAACTTGAACATCGTTTTGTCAAATTCCAGAATAAAAACTCCATTGAGATTTTAATTAATTAATAGACATGAGTGAGCAATCTGGTCTAGTGCTATCTTGAATGGCAGTGCCTATAGTGTGTTCTTCAAACACACTATAGTATACATAATCATATACATAATAGTATACATAAAGTATACATGTTTGCTGCTGATGTCTGAGGGATGCGGTTTCTCACGTTTAGAGAGTGCTTTCCACTCCAGTTTACCTTGTGTTTTGTTGTTGTTGTCGTTTTGTTTTTTTCTTTTTTTTGAGATGGAGTCTTACTCTGTCGCCCAGGTTGAAGTGCAGTGGCATAATCTCCACTCACTGCAACCTCCGCCTCCTGGGTTCAAGTGATTCTCCTGCCTCAGCCTCCTGAGTAGTTGGGATTGCAGGTGCCTGCCACCATGCCCGGCTAATTTTTTGTATTTTTAGTAGAGATGGGGTTTCACTATGTTGGCCAGGCTGGTCTTGAACTCCTGACATCGTGATCTGCCCACTTTGGCCTCCCAAAGTGCTGGGATTACAGGCGTGAGCCACCGTGCCCGGCCTACTTTGTGATTTTTTAAGAGATGAATGTTGAATGTTGTCAGATACTTTTTTTGGATCTATCAACATGTCAACCTGCTTTTAACCCATAAATATAATTGAACTAATTCATAGGTTTCTTATTGAATACTATCCCTGAATTTCTAAAATAATCCCTACCTGATCATTGTAAACCCTGGATTTGATATGTTTACTGTTTGGAATTTTTGTGTCTCTGCTTGTAAGTGAAACTATTCTGAATTTTCTATACTGCCTTTGCCACCTTTCCGTGTCAGAATTGTATTAGCCTCATAAACTGGAAGGCCGGGCGTGGTGGCTCACACTCCCAGCACTTTGGGAGGCCGAAGTGGACAGATCATGAGGTCAGGAGGTTGAGACCGCCCTGACCAACATGGTGAAACCTGGTCTCTACCAAAAATACAACAATTAGCTGGGCGTGGTGGCGTGTGCCTGTAATCCCGGTTACCCAGGAGGCTGAGGCAGGAGAATCGCTGGAACCTGGGAGGCAGAGGCTGCAGTGAGCTGAGACCGTGCCACTGCACTCCACTCTGGGCAACAGAGCAAAACTCCGTCTCAAAAAAAATAAACATAAAAATAAAATAAACTGGAAAATAGCCTTCCTTTTCTTGTTTTCTACCACAGCTTATTAGATCAGGAATTATTTTTTCTGTGCAGGCTTGCTAGAACTTACTGGTATGACCACTTCACCCTTATGCCTTTTTTGGTCTTTGTTCTTTGACCACTTTAACTTTTAGCATAGTTTTGATCAATTTATTGGTTTCCTAAGTCTTAAGACAATTTTTAAAGTCATTTATAATTTTTTTAGAAACCATTTCATTCAGCTCTACTAAGCTAGAGTTGTATGAAAGTATTCTCTTACAGCTTTTGAAAAATCTCACTGTTCTCATTTATAATGTGTATTTGCTAAATATTGATCACACTTAGTAGAAATTTGTCTACTTGGTTGAACTTTGACAAACCAGCTGTCTTATTTATCAATTCTACTTTGGGAGTAGGGCTTTATTTGCTTTCTAATCCATTGATTTTTGCTTTGGGTATTAATTCTTTCTCATCTTTCTGTTGCTTTTTCCTGGCTGTATTTTTTTATGATTTGGTTTTTTATTATAAAAGAAATGCTTGCTTGTTGAAAAAAGTTAGGCAATACCAAAGTATATAATGTGAAAAGAGAAGTTGAACCTCCTCTTCTCACCCCACCCCCCGCCCCAGCCGCAGTCCTCCTCCCTTTCCCACAGGTGATGGTAAAGATTCTGGGGAAAATTTTTCTAGAAGCTTTTCTACTTTTTCTATACATTTATGTTCACGTAGGTTTTGTTTTAAATTAAATATTTTCTGGTCTTCTATTACTGTGTAACAAGTCAGCAACAGCACTTAAACAATAACAATCACTGTATCTTTCACAGCTGGGGGCTAACTGGGTTCAGCTAGTCGGTTCTTGTTCAAGAGCGCACGTGCTTACAGTCAGGTGATGGCTGGGGCTGAAATCACCTGAAGACTTGCTCTCTCCTCGTCTGTCTGCTGTGCTGAGAAGACCAAGGAACTGGGGGCTGGAATGGCAGGGGTTTCTTGGACATCTCCATGTTTACATGGTCTCCAGCATTGTGGCTTCAGGGAAGTCAAGACTTTTTACATGAAAGCTCAGAACTTCAAACGCATATGCCTCAAGAGAAAGAGCTGGGTGGAAGCTGTATTGCCCTTTTTAACCTAGCTGCAGAAGTCACACGGCATCATTTCTACTGCATTTTACTCATCGAGACAGGCACTAAGACCCCCCAGAGTTGAAGGTTGGAAATATGGATGGATTCCTTTTGGTAGGTGTGTCAGAGAGGTTGCAGACATGTGTTAGAACCGTTACACATAGCCTTGGTTGCAACATAAGTAGGATTACTATAATGAGATTGTACATATGATTCTTTGACTTGAAATTGTATCCTGGAGTTTTGTTGTTTTTTTTGTTTTGTTTTGGCAGTGTCTGACTCTGTCACCCAGGCTGGAGTGCAGTGGCATGATCTCAGCTCACTGCAGCCTTAACCTCCTGGGCTCAAGCAATCCTCTCACCTCAGCCTCCCAAGTAGCTGGGACTACAGGCATGTACCACTGCACCCAGCTAATGTTTGTATTTTTGTGGACACAGGGTCTCACTGTGTTGCCCAGGCTGGTCTTGAACTCCTGAGCCCAAGCCATCCACCCTCCTGAGACTCCCAAAGTGCTGAGATTACAGGCATGAGCCACCGTGCCCAGCTTTTCTATATTTCTGCAAATGTATCTACTGCGTTCTTTGTTATAGTTGCATAGGTTCTGTGATATGGCTGTAACATGATTGATTTCAACTTTTCTCTATTGATGAACATTTAGGGTACACCCAGTTTTCCTGTATTTCAGATAAGAATGACCTCACTTATTCATTCTCAAGTGCTTTATTTCTTGGCAAAGCCGTTGATGTTTAGATGTGTAAGGGGTCTTGGTTCTCCCTTGTACCTAAGGGATAGAGAATTTTCCTGAAATATTGATTAGACCATTTTACCAAGATTTGGGGGAAGAAGGACTCAGAAATGTCAGTTAAGGTCACCACTTTATTTTTATCTTATTTTATTTTATTTTGAGATGAAGTCTCGCTCTGTTGCCCAGGTTGGAGTGCAATGGCACGATCTCAGCTCACTGCAACTTCCGCCTCCCAGGTTCAAGCGATTCTCCTGCCTCAGCTTCCCGATTAGCTGGGATTACAGGCACCTGCCACCATGCCTGGCTAATTTTTGTGTTTTTAGTAGAGACAGGGTTTCACCATGCTGGCCAGGCTGGTTTCGAACTCCTGACCTCAGGCAATCCACCAGCCTCGGCCTCCCAAAGTGCTGGGATTACAGGCGTGAGCCACCACGCCTGGCCAGGTCACCACTTTAGAGATCCAGAACTTTTTATTATTATTATTAATTACTTTGTACACAAATAATTTTGTTGATCTTTGTAAATAATGTGATTATTGAATAAACAGAAAACTAAACTAGGTCGTGAAATTTCAGAATAGTCTCTGAAATCTGATATCTAGTAAGTTTTTCTTCTAGAAGGTGGTAGGGTTAGGTTTTTTTGGTTTGTTCAATTGATTTCCACTTCATAGAGCTGGCTGACCTAAATAAATGTTCATAGGAAAGAGATAAGAATGAAATACCTGAATTTCAAAGGTTGTAAAGTTTATGAAAAATAGGACATTTTATTTAAACTTGTGCATTTTATTTCGTTTAGGTTGGAGTAATAGATTTTTCCCTCTACCTTAAGGATGTGCAGGATCTTGATGGTGGCAAGGAGTAAGTACTGCGTTGTATGTCACTTTTTTTTTTTTTTTTTTTTTTTTTTTTTTTTTTGAGACAGAATCTGGCTTTGTCGCCCAGGCTGGAGTCCAGTGGCACAGTCTTGGCTCACTGCAACCTCCGCCTCCCGGGTTCAAGCGATTCTTCTGCCTCAGCCTCCTGAGTAGCTGGGACTACAGGTGCGCCCCACCATGCCCAGCTAATTTTTGTGTTTTTAGAGACGGGGTTTCACCATATTGGCCAGGCTGATCTCGAACTCCTGACCGTGATCGGCCCGTCTCGGCCTCCCAAAGTGCTGGGATTACAGGCGTGACCCACCGCGCCCAGCCACGTCACATTTTTAATAAAATTCTGGCAAAGGCGGGTCTTTGGGGCTAGCGGAGGGCCGGGTCTCCGGACGGAAATTGCCGAAGACTAGCGGAGGCTCCGAGGCCGGGCGTGGTGGGGCTGGAGGGGAGGGCGGGGGTGGGGAGTTTCGGCCGAAAGAGCAAATCCGGGGCTGGAGGGGAGGGCGGGGGTGGGGAGTTTCAGCCGAAAGAGCAAATCCGGGTTGGACTGTGTGATTGGGCCCGGTGGTGTGGGCAGGGCAGGTTAGGTGTGTCCGCTCCTTTCACACTCACCGGTGGTCGGGCGGCGGAGGCGGTGGGAGCGCCGGAGTTGGATGTGCGCACATCGGGTGGTGTCCCCCGCCTGCCGAACGGGTAATGAGGCTCTTCTCTGCAGCAAAAAAAAAAAAAAAAAAAAAATTCTGGCAAAGAACACTTTTCTTGTTTTTGCTTTGAGATTTTCTGTTTTGTTTAGTTATTTTTAAATATAGAAGCAGTGCATTATTCTCATTGTTTAAGGAATTTGGCTCTGCAGAAGAATAGAGTGTACAGGTGAAATTTCCCCATTCACACTGTCCCCTTGCCTCCATGTCAATCTCATTCCTCCCCTCAAAGGAAGACTGTTTAATGCCTTACAGGTATTTGTTGATCGTCTATTTTGCTTTACCATTGGTCAAATATAAATGGGATAGTATTATATAAGTTGCCCTTGGACTTGTTCTGTAATCATAGTGTTTTAGATTTGTTTGTTTGTTTTGTTTTGTTTTGTTTGAGATGGATTCTCGCTCTGTCGCCCAGGCTGGAGTGCAGTGGTGCAATCTCGGCTCACTGCAACCTCCGCCTCCCCGGTTCAAGCGATTCTTCTGCCTCAGCCTCCCGAGTAGCAGGGATAACAGGCGTTCCCCATCATGCCTGGCTAATTTTTTTTTTTTATTTTTAGTAGAGACCGGGTTTCACCATATTGGCCAGGCTGGTCTTGAACTCCTGGCCTCAGGTGATCCACCTGCGTCGGCCTCCCAAAGTGCTGGGATTACAGGCGTGAGCCACCGCGCCCAGTCTAGTATCTTTTTATGCCATTATGAAGCTCTCCCTCACCCTTGTTAACAAGGGTATTCTTTTATAATCAGTTACCCAAGGGAAAAAAACAATGTATAACATACTACCATTTATGTTGTTTGTTTGTTTGTTTGTTTGTTTTTGGAGACCGAGTTTCGCTCTTGTTGACCAGGCTAGAGTGCAGTGGCACGATCTTGGCTCACCGAAACCTCCACCTCCCAGGTTCAAGCGATTCTCCTGCCTCAACCTTCCTGAGTAGCTGGGATCACAGACATGTGCCACCATGCCTGGCTAATTTTGTATTTTTAGTGGAGATGGAGTTTCTCCATGTTGGTCAGGCTGATCTCGAACTTCCAACCTCAGATGATCCGCCTGCCTCAGCCTCCCAAAGTGCTAGGATTACAGGCGTGAGCCACTGCTCCCGGCCCCATTTATGTTATAATAAAAAAGGATATGCATACATATGTTTTACTTTCATATGTATGCATGGAACATTTCTAGAGTGGCGTATCAACCTTATAGTAGTGATTGCCTGTGGAGGCAGTCATGGGAGGGGGTTTTCACTGTAAACCTTGGGATCGCGTTTGAATATTTCACCTTGCGCATATGTTACCTGCCCTTCCATGTCTTCCTGAGGACTCTCACGGTCTGAGTGCCTGGCAGTGCACCTTACCAAAGAATGGACCAGCAAGAACCACACTAAAGCTTCATGCATCCTAAGTACAAGGGCTCACCCACTTGAAATTTAAACAAAATATATTCTTTTATTTCATATCAGGCCAAATACTTCAGAGGAACAAAATATATTCTTTTTTCTTTTTTTTTGAGACAGTTTTGTAGTTTCGCTCTTATTGCCCAGGCTGGAGTGTAGCGGCACTATCTGAGCGCACTGCAACCTCCGCCTCCCAGGTTCAAGCAATTCTCCTGCCTCAGCCTCCCAAGTAGCTGAGATTACAGGCGCCCGCCACCTCACCTGGCTAATTTTTTGTATTTTTAGTAGAGACGGGGTTTTGCCATGTTGGCCAGGCTGATCTCAAACTCCTGACCTCAACTGATCCATCTGCCTCAGCCTCCCAAAGTACTGGGATTACAGGCATGAGCCACTGTGCCTGGCCTAACAAAATATACCCTTTTCTTCTTCTTTTTCTTTTTTTTTTTTTTTTTTTTTTTGAGATGGAATCTCTTCCTCTGTCGCCCAGGCTGGAGTGCAGTGGCACAATCTTGGCTCACTGCAACCTCTGCCTCCCGAGTTCAATCAGTTCTCCTCCTCAGCCTCCCTGAGTCGCTGGGACTGCAGGTGCATGCCACCACGCCCAGCTAATTTTTTGTGTGTATTTTTAGTAGAGACGAGGTTTCACCGTGTTGACCAGGCTGGTCTCAAACTCTTGGCCTCAGGTGATCTGCCCACCTCGGCCTCCCAAAGTGCTGGGATTACAGGTGTGTGCCACCACACCCAGCCACAGAATATACTTTTAATGTCAAAAGCTGAAAATAAACTGAGTATCTACCAGTCAGGAAATAATTGAATTAATTATGGAACATATGTAATATTCCACACTGTGGTATATTTTGCAGACGTAAGAAAGAATAAAGTGTATCTACTGGTATATTGAATGAGACTATACTATATTGAATGAGGAAAGTATGATGCTGAGGAGTACATATATCCCGTTTTTGTAAACAAATCAAAAAATTCCGTGTGTGTGTGTGTGTGTGTGTGTGTGTGTGTGTGTATATTTTTTTTTTTTTTTGAGACGGAGTCTCGCTCTGTCGCCCAGGCTGGAGTGCAGTGGCGCCATCTCGGCTCACTGCAAGCTCCGCCTCCCGGGTTCACGCCATTCTCCTGCCTCAGCCTCCCGAGGAGCTGGGACTACAGGCGCCCGCCACCACGCCCGGCTAATTTTTTGTATTTTTAGTAGAGACGGGGTTTCACCGTGTTAGCCAGGATGGTCTCCATCTCCTGACCTCGTGATCTGCCCACCTTGGCCTTCAAAAGTGCTGGGATTACAGGCGTGAGCCACCACGCCTGGCCAGTTTTTTTTGTTTTTTTTTTTTAATCCAAACTGGCCTAGACTTTAGACTGATGAGCTTCGTGTTTTGAAAAGTCCCGTGCGCTCCTTTCCTTCAGTAGTATAAGGGTTGTGTCGAGCCATTTGCGTGTGGCAAGTTGGTGTTTTCACCTTGCTTGCTCATCCTGAAACCTTGGTCTGCAGGGAGCCCACTCTCCTGGCAGCCTGGCCCTGGAGACGCTGACTACTGTGACCCAGGCTGGCTTTCTCTCTGTACTCTGGGATGTGGATGTTACTGAGCTCTGGCTGTCTCTTGGTTTCTTGAAGACATTGGTACTTCTACAAGGTGATTGGAATATTGGGGAACAGTTACAAAGTATTAACCATTAATAAAAAAAAGTTCTTCCTTCTTATGCTCCTTTTAAAAGGCATGAAAGAATTACTGATGTCCTTGATCAAAAAAATTATGTGGAAGAACTTAACCGGCACTTGAGGTAAGACTCCTTTTTTTTTCAATGTGACAGTTACATACTCGGTATCCTGTCATTGCTTCATGGAACTTCGAGTTGCCACGTATTTATAAATAACTTGTTTCCAAACCAAGACAAAAGGGTCATCATTCAGGCAACATTTATTTGTACAAACTGAAGAAGTATGATTTCTTCTTGATAAACTCTTGGGAAATCTTTATTCTGTGCTTTTTGCAGTTACATAATACACAGAAGTAACTACATTAAACCTTGACTCTCCATTCCTCGCCCCACAGCCACGTGGCTGGAAATCCCTTCATGGCAAGCACTGTTGCTGCTGGGAATCAGCACACAGCACCCAGTGCATTAGGCCAGGAAAAAAGAGTTGAAAACCACTGGGCTAGGCCCTCCAGAGCAATGTACTAGTGATCACCGGCATCTTTATCTTGATTTTTTTTTTTTTTTTTTTTTGCTGGAAATCTGTGGATGTGTTTCATGAAACACTAATCCTTGGAGGTATTTGTGGGGAATGTGGAGAGACATGTTATTCCCTTTCTGAGTCCCCTCTAGAGAGTACATTGCACATTACAGTTCTCCACAGTGGCCACCTCTCCGGCCCCAAAAGCCAGGTGAAGAAGCTGGCATGTTCCTCCCGGTGCAGTTACGGACACATTGCTCTGGGGCTGTTTTTACTTTTCTTTTTTTTTTTTTTGACAGGGTCTCACTCTGTTGCCCAGGCTGAAGTGTAGTGGCGTGATCTCAGATCACTGTAGCCTCGAATTCCCAGGCTCAGGCAATTGATTCTCCCACCTCAGCCTCCTAAGTAGCTGGGACTACGAGCACACGTCACCCCTCCTGGCTAATTTTTGTATTTTTTGTAGAGACAGTGCTCCGCCATGTTGCCCAGACTGGTCTCAAACTCCTGGGCTCAAGCAATCCTCCCACCTTAGCCACCCAAAGTGCTAGAATTACAGGCATGAGCCACCACACCCAGCCTGAGGCTCTTCTTAACTGTGATGTTGGCTATTTTTTGAAAGAGTTTTTTGGTCGATTACTAGTTTATTGAGAGTATTTATAAGAAATAGATATTAAATTTTAGAAAATACCTTTTAGTGTCCGTTAATGTAATCATGGTTTTCATCCCATAATCTACTGATGTGGTGTATTTTATTAATAGACTTCTTCATACTGGACCATTCCTGTATCACAGGAATAAACTCCACTTGATCATAATATTTTTTATTATGATTTTTTGAGACAAGGTCTTACTCTGTCACCCAGGCTGGAGTGCTGTGGTACAATCGTGGCTCACTGCAGCCTCCACCTCCCTGGGCTCCGGTGATTTGCCCACCTCAGCCTCCCAAGTAGCAGGAACTACAGGCATGCACCACTACACCTGGCTAATTTTTTGTATTTTTTGTAGAGACAGGGTCTCACTTTGTTGCCCAAGGTGGTCTCAAACTCTTGGCCTCAAGCAATCTTCCCTGGTTAGCCTCCCAACTGCTGGGTTATAGGCATGAGCCACCTCGCCCAGCCAGGATCATAGTTTTCATAATTCAATTATCCTTTTAACATGTAACCTGGTTGGGTGTGGTGGCTCACACCTGTAATCCCAACACTTTGGGAGGCCGACGTGGGTGGATTACCTGAGGTTGGGAGTTCGAGACCAACATGGAGAAACCCCATCTCTACTAAAAATACAAAATTAGGCAGGCGTGGTGGTGCGTGCCTGTAATCCCAGTTACTCGAGAGGCTGAGGCAGAAGAATCGCTTGGACCCGGGAGACGGAGGTTGCAGTGAGCCGAGATTGCACCATTGCACTCCAGCCTGGGCAACAAGAGCGAAACTCCATCTCAAAAATAAAAATAAAAATAAAAATAAACCTGACTTGCTGAAATTTTATAGTTTTCTTTCTCCGCCATCATATCAGGGTTATGTAGCATTGCAAAATGAATTAGTAAGCTTTTCCTTATGCCTGGGAACAGCTAGCTTCTAGATCATGGGCATTATTTGCCCCTTGTGAATATGAAGCAGCCAGGTGTGATGGCTCACGATTGTAATCCCAGCACTTTGGGAGGCCAAGGCAGATGGATTACCTGAGATCAGGAGTTCAAGATCAACCTGGCCAACATGGTGAAACCCCATCTCTACTAAAAATACAAAAATTAACCGGCATGGTGGCGGGCATCTGTAGTCCCAGCTGCTCGAGGCTGAGGCAAGAGAATCACTTGAACCTGGGAGGCAGAGGTTGTGGTGAGCTGAGATTGCGCCACTGCACTCCAGCCTGGGTGACAGAGTGAGACTCTGTCTCAAAAAAAAATTTATGAAGCTGAAAGCATTTATGAGGCAATACGTTGCTAGCTTTTCAGTTTTTACTTAGTTCATCTGGGTTTTCTTTTGAGGATATATCTTTTCTCATATAAATATATATATATATATATATATTTTAAGACGGAGTTTTGCTCTGTCGCCCAGGCTGGAGTGCAGTAGCGCGATCTCGGCTCACTGCAAGCTCCGCCTCCCAGGTTCACGCCATTCTCCTGCCTCAGCCTCTCGAGTAGCTGGAACTACAGGCACCTGCCACCACACTTGGCTAATTTTTTGTATTTTTAGTAGAAACTGGGTTTCACTGTGTTAGCCAGGATGGTCTCGATCTCCTGACCACGTGATCCGCCCGCCTCGGCCTCCCAAAGTGCTGGGATTGCAGGTGTTGAGCCACCGTGCCCGGCCAGTCATTTATATTTTTATTTATTTTTATTTTTTATTTTATTTTATTTTTTTGAGACAGAGTCCTGCTCTGTCGCCCAGGCTGGAGTGCAGTGGCATGATCTCCGCTCACTGCAAGCTTCGCCTCCCAGGTTCACGCCATTCTCCTGCCTCAGCCTCCCAAGTAGCTGGGATTGCAGGCGCCCACCACCATGCCCAGCTAATTTTTTGTATTTTAGTAGAGACGGGGTTTCACCGTGTTAGCCAGGATGGTCTCGATCTCCTGACGTTGTGATCCGCCCGCCTCGGCCTCCCAAAGTGCTGGGATTACAGGCGTGAGCCACCACGTCAGGCCTATATTTTTAAGAAAAATATACAATTGGGGGGTATTTTCTAAATTATCAAGTTGGCACAGAATTGACAATTGTATACTCTTAAAACTTTCCATTCCCTCTGTATCTTTTGGTTTTTTTCCCTTTTTCATTTTGTGTCTTTGTATTTTTATATTTGTCCCCCGGTTCCTAAGCCTTGGTTCATTAGCCTTGCTAAGTTTATTTCTTTGTCCCCCACTCACTGGCAACAGGGACTGGTCTTTGGCAGCATGACCTGTTGCCCAGAAGTACAGGCTCTAGAGCCAGATTCCCTGGGTTCAGATGCCAGCACCCCTTTGTAGATATGTGAACTTGAGTGAATTCTTTTATATAAAATTATGGCTGCCTTGTCTGTAAAATGGGCTAACAGTAGGATCTACCTCATTGAATTGTGGGGAAGATTAAATGAGTTGATGCATTTAAAGTGCTTAGAGGCCAGGTGTGGAAGCTCATGCCAGTAATCTCAGCAGTTTGGGAGGCTGGGGCAGGAGGAGGATCACCTGAGCCCAGGAGTTCAAGATCAGTCTGGGTGACATAGTGAAACCTCACCTCTACAAAAAAATACAAAAATTAGCTGGGCCTGGTGGCAAGGTGGGAGGCCAAGGTGGGAGGATCATGAGCCTTGGAGGTTGAGGCTACAGTGAGCCATGATCACACCACTGCACTCCAGCCTGGGCGACAGAGCAAGACCCTGTTTCAAAAACAAAAAAAAGTAGTACATGTTATTAAATAATATTTTTTAAATGGGGAAGGTGTAAAAGGGATTTAAAAACACCTTGGGACCGGGCGCAGTGGCTCACGCCTGTGATCCCAGCACTTTGGGAGGCCGAAGCAGGCAGATCACGAGGTCAGGAGATTGAGACCATCCTGGCTAACACAGTGAAACCCCGTCTCTACTAAAAATACAATTAGCCGAGCATGTTGACGGGCGCCTGTGGTCCCAGCTATTTGGGAGGCTGAGGCAGGAGAATCACCTGAACCCAGGAGGTGGAGGTTCCAGTGAGTTGAGCTCGCGCCACTGCACTCCAGACTAGGCGAAAGAGTAAGACTCTGTCTCAAAACAAACAAACAAAAAACACCTTGGATCCTTCTACCCAAAAATACTAATACCTTGTTAATGAATTTTACTTTAGGTATATGACTGCCAACACATTTTGGTTTCTATCACCATTTGTGTTGGGAGAAAAAAATTCTCTTTCCAGATGACTAAAAAAGAAATAGGCCGGGCACAGTGGTTCATGCCTGTAGTCCCAGCACTTTGGAAGGCCAGGGTGGGCAGCCTCACCTGAGGTCAGGAGTTCGAGACCAGCCTGGCCAACATGGTGAAACCCTGTCTCTACTAAAAATACAAAAAAATTAGCCAGGTGCAGTGGCACGCACCTGTAGTCTAGGCTATTCGGGAGGCTGAGGCTGGAAAATCGCTTGAACCCGGGAGGCAGAGGTTGCAGTGAGCCAAGATCACTCCACTGCACTCTAGTCTGGGCGACAGAGCGAGACTTTGCCTCAAAATAAAAAAAGAAAGATTAAATTTTCGGGACAAAACTTATTGAAAAGTATGTTGCAAATGTATATTTAGAATTCTCATCTTCTCTGAGTTAATTGGAGACCCTCTGCCTTTCCATTTCATACAGGAAATCTAGGAATCTCTCTTACTGTTTACAGATTGAGAAAACAGTCAGCTTGTATAAGTTTATGTTTACTTAATATTCTTATTTTCTACAGCTGCACAGTTGGGGATCTTCAAACCAAGATAGATGGCTTGGAAAAGACTAACTCAAAGCTTCAAGAAGAGGTTTGTAAGTTTTATTGAAATTTTTAGACAAAACAGAATGACCCAAGGTTAAGAGAATCTGTGTAGTCGGTCTGCGATAGCAGAGCTTCCTGCTGGTAGGAAGGGGACTTGCTAGCCTCCAGCTACCCCACGTGGGACAGGAGAATGTCTGTGTTCTGCTCTGTCCGAGGCTCCCAGTGAGACACTGCAGCGGATCACGAGCCAGTTCTAAGTGACTTAGATTTTATCACCTCAAAGTCATCCCATAGAAGGAAATTGTTCTTTGGAAGAGCCCAGCTTGTGTTGTGGAAGTGCCGTGTCTTCCTCTTTTTCTGCCCTTCCCATGATGCCGTGTGCCTCCCTGCTGCCCCAGAAAGCACAGACTCTGTCATAAGGAATAAGTATCCAGCCCACCCCTTCTGCTTTGGCCTCAGGAGCATGCAACCAGCCTCCCCACAGTGCGGTCTTTCTCTGCTTTCTCACTAGGAAGAGAGAATGAAAGGACAGGACAAAGGAGGGCTGAGCCGAGGAAGAGAGCTTGCTGCCAGCTGCCCGGCAGTCTCCTTGCTGGACACATCTTGTCTCCTGTTAGCAGGAGGGGGGTGCTCAGCCCTTCTGAGGCTTTCCACAGGTAGCAGTCCCCGGCTGCCCAGGCCTCCCACCTAGAAGGACAAGGGCTCTGAGAGGGGCTTGAGAAGGAACACCTCCACGGCATGGAGGTGGGTTACAGCAGAGAAGAGAGCCTCAGAGCCCATCTCTGTAATGAGGGACCCCGTGTAAGCCTCCCTTAAAGCTGACTGCTCCCTCCTGAGGCGCCAGCCCTGAAAGGCCTTCAGGAAAGGAGCTCAGATTTGTGTGAGTAGAAGGAAATTCAAGACGGTGTCACAGATGGGGGTGTCATGGGAGAAGCTTCATGGAACTTAGGATTGGAGGCTTCACAGTCACCTTGGTAGGCAGGCCTTTGAGCCTCAGGTCAGGCAGGTCGGTGGTTGAGCCTCACTTTTGTCACCTCCAAATTAGGTAATAATACATCCTTTACTGTTGCAAAGATTAAGACGAATATCTGGTAAATGTGCTCAGGACAACACTTGCCACGTGGGAGCACTCGAGTTGTTTGATTTTAGAACAAGCAGATTCCCTGCATCTCAGTCAAGATGGCGTGCTTTGATGAAGCTCCAATTGAGCTTTTGAAACTAAGCAGAGTTATGTGGGGTTTTTCTGCTTTTTGAGACAGGGTCTCACTCTGTCACCCAGGCTGGAGTGCAGTGGCGCAGTCATAGCTTACTGTAACCTCAGACTTCTGGGCTCAAGAGACCCTCCTGCCTCAACCTCCCAGTAGCTGGGACTACAGGTACACACCACCAACACCCGGCTAATTTTTTAACTCTTTGTAGAGACGGGATCTCACTTTGTTGTTCAGGCTGGTCTCAAACTCCTGGGCTAAAGTGACCCACCCACCTTGGCCTCCCAAAGTGCTAGGATTACAGACATGAGTCACTGAGCCCAGCTTCGGTTATGTTTTCTTTTTTCTTTCTTTCTTTCTTTTTTTTTTTTTTTGAGACAGAGTCTTGCTCTGTCTCCCAGGCTGGAGTGCAGTAGTGACGTGATCTCCGCTCACTGCAAGCTCCCAAGCTCCACCTCCCGGGTTCACGCCATTCTCCTGCCTCAGCCTCCCGAGTAGCTGGGACTACAGGCGCCCGCCACCACGCCCGGCTAAATTTTTTTTTTTTTTTTTTTTTAGTAGAGATGGCATTTCACCATGTTAGCCAGGATGGTCTCAATCTCCTGACCTTGTGATCTGCCCACCTCGGCCTCCCAAAGTGCTGGGATTACAGGCATGAGCCACTGCACCCAGCCAGGTTATGTTTTCTTTAAAGGCAAATGATTGTAATAGAAAATGTGCTTCAGGCAGGTGTGGTGGCTCATGCCTGTAAATCCCAGCTCTTTGGGAGGCCAAGGTGGAAGACTTGCTTCAGCCCAGGAGTTTGAGACCAGCCTGGGCAACATGGCAACACCCTGTCTCTACAAAAAATTTAAAAGTTAGCTGTGGTGACACACACCTGTACTCCCAGCTACTCGGGAGGCTGAGGTGAGAGGATCACTTGAGCCTAGGAGTTGGAGGCTGCAGTGAGACAGAGTAACACCCTGTCTCAATTAAAAAAACAAAGAAATGTGCTTAATGAAAAGCGTAGCCCTCTTCAGGGTGTGCTCTCTGCATCTCCAGAGAGTGGAATGGGAATTAGCTTATGGTTTTTGCCTGCTTCTTCCCTTCGGGCAAGTAACACGCCCTTTCAAGCCTTGGTGTTTCTTTTTTTGGGCACAGCAGTTAATGTGTAGAAACCCCAGGCCTGGGTTCTGAGTCTAAGTGGAGAGGAATTCTCAGGGGGTGTAGACACTGTTGACAGAGAAAGTGAGGAGTTCAGTGCTTCGAGGTCCCTCCACTAGTGAATGATGCCGAGAGCCAGCCAAGCACCAAGGACAGAGATCTTGCTTCTTTCTCCCCAGCTGCACCTTCCTCTCTGCAAGCTGTGTGATGAGGCTGGAATGAGGAGGGATGGGTTGGTGTGTTTACTCATCTGCCTTGCCTCTTGTGACAGCCTCTCCTTAGGCAGGTCCTGGACAGCGTCCTGCTTCTCTATGCTTTTCCCTCAGCCATGAGAAGTCCTTCCAGGGGAATAAGAGGTCCTCTTGGGCATATCTTCAATGATTTGTTTTTTATTCCTCCCTGCAAATTCTTTAATTCTCCCTCTAGTGATTTAAATATACTTTTACCGATCATTAGCTGGAAAAACTGGAAAGAAAGAAGAGTCAGGAAAAAAGCCCATAACCCCTTTACTAAGTGACAACTATTCTTGTCATTTTATTATTTGATTTGTATTGTTCCCAACTTTTCTTTTTTCTTTTTTGAGACAGGCTGTGGCTTTGTCACCCAGGCTGGAGTGCGGTGGCATGATCTCAGCTCACTGCAACCTCCGCCTCCTGGGCTCAAGCCATCCTCCCACCTCAGCCTCCTAAGTAGCTGGAATTACAGGCATGAGACATCACTCCTGGCTGATTTTTGTGTTTTTTGTAGAGATGGGGTTTCACCATGTTGCCCAGGCTGGTCTCGAACTCCTGGGCTCAAGCAGTCCACCCACCTCAGCCTCCCAAAGTGCTGGAATTACAGGTGTGAGCCACTGTACCCAGCCACTCCATCTTTTCTTAAGCATTTTTAACCTAGTTGATTTTTTTTTAATACAGGTGAGAGCATACCATATAACCTTTTTTCCTTATTAGTATTATATCTTAAGTATGTTCTCAAGTGATTAAAAGTTTTTGTAAACATTTTATTGAGTACATGTTTGTTTTATGCTTCCACTATGATGTAACTATTTCCCTAATAGTGAACATTCAGGCTGTTTCTAATTTTTTGTGTCTATAAATCTTTGTCCACATTCAGCAATATGCTATCATTTTTGTAGAGGGAGAAAATCTGGAGAGGGCAGAGATGGCTAGGGGCAAGGGCGGAGGAGAGATTTTACTACATACATTTTCATGTCTTTGGAATTTGGAACCATGTATTATTACCTATTGAAAACAAGGAA
The DNA here is from genome assembly GCF_000001405.40 of Homo sapiens. Classification (NCBI taxonomy): domain Eukaryota; kingdom Metazoa; phylum Chordata; class Mammalia; order Primates; family Hominidae; genus Homo; species Homo sapiens. The sequence continues at coordinate 354,076 of NW_016107298.1, forward strand.
ATAAAATATCAAACCTGTGAACATACATTGTCAACTGTGAAGATGCCAAATTAATGTTTTTAATTTGAACAATAAGATTAATTTTGATGTTAAGAACTGTAAAAATTTTCCTTAATCAGCTTTCAGCTGCAACAGACCGAATTTGCTCACTTCAAGAAGAACAGCAGCAGTTAAGAGAACAAAATGAATTAATTCGAGAAAGAAGTGAAAAGAGTGTAGAGGTGAGAAATTGACCTACATTTGGGCAGCATGTTTCTCACTCAGACACACCTATTGTCAATCTCAAGCTCATGGCTTAACAACAACCCAGTCTTCAGAATGCAAAGGTGCCTTGCTTATGTCAGAAAGGGCCTCTCACTGCGGTCCCTGCCCACATCACTCTCAGACCACCTGGATCCCTTGGACGGGGACTCCCTTCATGGCCTGTGGGCCTTTGCATGCCAAAGTTCCTACTCGTTCTTCAGCATCCACTCACCTGCCATGTCCTCCATGATGTCATCCCAGGAGCCGTGGGCGGGCCTGGGCCATCCTCCTGTATTCCCATTGCTCTTTGTGTCCTTCCATGATACAGTCCCTTTGCTGTTTTGTAGAATTGTTGGCTTGCAGCTCTATCACATGATGACTTGAGGATAGAAACCATATCTGGGCCGGGCACAGTGGCTCACACCTGTAATCCCAGCACTTTGGGAGGCCGAGGCGGGCGGATCACGAGGCCAGGAGATCGAGACTGTCCTGGCTAACACAGTGAAACCCCGTCTCTACTAAAAATACAAAACAGTTAGCTGGGCGTGGTGGCAGGTGCCTGTAGTCCCAGCTGCTCGGGAGGCTGAGGCAGGAGAATGGTGTGAACCCGGGAGATGGAGCTTGCAGTGAGCTGAGATCGCGCCACTGCACTCCAGCCTGGGCCATAGAGCAAGACTCCGTCTCAAAAAAAAAAAGAGAGACCATATCTGATTGACTTCTAAATTCACTCAGTGCTAAAAACATGTTCATAAGTACTGGATGATGAGTTGAATGAGGGTTTTTCCTGCGAATGGAGTCTTGTTCTGTTTTTGTTGTTGTTGTTTGTTTGTTTCTAGACAGAGTCTCCCTCTGTCGCCCAGGCTGGAGTGCAGTGGCGTGATCTCGACTCACTGCAAGCTCCGCCTCCCAGGTTCACGCCATTCTCCTGCCTCAGCCTCCCCAGTAGCTGGGACTACAGGCGCCTGCTACTACGCCCAGCTAATTTTTTTCTATATTTTTAGTAGAGACGGGGTTTCACCATGTTGGCCAGATGGTCTCGATCTCCTGACCTCGTGATCCACCCGCCTCGGCCTCCCAAAGTGCTGGGATTACAGTCATGAGCCACCGCACCCGGCCAAGTCTTGTTCTGTTTTAAAGAAAATTAAATTTAAATTGCTTTATCAATGTAACTTTTTTTTTTTTTGGAAACAGAGTCTTGCTGTCACCCAGGCTGGAATGTAGTGGCGTGATCTTAGCTCACTGCAACCTCCACCTCCCGGATTCAAGCGATTTTCCTGCCTCAGCCTCCCAAGTAGCTGGAATTATAGGCACATGCCACCACACCCGACTAATTTTTGTATTTTTAGTAGAGACAGGGTTTCACCATGTTGGCCAGGCTGGTGTCAAACTCCTGACCTCAAGTGATCTCCCGCCTTGGCCTTCCAAAGTGCTGGGATTACAGGCATGAGCCACCACACCCAGCCTATGAACTTAACTTTTCAAATATCTATTGACTTATTCTCATTCTTCTTTTTTTTGTTTTTTTTTGGTGGGGGGATGGAGTCTTGCCCTGTCGCCCAGGCTGGAGTGCAATGGCACGATCTTGGCTCACTGCAAGCTCTGCCTCCCGGGTTCACGCCATTCTCCTGCCTCAGCCTCCCAAGTAGCTGGGACTACAGGCGCCCACCACCACGCCCAGCTAATTGTTTGTGTTTTTAGTAGAGACGGGGTTTCACCATGTTAGCCAGGATGGTCTCGATCGCCTGACCTCGTGATCCGCCCGCCTCGGCCTCCCAAAGTGCTGGGATTACAGGCGTGAGCCAATGCGCCCAGCCAAGTTTTAACCTTTTTCTACCATGCTTAAAAAATAAAAATTACCTTACATTTTTTAAAATTGTGGTATATTTTGAAATACTTCATAATTAGCTTGCTTTCCATAAGCAAACAATTCCTCTTGGTGTCCTTGTTTGATACAGATAACAAAACAGGATACCAAAGTTGAGCTGGAGACTTACAAGCAAACTCGGCAAGGTCTGGATGAAATGTACAGTGATGTGTGGAAGCAGCTAAAAGAGGAGAAGAAAGTCCGGTTGGTGAGTGTGCAAGACCGAGTGTCTTTAGAAAGAGTTTCCCCGTAGTGTTAATTCTGTCAACACTTTTCATAGACATGCTTCACCATCCTGATGGTCATAGAAAGTCAGAAGCTGTTCATTAAAAAAATTTTTTTTAAGTCTATGGTTACAACTCAGTTGTGCATTGTCACTCATATTTTTTCCCATTTTATAAATATTTTTTGTTTGTTTGGGTTTTTTTTCAAGACGGAGTCTCACTCTGTTGTCCAGGCTGGAGTGCGATGGCGCGATCTTGGCCCACTGCAAACTCTGCCTCCTGGGTTCAAGCAGTTCTCTGCCTCAGCCTCCCGAGTAGCTGGGATTGCAGGCACCCGCCACCACACCCGGCTAATTTTTTGGTTTTTGGTTTTTTTTTTGAGACGGAGTTTCACTCTTGTCGCCCAGGCTAGAGTGCAGTGGTGTGATCTCGGCTCACTGCAACGTCTGCCTCCCAGGTTCAAGCAATTCTCCTGCCTCAGCCTCCAGAGTAGCTGGGACTACAGGCATACGCCACCATGCCTGGCTAATATTTGTATTTTTAGTAGAGATGGGGTTTCACCATGTTGGCCAAGATGTTCTCCATCTCCTGACTTTGTGATCCGCCCGCCTGAGCCTCCCAAAGTGCTGGGATTACAGGCCTGAGCCACCGTGCCCGGCCAGTTTTTTGTATTTTTAGTAGAAACGGAGTTTCACCATCTTGGGCAGGCTGGTCTTGAACTCCTGACCTCGTGATCCACCTGCCTCGGCATCCCAAAGTGCTGGGATTACAGGCGTGAGCCACTGCGCCTGGCCATTTTATAAATCTTTACAGGGATTGCTATGAGACCAGATTAACGGTTTCTTTGACAATACAATTCTCTCCGTCATAACCTCTGGCCTATTTATTTCCACTCAACCTGTGCATCAGTGACCAGAGTTACTTGTAAACACTGTTCTTGTACCTGCTTTATTTCTTTGCTTCTTTGCATGGATGCAGGGAAACATGTCCTGGGTCAGGACAGAACCATTTCGAAATGGTTGCACTTTTGTTGCTATAAACTAGCAAACCATTCCAGAAATTCTAACATTGCACTATCAGATCTCTTCCAGCACTCAAACGAGACAGATATTCTTTGAAAACATGCATTCTGATCTGTGGGTATGGAAAACATGGTTGCTGGAACCTAGGCTCATCCTGTTACTGACCAGCTTTCTGTTGACTTGATGTGGAGTCAGCTTTAACCGTGCAGTGAGGAAAAGGGCAAACACCATCTACTCCTGCCCCAGACAGACTCTTTTCAATCTCCCTAAGCTATTCTCACCTTCAGTTTGTTTGTTTTGTTTTGGTTTGTTTTTTTCTTTAAGACAGTCTCACCCTGTCACCCAGGCTGGAGTGGTGTGATTTCGGCTCACTGCAGCCTCCGCCTCCCGGATTCAAGCAATCCTCCTGCCTCAGCCTCCTGAGAGTAGCTGGGATTACAGGCGCATGCCACCACACCCAGCTAATTTTTGTATTTTTAGTAGAGATGGGGTTTCGCCATCTTGGCCAGGCTGCTCTCGAACTCCTGGCCTCAAGTGATCCGCCCACCTCAGCCTCCCAAAGTGCTGAGGATTACAGGCATGAGCCACCACACCCAGCCTTCAGTTTGTATTTTAAGCATTACCTGAGATTCAACCCCAGTTAAATACATTTCTGTGATCTATTTTAATAACATTTTCCTTGTAAATATCCTTTTAAGGAACTGGAAAAAGAACTGGAGTTACAAATTGGAATGAAAACCGAAATGGAAATTGCAATGAAGTTACTGGAAAAGGACACCCACGAGAAGCAGGACACACTAGTTGCCCTCCGCCAGCAGCTGGAAGAAGTCAAAGCGATTAATTTACAGATGTTTCACAAAGCTCAGGTGGGAGTTGGCTTTGTGTCCATGGCACAGCCTGGTTTCTGCTGCTCGCCAGTCTTGTGTCATTCTTCTTACAAAATGAGCGAGTAGACACATAGAGCCCCTCGTATGTGTCAGACCTGCTCCTAGGACCTATTATGATTTTGATCCTCATGGCAGTCCCTGAGAAATGGGGGGAAATGTAAGTGACAAGGCAGAGCCAAGTCACTAAGTCACATGCCCCTGGTGACGTAGCTTCTAAGGGGAGACGTGGGTCTTTTTAACCCAAACCCAAACTTTGTCCATCCACCTTCACTGTCCCTCCACTGTCTGTTTTCTTCTATTTCAACGATTTATTGTTTATAGCAAGCATGGAGGAGAGAATTAAAGACGTCATTTAGAGCCAGGCACGGTGGCTCACGCTTGTAATCCCAGCACTTTGGGAGGCCGAGCGGGCAGATCACGAGGTCAGGAGTTTGAGACTAGCCTGGCCAGCATGGTGAAACACCGTCTCTACTAAAAATACAAAAATTAGCTGGGCATGGAGGTGCACGCCTCTAATCCCAGATACTCAGAAGGCTGAGGCAGGAGAATTGCTTGAACCCGGGAGACAGGTTGCAGTGAGCCGAAATCATTCCGTTGCACTCCAGCCTGGGCAACAGAGCGCAACTCCAACTCGGGGGAAAAAAAAAAAAGTCATTTAGTATTGTCTTTTCAAACTTTGCCGCTAAGTTAATCTTTCTGAGTCTTCCGGGCCACATAGGTAGCTGGTTGCCTCTCCTGTGTCATTTCAGGGTGGTCCAAGGGAACTGTCCCAGACAGAACCAATCATGCCAGATTTTGAAAAACAGCATCTAGTCCGGGCGTGGTGGCTCACACCTGTAATCCCAGCACTCTGGGAGGCCAAGGCAGGCGGATCACGACGTCAGGTGTTCGAGACCAGCCTGGTCAACATAGTGAAATCCCATCTCTACTAAAAATACAAAAAATTAGCTGGGGGTGGTGGCGGGCGCCTGTAGTCCCAGCTGCTTGGGAGGCTGAGGCAGGAGAATCCCTTGAACCTGGGAGGCGGAGGTTGCAGTGAGCCAAGATCGCGCCACTGCACCCCAGCCTGGTGACAGAGCAAGACTCCATCTCAAAAGAAAAAAAAAAAAAAGGAAGAAAAAAATAGGAAGAAAATAGTTTCACCCTCCTGATAAATCATCTATTCTTTTTTTTTTTTTTTTTTTTTTGAGCTGGAGTCTCGCTCTGTCACCCAGGCTGGAGTGCAGTGGTGCAATCTCGGGTCACTGCAACCTCCGCCTCCCGGGTTCAAGCGATTCTCCTGCCTCAGCCTCCTGAGTAGCTGGGACTACAGGTGCCCACCACCATGCCCAACTAATTTTTGTATTTTTAGTAGATACGGAGTTTCACCATGTTGGTCAGGATGGTCTCAAACTCCTGACCTCGTGATCCACCTGCCTCGGCCTCCCAAAGTGCTGGGATTACAGGCGTGAGCCACTGCCCGGCCCATAATTTCCCGTTTTTTAGCTCAATCTTTTCTAGCAATATGCTATTTGGTTTCCAGATACAAGGTGTTTCTAGCTGTTCTTTTGTTATTAATGTCTGATTTTATTACATTAAGGTAAGAGAATACAGTCTGTATGTTATTTTTCAGGAATTTATTAGGACTTTTGTCGTCAGGCTTTTTTTTTTTTTTTTTTTTTTTTTTTTTTTTTTTTTTTTTGAGATAGAGTCTCACGCTGTCGGCCAGGCTGGAGTGCGGTGGCACAGTCTTGGCTCACTGCAACCTCTGTCTCCCAGGCTCAGGCAATTCTCCTGCCTCAGCCTCCCGAGTAGCTGGGATTACAGGCATCTGCCACCACGCCTGGCTAAGTTTTGTATTTTTAGTAGAGATGGGGTTTCAGCATGTTGGCCAGGCTGGTCTTGAACTCCTGACCTCAGGTAATCCGCCCGCCTTGGCCTCCCAAAGTGCTGGGATTATAGGCGTGAGCTACCACGTCCCGCCTATCTTCAGGCTTTTTAAGGGTGTCTCTTGTACACACACAGGAACACACAGTGCCCCCTCCTGGCCACTCTGTGTCTGTCATGGCTAAAAGCTGTACTTAGAGAAAAGCACACAGATGGTGGGTGTGAACCCAGTTGCACCCCTCATTTGCTCTTCACCTTCATCCAGTCGCTTTCTTCTGAGTTTCTCAATGGGAAAAGTGGGGTGAGAGCATCTTCCTTGAGAACCATTCAGGGCTCAGATGAACTAGTGGATGTGCCTGGCACATGGGGACAGCTGGCGAACATTGAGCCTGACCCGACTCTGGAACACGCTGTCAAAAAGGAGCAAAGACTCCCGGACCTCCCCTCTCTACCTTTCCTTCTGTTGACAAAGCTGAGAGCCTTGAGTCAGTTTGTCTTCCAGGGCTCTGGGGAAGAGCAGCAATTGGTAGAATACTCTTGAAAGTGTCACAAAGGTACAAGGTTAACAAATATGGCCGGGCGCGGTGGCTCATGCCTGTAATCGTAGCACTTTGGGAGGCCGAGGCAGGTGGATCACGAGGTCAGGAGATTGAGACCATTTTGGCTAACATGGTGAAACCCCGTCTCTACTAAAAATACAAAAAATTAGCCAGATGTGGTGGCGGGCGCCTGTAGTCCCAGCTACTTGGGAGGCTGAGGCAGGAGAATGGCGTGAACCCGGGAGGCGGAGCTGGCAGTGAGCCAAGATCACGCCACTGCACTCTAGCCTGGGTGACAGAGCAAGACTCTGTCTCAAAAAAAAAAAAAAAAAAAAAAGCAAATAAGCCCTGTTTGTAATCCAGAGCAGGTGCAAGGATGTGGGACAGGCAGAGTATGAACCCTTCCTTTGCTTTTGTAGAATGCAGAGAGCAGTTTGCAGCAGAAGAATGAAGCCATCACATCCTTTGAAGGAAAAACCAACCAAGTTATGTCCAGCATGAAACAAATGGAAGAAAGGTAATCACTTCCCCCTGGCAGATATTCTCGGGAAGGCTCTGAGCATTCCCTGGGCCTGGAGACTTATTCAGAGTCCCTCTCCAAAGTGCAGGGGAGAGGCTGGGCGCGGTGGCTCACGCCTGTAATCCCAACACTTTGGGAGGCCGACGCGGGAGGATCACTTAAGGTCAGAAGTTCAAGAACAGGCTGGCCAACATGGTGAAACCCTGTCTTTACTAAAAATACTAAAAATTAGGACGGGCGCGGTGGCTCACGCCTGTAATCCCAGCACTTTGGGAGGCCGAGGCGGGCGGATCACGAGGTCAGGAGATCGAGACCATCCCGGCTAAAACGGTGAAACCCCGTCTCTACTAAAAATACAAAAAATTAGTGGGCAACAAGAAAGAAACTTCATCTCAAAACAAAACAAAAAAAGGAGGGGGCAAAAGACTTGAAACAGATACTTCATCAAAGACAACATATGGACAGCAAAAAAGTACATGAGATGATATTCAGATCATGAGCCACTAGAGAAGTGAGTGGCACAGTCCCACCACACATCTGTTAGGGCAGCTACGGTTTCTTTTTGGTTTTTTGTTTGTTTGTTCTTGTTTTTTTTTTTTTTTGAGCCAGAGTTTCGCTCTCATTGCCCAGGCTAGAGTGCAATGGTGCGATCTCAGCTCACCGCAATCTCTACCTCCCAGGTTCAAGCAATTCTCCTGCCTCAGCCTCCCAAGTAGCTGGGATTACAGGTGCCTGCCACCATGCCCGGCTAATTTTGTATTTTTGTAGAGATGGGGTTTCTCCATATTGATCAGGCTGGTCTCGAACTCCCGACCTCAGGTGATCTGCCCACCTAGGCCTCCCAAAGTGCTGGGATTATAGGCATGAGCCACCACACCTGGCCAGCTACCGTTTCTTTAATGACAATACCAAGTGCTGATGAGGACACGGAGCTAATGGATCTCTCATACTTTATTGGTAGGAATGCAAAATGGTGCAACCACTCAGGAAAACAGTTTCTCAAGAAGCTAAACGTCCTCTTACCATATGATCCAAATAGAAATGAAACTTATGTCTACACCAAAACTAGTACATATGTTTATAGCAGCTCCGTTCATAACTGCCAAAAGCTAGAAGCAATCCCAATGTTCTGCATTGGGTGATGGATAAACAAAGTGGTACGTCTGTGCGGTGAAGTATGACTCAGCCGTAGAAAGGAATGAACCACTGCCCTTTCAGGACGTTCAGAGAGGAAACAAAAGGCATGAACCATTGATACACATGGAAACTTGGATTGATCTCCAAGACATTATTCTGAGAAAAAGTCAGTCTCAAGGTTATATAATGTATAATTACATTGAGATTACATTCTCAAAAAGCCAAAGCCATATTGTTGCAGGACAGATGAGTGGTTGCCAGGGGCTGAGGTGGGGAGTTTTGGGAGTGGTGGGACCGTCCTGTATTCTGATTGTGGTGGAGCTGAATCTCCACGTGTTAAAACTCACAAGAGTTAATTTTACTGTATGGTAATTTTAAAAATGAATTTCAGCCAGCAAAAGTCATCCTTTCCTTACAAAGATTTGCTTCATTTGCACTCTTGCTGGTGTCGCATCCAGGTTGCAGCACTCGGAGCGGGCGAGGCAGGGGGCTGAGGAGCGGAGCCACAAGCTGCAGCAGGAGCTGGGCGGGAGGATCGGCGCCCTGCAGCTGCAGCTCTCCCAGCTGCACGAGCAATGGTAGGGGCCCTGCAGGGAGCCTGGGCTGGGGTGTGGCTCAGGAGGGACTGGGAAGAACTGGGGACAGGTGGTATCCTGCTTCAGCACGAACGGGAGGAGGTGGGGCGGGGGGGCAGGTGGTATCCTGCTTCACCACTCACCCCTGCAGGGTTCGTATGTTATCCCTAGGGAGCTCCCTCCCCACAGGGCTCCTCACGTGGTCCAGCTCGCCTCCAGAAGATCTGGCCACTCTCAAACCATGGTACCAGGTCACAGCCTGTATCACCCTTAACCACCCTTTCTAAAAAGAAACAGCTTTGTCAGTGTTGAACAGAAAGTCACCTTTCACCTAGCCTTTGCTGATGCAAGCTTCATATAATTTTGTGCACAGTTCATCTACAGATTTTTTATTTTTTAAGTCTCACTCTGTCATCCAGGCTGGAGTGCAGTGGTGCGGTCTCAGCTCACTGCAACCCCCACCTCCTGGGCTCAAGCGATTCTTGTGCCTCAGCCTCCTGAGTAGCTGGGACTACAGGTGTACATCAACACACCCGGCTAATTTTTGTGTTTGTGTTTTGTTTTGTTTTTTTTTTGAGACCGAGTCTCACTCTCTTGCCCAGGCTGGAGTGCGGTGGCGCGATCTCGGCTCACTGCAACCTCTGCCTCCCAGGTTCATGCCATTCTCCTGCCTCAGCCTCCCGAGCAGCTGGGACTACAGGCATCAGCCACCACACCTGGCTAATTTTTTGTATTTTTAGTAGAGACGGGGTTTCACTGTGTTAACCCAGGATGGTCTCGATCTCCTCACCTCGTGATCCTCCCATCTCGGCCTCCCAAAGTGCTGGGATTACAGGCGTGAGCCACTGCGCCCAGCCTAATTTTTGTATTTTTATTAGAGACAGGGTTTTGCCATGTTGGCCAGGCTGGTCTCAATCTTCTGGCCTCAAGTGATCCACCCGTCTCGGCCTCCCAGAATGCTAGGATTACAAGTGTGAACCACCGTGCCTGGCCTATAGATTTTTTGAGATAATATATATGCCAAGTTAAAAGCCTGATGTTGAGAGAAGAGAGAAGAGACATCTTTATTCCCACAAAGAGAGAGCAGACTCCAGGCGGTCCAGCAGTGCCCCCAGGGCCACTCAGCTGGTAAAGGGCAGAGTCAGCTTCAGGCTGAGGCTCCCTCCTGGCCTTCTCCCTCCAGGATCCTTCATTGTCAGTCTGGCTGTAGGTTGTAGAAAGCAGAATGAGGCCGGGCGCGGTGGCTCACGCCCATAATCCCAGCACTTTTGGGAGGCCGAGGCAGGGAGATCACGAGGTCAGGAGTTCAAGACCAGCCTGGCCAACATGGTGAAACGTCATCTCTACTAAAAATACAAAAAATTAGCTGGGCGTGGTGGCGTGTGCCTGTAATCCCAGCTACTAGGGAGGCTGAGGCAGGAGACTAGCTTGAACCCAGGAGGCAGAGGTTGCAGTGAGCCAAGATTGTGCCACTGCACTCCAGCCTGGGCGACAGAGCGAGACTCCGTCTCAAAAAAAAACAAAAAGCAGAATGAATTGGCCAGTGAGGTGGCTCATGCCTGTAATCTCTGCACCTTGGGAAGCTGTGGCGGGAGGATCACTTGAGCCCAGGAGGTCGAGGCTGCAGTGAGCTGAGGTTGCGCCACTGCACTCCAGCTGGGGTGACAGAGCTAGACCCTGTCTCAAAAAAAGAAAAGAACGAATTTTGAGCTTCCTTTCCTCAGGTCTCCATGTCGGGAGGGTTCTGCTTATGTGGTCTAAGTGTTCTAGAGCTCTCTTCCTTCTCCCCTGCGTAAGTGTCAAGTGTGTGCCTGCAGGCTTTTCTCTCCCTGGTTCCTGCTCTTTCTTGTGGAAGGGCAGGTGACCCTGGAGGAGAGGGAAGCGTTGCCGAAGGCTTTAGATGCTCAAGAGGCAATTCAGAGACTTCCCTGTTTCCTGGGCGGTGAATTGGGTTGTGAATCTTCCGTGAAAGTCTCCCACTGAGACTAACTCAAGTTCATTTTGGGAAAACAGCTCAAGCCTGGAGAAAGAATTGAAATCAGAAAAAGAGCAAAGACAGGCTCTTCAGCGCGAATTACAGCACGAGAAAGACACTTCCTCTCTACTCAGGATGGAGCTGCAACAAGTGGAAGGACTGAAAAAGGTGAGGTGGGCCATCCCGGGAGAGGAGAGCCTCTGGCAGCCTCCAGAAACCCCTAACATGCTCCGGGCAGGCTCCTCTCCCCGCACCCTTTGTGTGGGGGCCAGGCGGCTCCAGGGTGTGGGGAGGCTGTTAGGGAGCTCCTGTTTTAGGAGCATAAGACAAAGACAAATCATAAACCACTAAGCCTGCTGGCAGCTCAGATAGAGGCAAGTGCCATGAAGAGAATAAAGCAGAACAGTGTCCTCACCCGTGTGCAAGGGGCCTGGGGAGGGAGCGACCGGTGAGCAGAGGCTCCAGTGAGTTATGCCCTGCAAAGCACCTCTTGGGTGGAGACTGCAGGAGCAGACAGCAGTGTGAGGAGCAAAGAGGCGGCCTCAGGCGGCAGGCAGGAGGAAGCCCTTCATGGGCCCTGGGAGCCAGGGGAAGGAACGTGGGTTTTATTTTACCAGAGTGGGCAGCTGGTGGAGGGACAGGATCCGTTCTGTTTGCGGATGGTCATTGGCTCCTGTGTGGAGAGTGGGTGGTAGGCTCGCAGGAGAGGAAGCTGGGAGGAACCAGTAAACATCTCCTACCACATGCCAGCCTCACCTCAGCCACTGTGCCCAGGGTCGGGTCATCCCTGGGAAGCAGACCGACCCCAGCCCTCCACTTCCCCTACATCACCTCAGTTCCATGGAGGACCCTCTCACTTGGAGGCATGGCCTGGATGCTGTGGGCTTCAGAGGGCGAGAGAAGTGGGGTCCAGCAGGCCTTCACTGTCTGGCTGTGGAACTGGACCTCCCAGGAAACTCCGAGGCCGTGTGGAACATTTGCCCTAATGTAAAATCATCGGCTGTTTTCCCAGAGGGGAGGAGGCTCTGCGATCCTGGATGGAGCTGACTGCAGCCTGGGGCGCTCTGGGGGGCTCCTCCCACGTGGGGATGGCGTGCCCTCTTCTCAGGCCCCTGCGCTGCCGAGCGCTGCAGGAAAACTGAGCCCAAAGCAGACCTCCCCTCGGCACCTGCCCCGGAGGGGCCTTCAGGGCCAGGGTGGCTTCTGGACCTGGATTTTGTTGTGTTGAACGTGGTAATGGACACACTGCACGATTCGAGCGAGTCAGGAAAGGCCCTTTTGATTTCCATTGGAAAGTGCCTGGAGTTGTTGGGGAAGGGAGAGCTTCCTCAAGAGCCAGATCAGGCTTGGAGAGTGGAAGGGAGGAAGTGGAGGGCAGAAGAGGACTTTCAGAAAGTCCCGCCTCATCACGGGGCATACCTCCTTTATTCTGCTTCAGAATGCTTCTGTCAAAAGATTCGAATTACACAATTACAGCCCGCCCCAACAATAGGAACAAAACAATGTCTAATAACCCCAGTTAAGCCACAGCTTTGTGCTTTGCAAGCCTGTGCATGGAAGCAGAAGCTACGGCACAGGGTGTGCAGAGAGCCACCCCGCCACTCGGGCCCGAGCTCCACCGCTGCTCCCAGTGGTCCCAGAAACCCCAGTTACTTTCTGGGTCTCCATCCTGGCCTTAACAGACTGGCTCAAGGTGCACTGGCCCCAGGTGTCAGTGCCGTTGCCCCCTGGGGAACTCCCTCCGTGCAGGGCTCCTCACATGGTCTAGCCAGCCTCCAAGTGGTCTAGCCATGAAATGAGGTCCCAGGTCACCCCCTTCATCATCCTTGACCAGTGCTTTCCAAAAAAGCAGCTTTTTCAGAATTGAACAGGAAACCACCTTTCAAACTAGTCTTTGCTGATGCAAGGTTCGTGTGATTTTGTGTACAGTTCTTCTATAGATTTTTTGAGATAGCAATCTGTTTTGTAAAATGTTTATCTTTTAAAAAGAAGCTCAAATAGGCAAAGCCTCATTTGTCCTATGATGGTAACTTTTTTTTTTTTTTTTTTTTTTTTTTTTGAGACGGAGTCTTGCTCTGTTGCCCAGGCTGGAGTGCAGTGGTGTGATCTCGGCTCACTGCAACCTCCGCCTCCCCAGTTCAAGCGATTCTCCTGCCTCAGCCTCCCGAGTAGTTGGGATTGCAGGCATGTGCCACCATGCCCTGCTAATTTTTGTATTTTTAACTAAAGGAGGGGTTTTGCCATGTTGGCCAGGCTGGTCTTGAATGCCTGACCTCAGGTGATCCGCCCACCTCAGCCTCCCAGTGCTGGGATTACAGGTGTGAGCCACTGCGCCCAGCTGAGGGTAACTATTTTTAATGTGGCTGATGAATGTAACTATCCTGTCCCATGTCTCTGTCCCCAGCTGCAGAGCCCTCGTCGAGTGCTTGCCTTTTAGCTGCCCAGTGTCAAGAGTAAGCTAGCAAGAAATAATCTTGAATGACATTAATACAGGACTGCATTTTGCTCTTTTTTTTGGTTTTGTTTTGTTTGAGATGGAGTCTTGCTCTGTCGCCCAGGCTGGAGTACAGTAGCACCATCTCGGCTCACTGCAACCTCCGCCTCCCGGGTTCAAGCAGTTCTCTTGCCTCAGCCTCCCAAGTAGCTGGGATTACAGGTGCCTGCCACCACACCCAGCTAATTTCTGTATTTTTAGTGGAGACAGGGTTGCACCATGTTGGCCGGGTTGGCCTCAAACTCCTGACCTCAGGTGATCCACCTGTCTTGGCCTCCCAAAGTGCTGGAAGTATAGGCATAAGCCACTGTGCCTGGCCACCTTTTGCTCTTGAAAAACATTCTGATCTGCTTGTTGCTCTGGTTGCTGAATCTTTTTTTTTTTTTTAAAGGCCAGTGCAGTGGCTCACGCCTGTAATCCCAGCACTTTGGGAGGCCGAGGCGGGCAGATCACGAGGTCAGGAGTTTGAGACCATCCTGGCCAACATGGTGAAACCCCGTCTCTACTGAAAATACAAAAATTAGCAGGGCATGGTGGCGGGCACCTGTAGTCCCAGCTACTTGGGAGGCTGAGGCAGGAGAATCGCTTGAACCCAGGAGGCGGAGGTTGCAGTGAGCCAAGATCGTGCCACTGCACTCCAGCCTGGCAACAGAGCAAGACCCTGTCTCAAAAAAAAAAAAAAAGGACCGTGTAATCCTCTGTCCAGCATCTGGTTGGTTTGTTCATTTTAGGAGTTGCGGGAGCTTCAGGACGAGAAGGCAGAGCTGCAGAAGATCTGCGAGGAGCAGGAACAAGCCCTCCAGGAAATGGGCCTGCACCTCAGCCAGTAAGAACCCCACTCCCCTTGTCTGCCACTGCAGGCACACCAGGCTACCCACCACATCCCTCAGGCCCCAAACCTACCTCCTTTTGGCGAACGGAGGGTGGGCCATTTAGGAGCTCAGTCCGCCGTTCACGGATGAGCTCTCAGGAAGCCCGGCCTCAGAGGGGCCCAGCACTGATCTCTGCTACCCACATGGGGTGTCAGCGAGCTCTTAGTTAATTCAGGAAGCACGTTCATTCCTAGTGACCAGGACACTCCTATTCCTTAGCTTCATATCCAGGGCCTGAGGGAACAGATGGGCAATGAGAGGATCGCTTGGTCAGCCTACAGTCAGGCCAGAGGGAGCAGGGCTGGTTTGGGAACGGAAGCCTGGCACAGTAGAGGTGCACTCACCCGCCTTGCACAGCACAGCCCCCTTCCTTTCGGGGAACTGGCCACTGCATCCGCCAGAGTCTGTCTGTCTCTGCTGCAGGTGCTGATGGGGTGCAGACCCTGGTAGTTCTGCTCCCCTCTGACTTGACAGCTCTCCTCCTTGGTGTCCCAGTCTAGATAGGTTGCTGTGGACGCCTGGGCCTTGGGGTGGATCACACTGCGGACTGTGGAACTTGCCCATTTGTGTGATGATTCTGCATTTTCAACATAGTGGGTAGCTTTTCTCCTCGAGTCAGGGCGCATGGTTGCAAGTAACAGAAATCCAACTCAAAGTGGCTTAAGCAAAAGAAGCCATCAGGAATCGGTCTCTGTCTCCTACCTCTGCTATCCTGTCTGCCTCACAGGTGGGTCTGGACCCTGCAGGGGCAAAACAGCACTCAGCAAGGCCATCTATCAGAGGAACAAACTCCCTCTTCTTTGTGCATAGCTGCCAGGATCACCCGAGATTGACCCTGCTCCCGAGTACCCATGCCTGACATAAGCACCATGACCAAGGAGATGGGGCTCACGACCTCAGCACAGCCTGGTCTGCACCAGAAATTTGTAGAGTCTAGTACTATTAAGAAAATAGGCCGGGTGCGGTGGCTCACGCCTGTAATCTCAGCACTTTGGGAGACTGAGGTGAGCAGATCACCTGAGGTCAGGAGTTCGAGACCAGCCTGGCCAACATAGTGAAGCCCCGTCTCTACTAAAAATACAAAAATTAGCCAGGCATGGTGGGCACCTGTAATCCCAGCTACTCGGGAGGCTGAGACAGCAGCATCGCTTGAACCCGGGAGGCAGAGGTTGCAGTAAGCCGAGATTGCACCACTGCACTCCAGCCTGGGCAACAAAAGTGAGAATCCATCTCAAAAAAAAAAAACAAATAGCTGGTCAGGGAATCTGATGTCTCTGGTGGGAATGCGGTCTGCCCACTCCCAGATGCAGGTGCTGGCCACTCGCCGTCTCTCCTGTGCCTCTTACCTTTCTAGACTAGCCCATGGCCGCTGCTTCCTCCCCTCCCACCCTCCGCCCTGCCTGCCACCCACTCAGCTGAGTGCCCTGTGCTGCTCCCGTCTGGCCTGTCAACTTGCCGTGCTCTGGCCCGTTCCTTCCCAACCCCCAGGGAGCTCCTTGAGGGACGCAAGGCCCAGTGTCTGTCCCCATGCTCAGAGCATAGGCCAGCTGTGAGGGCATCCCGAGAGCACTCACCAGAAGCAGACGTGGAACAGAGCTGGCGTGGAGCTGGCTTCTGGGGTTTGCAGCCAGTGTTTTCCTCTTTACATTGGATGGACAGCAAGGCAGTGTCACAGGTCCCCTCCTAGTGGACCATAGACCTCGAAACTGTGGTTGGTCTCTGATCTTTAAAATGTATCATTGTGGCCGGGTGTGGTGGCTCATGCCTGTAATCCCAGCCCTTTGGGAGGCTGAGGTGGGTGGATCACCTGAGGTCAGGAGTTCAAGACCAGCCTGACCAACGTGGAGAAACCCCATCTCTACTAAAAATATAAAATTAGCCGGGCATGGTGGAGCGCGCCTGTAATCCCAGCTACTCAGGAGGCTGAGGCAGGAGAATCGCTTGAACCTGGGAGGCGGAGGTTGCGGTGAGCCGAGATCGCGCCATTGCACTCCAGCCTGGGCGATAAGAGTGAAACTCTGTCTCAAAAACAAACAAACAAATGTATTGTTGCACTTTGTGGCCGCCTGGCACTACCGGCTAACCTAGCTTCCAAATCCCAGTGTGAGCTGCCTGGCCACCATTCCCTCCCAGCGAGTGCTGTGGGTGTCACAGCATCAGGTGTTTGCAAACCCAGACAGGACTACCTGAGGAGTTGCTTTTGTGCTCTCTCCCCTCTTCCCTTCTTCCTCTTGCAAGCCTATACCGGATGACAGAGATGGCAAAGCCTCTTCGCAGGCCCTACATTAGCTACAGGAACAGTTTCCAGTTTCATTGGCTTGGGAACATCTGGATTCTTCCTAAATTGTGTTTCCCAGAGTTCTTGTATGTTCAGTTTGCCTTGTTGACCTGGCTTCCCAAGGTCTGTCCATCTGCGCAGCCTCTTCTCATCCTGTCAATCTGCTGGCCTATTTCCTGTTTCTGCAGCCGGACCAGGAAGGGAAGGAGCTGCCTCCCGATCTTTAGTAAAAGCCACAGGGATTTTTCTAAATGCCCTGATGCTGTTTTCTAATCCCTCCCTTAGAAGTCTAGCCTGTGTTTCCCAGAGACCTGCCATTTTGTCACTGAGATGAGTCTAATCTGATGATAGTTCAGACTGATCTCAGCTTTTAAGAAAGACCCAGGCCAGGCTGGGCGTGGGGGCTCAGGCCTCTAATCCCAGCACTTTGGGAGGCCGAGGCAGGTGGATCACTTGAGGTCAGGAGTTCAAGACCAGCCAGGCCAATATGGTGAAACCCCATCTCTAGTAAAAGTACAAGAAAATAAGCTGGGTGTGGTGTCGGGCGCCTGTCATCCCAGCTACTTGGGAAGCTGAGGCAGGAGAATTGCTTGAGCCCAGGAAGCAGAGGTTGCAGTGAGCCGAGATCACACCACCGCACTCCAGCCTGGCCAATGCAGCAAGACTCCATCTCAAAAAAAAAAAAGAAAAAAAGAAAAAGGCTCAGGCCTATAATCCTAGCACTTTGGGAGGCTGAGGCAGGTGGGTCAATTGAGGTCAGGAGTTCAAGACCAGCCTGGGCAACATGGCAAAACCCCACCTCTAGAAAAAATACAAAAATTAGCCAGGCGTGATGGCATGCACCTGTAGTCGCAGCTACTTGGGAGACTAAAGTGAGAGGATCACTTGAGCCCAGGAGGTCAAGGTTGCAGTGAGCCATGATTGCACCACTGCATTCCAGCCTGGGCAATATAGCAAGATCCTGTCTCAAAAAAAAAAAAAAAAGGATCAGACTGTTTCCCTCAATTGCACAAACTGCTTCATTTTATTTGGTTTAGTTCTGCCAATTTAGACCATGTTCAGTCCTGTCTCTTGTGTAAACAAAGGAATTGTTCTGACACTGAACAAGAATGGAGCAAGAACAAATGGCTGTGCCATCTGAGCCTTCCCCCTTCCAGACAGCAGGCAGCAGAATGGAGGCCGGGGAGAAGCCTGCAGACTCAGGTTCCTGCTGGGGAGAGCGGTAGAGACTAGTGCAGAACAGGGCCAGGTCTTGGACTTCTGGCCTCAGGCCATCCTCTCGCCTCAGCCTCCCTCAAAGTCTTTTTGAGCCCCTGCAGGCTAAGCAGTGTGTTCTCGTGCCAGATGCAGTCCCAGGCTCAGCCTCAGCCCTCAGCAGACGGGAGCCAGTGTGATGAGGCAACTCTGGGATTGTACAGAGGCGGAAGGCATTTTAACAACTCATGTTCTGGGTCTCCTCACAAGTCCGGTATCCTCACAAAGCTAGTCCTGAGAGCCAGCTGTGTTAGGGATTCAGAGCCTCACTCTCTCTCACTGCTATGAAATGGCCTTTTTTTTTTCCTTAGGTCCAAGCTGAAGATGGAAGATATAAAAGAAGTGAACCAGGCACTGAAGGTACTGCCTTGCTAAGAACCACTTCTTTGCTGTCAGCTTGTGCTGACTGCCCGTGTGCTCGTACGTTTAAGTATCCCAACAGTCAGGTGAGAGCGTGTGGTTGAGGCAGTGGTGATGACGTATTGACAGAGAAGCCAAACGCTGCTCAGAAACGTGTCCCTCGGCTGAGGGCGATGCTGACAGGTGGCCGAAGCTGAGCCTAGGTCTTCCGACTCCAGTTCCTCCACCATCAGCTGTGCTTTCAAAATAGGCCTGATGGGCATTCCCTAAGGGGGAAGCAGGTGGCGGAGAGGAGGGACCCGCGGATATCTTTAAACAGTGGAAAACAGGCCCTTCTGTTGAAGTGAGGGGCCAGAGGCCAGCCAGCCCCACTGCAGTGCCCTGTGCCATTGCTAGGGACCACTCAAGCCAAGCCCTGAGTTGGGCCAGGTTTCCGCACCCTGGTGGGGAGGGCAGAATGACACATTCCACCGAAGAGCAGGAGTTTGCAGGTGGCCCGGTGTGGGTGCGGGTGCCAGGCTGAGCTGCAGGGCGGAGAGTGTGGGAGAGGAGGCAGACATTCGGGGGCACGGCAGCCTGGCCTTCAAGACAGCCTTGCCTGCAGGAGCACCCCGCTTCGGCCTCAGCTGTGCCGTGGCAGCAATGCAAAAGCAGTCCCTTTGCACACTGTTCCACGTGGTGCAGAGCAGGGACCCTGATGTCTCTGGGCATCTAACTTCCAAGTGCCAGGTCAGGGGCAGCAACTAACAGCAGCCGGGACTTCTAGGTAATATCAGTTTCACAGCATCAGAGGATAGAAATCATAAAACAGGACTCTAGAGCCGCCAGAGCTCTTTGATGTCAGGATGAATGTCCTGGGCACACACTGGCAGCCCCAAGGGTATATGGCTCTAGCTCAGTCTGTGAGGATCTATTTGTCAGCAAGAAAATCTTGTCCAGCAGATGTTAACAGGCCAGAAAAGTACCTCATGCCTTTGACTTCTCTGGAACACCCCAGTCCCTAAGCCCAAATAAATCACAGGTGCTGCTTCGCCCTGAGAAAGCCCTCTGAGGGGCCACCTTTCAAAGCCTCAGCCGCCTCCCCTGTGGAATGGAGTCCATGTGCTCCCCAGGGCTGGTCAAGAATCAGGGCTTTGGCCCGCATGGAGAAGGGCTTCCTCAGGCCTGTGGGACGCAGTGCCCGCTGTCCATCACCTTCTGTCTCTCCACAAGGATCAGCGTCAACAAGTGTCTTAGTCTCACTCAGATTTGGCCCTTCTTCCGCGCCTGCCAGTTCAGCTAGCACTTCGGCCAGTGTCTCAGGCAGGGTCTAGGGTTGCAGGCACCAGAAGCTCACTCTGCTTACTTCAGCCAAAGGGAACTGATTGAAAGTGGGAGTGTGCCTGAGTGAGCAGATGCTGGAGACCGCCTGGAGGCCCCAGGGCAGCCTGCAGAGGCCAAGAGGTGGAGCACGGAGCTAGGATGCAGAAATCCCGGCTGCGGCCAGACGGGGAAAGAGCCCCTTGATGACAGTCCTGTGAGGCCCCATCTGATGGAGAAACAGTGCCTCACTAGGAAACAGGTGCTATGAGGGACAATGGATGTGGCCAGAACGCAGCTACCCACTCATCAGGGGCTTAGACAGAAAGTGGATTCTAGAATGTCCTTTCCTCTTCAGGGCCACGCCTGGCTGAAAGATGACGAAGCGACACACTGTAGGCAGTGTGAGAAGGAGTTCTCCATTTCCCGGAGAAAGGTACGTGGGGGCTCCACCCACCCTCCCAGTGCCCTGAGTCGTTGCCCGCTGGATTCCCCTTTCTCTGGTTCCAGAAGCCCATATCAGAGCAGGCTCACTGCCCGGTGACTGTGCTGACTGTGGCAGATGGGCAGCCCCGCCTCTCCTGTTTGCCTGTGCAGATGGCTTTCCATCCTGGCACCCTCTTTCTGGGAGGCCTTGGCCAGTCATAGGCCCCTGGTCTCCAGCACATCCTTTCAGTGATTGACAATGATTTTTGGGGAGATGGGGCTCCTTGTGTGCAGAGCTGCTCTAGGGGAGTGTCATTGAAAATTCTCTGTATGCGGCAGGAACAAAATCTGGCCCAACTTAGGCAAAAACAATCTATGGGGAACCTACAGGGCAGCAGGTCACCAAAAATCACTAGTGATCTAGGCAGCGTGCTTGCCCCTGCCCTTTAGGTTCTGGAAACAAGGTCCTAGGCTCACCCTTGGGTCTAGGGTTGACTGGGCCTTATTAACAGTCTCACCAAGACCAGCTGGGTAGGGGAAGAGTTGGGTATAAGCAAAACTGGGAGCTAAAGGAAACACTGCCAGCGCCACCCACCTTTCTGCCACAGCCATGTTCTGTCTGTTCCCATCAACAGCCTAGCTCTGTGGAAGAGAGGAAGCCACAGCTACCCCACCCGCTCCCCAACCCGAGTTTCAGGCAGTGCCTTGCAGTAAGCTCAGAGCTAGAAACCACGTCCTGAGGCTGCCTTTGAGATCACATGTGTCTACAAGGCCTGGCTGTCCCCATCTGTGGAGTCAGAAGCAGAGGCTGCACAGGTGCTCATCTTGATGTCTTATCAGGCACCCAGGGAACCTGTTTAGAAAGGGATCTACTCCACCCCCTTGGAATGCAGCAAAGAGAACGAACCAGACTCTTCCTGTAACATGGACTAGCAGCTCACTGGCTTAGTGATGAAGTACAGCAAAAGTAAACTTTTTGTCTTAAAAACACCCTTAGGCCGGGCACGGTGGCTCATGACTGTAATCCTAGCACTTTGGGAGGCTGAGGTGGGTGGATCACGAGGTCAGAAGTTCAAGACCAGTCTGGCCAAGATGGTGAAACCCCATCATCTCTACTAAAAAAATACAAAAACTAACCGGGCACGGTGGCAGGCACTTGTAATCCCAGCTACTTGGGAGGCTGAGGCAGGAGAATCGCTTGAACCCAGGTGGCAGAGGTTGCAGTGAGCCGAGATTGCGCCACTGCACCCCAGCCTGGGCGACAGAGACTCAAAAAAAAAAAAAAAGCCGGGCGCGGTGTTTCACGCCTGTAATCCCAACACTTTGGGAGGCCAAGGCGGAGGCAGATCACGAGGTCAGGAGATCGAGACCATCCTGGCTAACATGGTGAAACCCCGTCTCTACTAAAAATACAAAAAATTAGCCAGGTATAGTGGCGGGCACCTGTAGACCCAGCTACTGCCGGAGAATGGCGTGAACCTGGGAGGCAGAGCTTGCAGTGAGCTGAGATCGCGCCACTGCACTGCAGCCCGGGCGACTGAGCAAGACTCTATCTCAAAAAAAAAAAAAAAAAAAAGACCCTTGTTTGCACACAGCCCCTCACCACCCCACAGAAACATAAGAACCCATTCCCAGCAAATGATGCGCTTCTGGGTCAGGAAGCAGGGAGGGTGTGCGGATGGCTTTTCCCCGGGTGTCCTGTGACCGCCTTCTTCCCGTCCTGTAGCACCACTGCCGGAACTGTGGCCACATCTTCTGCAACACCTGCTCCAGCAACGAGCTGGCCCTGCCCTCCTACCCCAAGCCGGTGCGAGTGTGCGACAGCTGCCACACCCTGCTCCTGCAGCGCTGCTCCTCCACGGCCTCCTGAACGTCCGTCCTCAGGAGCACAGCCTCACGGACAGTGCCAAACCCTGTGGGTCTCCAGGGGCTTGGGAAATGTGTTCTTTCCCAAGAGTATCAAAGGAAAGAATCAAATTTCTTGCCCGGTCACTGGCACTCCAGAAGACAGCGTGCCGGAACCGGCAGCTCTCACCTTTCTGTGACTTGTTCGGAATTAACTCCTCTGGATGGAAACTTCCATCTTACTTGGTTACATCACGGCTCTGGTTCAGATACAACTTCATGATTTTGCTACTATCATTTTTCACTTTTCAAAGAATTTAACCTATTTTACAGCAGTTCAGTTCTGCTAGTGAGTAGTTTTCCTCTCCTACCTTCCTTCTAAAAACCTGATTCATGCACAGCGTTTGACACACATGGAGTCTGCCAGTGTGCCTTCTCTGCTTCAGACAAGAGATCTGCCATTTCATGCCCTTGTGACTACCTATCATTGGCCCTGCAATAAAATCATTTATTTTTCACTCTGGTGCGTGCAGAAGCTTGTGTCAACTTCCAAAGAGCCCACCGCACCGGAGGAGGCCTCAGAGCGCCCCTCGTGCCCGAGCCCCGTGTGAGTGAGAGGCTGCTGGTGCTGCCCCAGAGCCTGCAGGGCAGCCTGGTGAGCCAAGGGCAGTTTGCAGGGTCAGCCTGCCGTCAACAGGCAGAGGAGGTGACCCCAAGCCTGTCACCAAAGTGCAAGAGTCGTTCACGTACATAGTTGGGAGTTTGATAGGTTACAGATGGAGACACCTGTGAAAAGGCACGTGCCAGGCAGCCATTTTTCACATTTCAAATGCAGCGCTACGACTGGCTTCCAGTCCCTCCCTCGGAGGCCCCCACCCCCAAAGATCCAATGGCCCGGGGCTCCCTTCCGGTAGAGACAACAGCATTATCAAGTCCAGACAGCCAACAGTCAAGTCTTCCAGGCCTCATCCTTCTCCACCTTCTATACACATACCTTGTCCGCGACCCTACCCTCCCTTCCCACGGGCTTCCTACCCTCGCCAAATCCAGGCCTCAGGATTCCACTCCTCCTTTGGGCTCTTCCTCCGAAGCAGGCTCCCCCACGACCTGGTCAGCCCTGGTAGATGCTTGCATGGCACCCTCAACTGAATTCCTCCTCTGCCGCTCCCTCCCCTCAAACCGCTCTGAAGATGGAAAAGGTGGGAGCTTGGGCAAGACTCAAGGATTCCCCCTCCATCCTATACCGCTTAGGACTGTGCGGCCAGACTTCAAGACGAGGTCCGCCCTGCTCCAAAGCCATGTCCTAGCAGGGTTCCAACCCTATTAGGCAAGCACATTGGCAGCCCTCCCCTTTCCTCACCCCTCACCGTAACAGCTGCCGTCTCATACAGGGCCAAACTTTCAGAAAAAACTGCCTATCACTCACTACCCCTAACTGGCATATATGACATCTGTGCCTTTTCAATACACCCAGTTTGGACCCCTAACTTGCTGGGCAGCCTTAGGCAAGTCAGTTCACTTGAGTCTTAGCTCTCATCTGCACACACAAAAGCAGAATAATCTATCCCTCCCCTACTTCAAGTCTGTTCTGACAGCTCAGTATAAAAACATGCAGGAGGTTCCCACCTCTGTGCCTGACACTTGGGTATAAACACAAGTGTTTAAGTGAAATTTTCAAAGTTGGCAATATTTGGTCAAGATAACTTCCCTACTCAGAAACTGAAATATATTCCAAGCCCTAACTCTGGAATCTCCAGTCCCTGGTCTGCTACCATACCACCTTTACCCAGGCCTGAGAAATGAAAGATAGATGTTTTAAGGCAGCACTTCCCAAGTCAACTGAGGTAGGGGTGAGTGGTCAGGATTTTGTTTAAAATGCAGATTCCAACTGACAAGGTCAGGAGGTTAAGTTACTGCAAACAAGCTATGGAGCATAAGATTCCAAAGAACCATAATGCTTCTAGACTTTTTTTTGAGACAGGAATTTCGCTCGTTACCCAGACTAGAGTGCAATGGCACGATCTTGGCTCACTGCAACCTCTGCCTCAGTAACTGGTATTATAAGCGTGCACCACCATGCCCAGCTAATTTTTGTATTTTTTAGCAGAGACAGGGTTTCACCATGTTGGCCAGGCTGGTCTCGAACTCCTGACCTCAGGTGATCCACCCACCTCAGCCTCCCAAAGTGTTGAAATCACAGGCGTTAGCCACCGCCCCTGCCCTAGACTAGCCGTATGGCTCTGGATTTAGTTTAACCTTACTCCAAGTTTCTAGTTCTACTCCCTTCTCTAACAGGGCAAGCTTTATCCTTAAATGTACCACAGTTAACTAAAGAACCCAGAGAAGGGACCTTCAATCTTTCTCAATACTGGGCCTCAGTACCAAACTATTAACGCAAGATCTCAAGGGCAGTAACCAAGCTTAGAACACAGCTCAACAACTCTCAACACTGCCTCCCCCGACAACTGCTGTTCTCTAGACCTGCCAAAGACAAAACCAACAATACACATTCCAGACCCTTCCCTCTGCTAGTGTCCAGTCCTGGTAGGGCAAGCAAGGTAGATCTGCAAAGCCCTCCCCTCCATGTCTCCTGCATGCACTGCTCCTGTGGGCAGATGGTTAGAAATGACCGATACTAAGCCACTCTGTCCACCCTACCTAGCTCTACCCCAACAACAAACTCAAGAAAAGCTCGTGTAATCGCAGAAAAGAGAAAGCTTATCCACACTTCGCTTTAAAGGGCGGCCGGGCGCGGTGGCTCACGCCTGTAATCCCAGCACTTTGGGAGGCCGAGGCGGGCGGATCACGAGGTCAGGAGATCGAGACCATCCCGGCTAAAACGGTGAAACCCCGTCTCTACTAAAAATACAAAAAAAAATTAGCCGGGCGTAGTGGCGGGCGCCTGTAGTCCCAGCTACTTGGGAGGCTGAGGAAGGAGAATGGCGTGAACCCGGTAGGCGGAGCTTGCAGTGAGCCGAGATCCCGCCACTGCACTCCAGCCTGGGCGACAGAGCGAGACTCCGTCTCAAAAAAAAAAAAAAAAAAAAGGCACAAGCCTATGTGACAGCCTAGTTCAGACACTACATTCTAATTTCATTATCAGGGACTTGAATCTAATGGGATGAAAGTAGTAGCGGCAGTTCCCACACTGCAGCACCCCTGAGCATCTGCTGAAGGAACCCCGGGAGCGTGCTTTTCAGGACTGCTTTTGTGATACCCAACCTTGTATTAACACGAATAGACTCTCCCTTACATGCCTAACCTTGTTTTTAATATGAAGACTCCCTTCGCTGAGAAAACCAGGCCAACTCCATTTGGCTCCTTCATTTACAAGACATCAAGGGCTCCTTACCCACCCCCCTTTCCTCAAGGACTTTAACTTGTGCAAGCTCTCAACGTATCAAAGAGTGCAGTTAACTGATAAGGTGCTGAGGCAAGCGATGTCCAGTTCCCAGCAATTTACTCAGAGATCAAGCCCCCATGTTTGTCCGGTAGATAACACCCCCCATGTTTGTCCGGTAGGTAACACCCAGAGCCCCCTCACCTGTCACTTTGTGATGAATTTGAAGCTCCTGCACCTGGAACTGTTTTCCTGTAACCATTTGTCTTTAACTTTTTTGTCTGTTTTTCTTCCCTAAGATGGCTGCAGCTAGAATCCCCCTCCCCTCTCCAAACCAAAGTATAAAAGAAAATCTAGCTCCTTCTTCGAGGCCGAGATACTTTCATGCGGTAGCCGTCTCTCGGTCGCCGGCTAATAAAGGACTCCTGAACTCGTCTCCAAGTGTGGCGTTTCTAACTCGCTCAGGTACACCACTTGGAAGCAGCTTGAATACTTGCTATCATCATGTTGGAGCTTCGAACTACCAAAACGTGATATATTTAAGAGTTCATTTAAACTTGTCATGTTAGCTCTCAATCTCTACCTATCGTTCTACCTTAGGAGACTTACATGGAATTTTGCTTCCAAGTGGAATTGATTTTTAGGAATGACCCAAAAATACAGAAGTTCAAAACTTCAATTTGAAAACCATCTGTGAAGGCTGGGCAATGGCTCCAGCCTATAATCCCAGCACTTTCAGAGGCCGAGGTGGGCAGATCTCATGAGGTCAGGAGTTGGAGACCAGCCTGGCCAACATCGTGAAACCCCGTGTCTACTAAACATACAAAAAAAATTAGCCTGGAGTGGTGGTGGGCGCCTGTAACCCCAACTACTTGGGAGGCTGAGGCAGAAGCCCACAAGGTGGAGGTTGCAGGTGAGCTGAGATCACGCCACTGCAATCCAGCCTGAGACAACAGAATATAACTCTGCCTCAAAAAAAAAAACAAACCTATGAGCTTATGAGCTAGAAGAAACCCACATATTCATCACACCTCCCTTGCCTCCGGCACCTTCCCAGCCAAGCATGAAGGCCTCAAAGACATGCAGGCATGCAGTGAGGGCACTGGCGCCTCCCCCTTTGTTTTGTGCAAGTGCTTAATGAGTTACAGGCAGTTCAGATCAGGTCCTGTGCAGCCAAATGACATACAGCCCTTCCACCAGGGCCCCAAAGACGAGTTTACCTTCAGTTGCACTGGAGGGAAGACTGAAGACATCTACGCAACAGCCTCAACTGCCAAGCCAGAGATGTGGCCCTAGGCCCCAGGTGGGCACAGAGCACCAAGACTCAGTCCACATGACACTGAAGCACAGACAAGACAGAGTGCAGTTTTTAAAAGGAGGATTTATTTGACAAGTTTCACTTAGCGCAATATACCTAAAAGGAAATCACAATACAATGAAAGATTTAAATCAAGGCCTCAGAATTTCATACAAACACCAAGACCAAAATCCTAAGTATTGGTATTGCGTCTCAAATTTTTCCCATTAACTTAAAAAAAAAAAAAGCTTAAACTTACGTGCCTTACAGGTTATTAAATGAAACTAGAATTAACAAACATGCCAAAATGTTTCACTTTTAATAGACACAGCTCCTATATTGTTTTACAAAAAAATAAAAGCATGTCTTTCAACATGCATCCAAAACAGTGTTCAATTTAACGTGGCAAAGGGCAACATTTAACATAATTCAACTGCTTTTACCTAAATACGCTTACTGCTTAAGTACATCCTATAACTAACTTGAGAAAAGCTGGAACTTAAGTTTAACAGTTATAGTTTACTCAGCTTCACTGTTACATCCTAGATGAGTATTGTATTCAAAAATACTGGGCCTTAAGTCTTCATAACAATCCTGATTTCCACTTAGAGTAAGCATAAATCACAAGCTTGTATTGCAGAAACTGTTAAACTGAAGTTTTCTTAAAGAAAAAAAAAAAAAAAAAAAAGGTTGACCAAGAGTCAGTGATCAGGATCGATCAATTACATTCCCCATCCACCACTCATACTGGACATGCTAGACAACCCTCCCATTCCGTTCACGCCCATAGATGCACGGCTTCCACTACTGTAGTAGCTGCTGTTCACTGCTCCTTGGTTACCTGCAAAGAGATCAATTTGACAAGTTAGGAGTAATATCAGACTACCAGTCAAATAAAATATAGTATTCCAAGAAAAAGTTTAAAAAGTATACGAGTACAAATGGCTGCTGTCCAAGTGGCGAGACGCATGTTTGGGAAAGGGGAATCCCGACTCCAAACAAGCCTCAATTAACCCCTTTTCTCTGCAGTACCAACTTGCCAGACTCTTGTGCTACCATTTTAACGGATTCTTCAGGATCAACATGAAAAATTAAGTTTAAAGGAAAACTAGTGTTTTTCAAAAATTGCAAAATTACTTCGTATTTTTAAAGCTAAACAAGGCATTTTTAAAAAAAATTTAACATAAACATTCACAATGTGTCCCTCGAATGGCATTTGAGAAAAGGGAGCACAGGGGAAGTCTCTTGCTTTTCCTATTCATGGTGGGCAGGAAGTGAGACAACCAAGCTGGACTAAAGGCAACTCACTGTGCCCAAATGGCAGCCTCCATGGAGTTAAGTCAGAGCCATTGACTGCTATAGAAAGCATTATTACAACATATCAGTATTTGCTATTGGGAATTTATATTTTTTGAGAAAATATTTACCTATGCAATGTTTGATTGAAAATCACTGGAGTTTTCCTGTAAAACTTGGTCTGCAAAAGGATTTTGTAGGGTAAGACTATAATACCAAAATCACCATTCTTTAGACCAATTGAAAAAAAATAAATAAAACCAATCCTAGGTTAACTGACTAATAAATACGATCCTGAACCCAACCACCATTCTACTATTTCAAATTCTCCCTCTGTCTAAAACTGACTTAATGCTAACCAAAAGACAAAAAAGTGAACAACTTTATTTAATGTTTTAATACATGGAGGCAGATATTTTCTGGCTCGACAGTATTCCAAAGCTGCAATGACTAGTTCTTAATTCAAAGAACACTTCCCCCTCCCAATGATTGTTTCTGAAAATTAGCTAGTAAAAACAGTTACATTTGGATTGAAAGCATACATTTCATAACCCAATTTCACCGAAAGGAGCCTGCATCTTCCCAACTAAAGGCACCTGCCTGCGACTTACTCTAAGTACAGTAACAGGCTTTACCATAACTTACTCTAAGTACAGTAACGAACAGGCTTTACCATAACTTACTCTAAGTACAGTAACAAACAGGCTTTACCGTATCCACTCATGCTGCTCTGGCCACCGTAGCCGCCTCCGTAACCCCCACTCAGCTGCTGGCTGGCTGGGCCCCCGTAGCTGGACTGGTTTGCTGTTAAGTTAAGAAAACATTAGAACCTTTTTTCTTATGTGATGTGGTACCTGGTGGTACCGGGCTTGTAATTCTATAGCTATCATTTTCCAGTCTTGATCTTACATTACTGTAACCCTCTGCCTCCTTCTGCCTACTGTCTATAACCAGGCCACCCTTCTATCCATCATTTGAGCCAGTCAAATATTGATAAACCAAAGTGCTAACGGTACACACATCAGCAGGACTAAAATCAACATGATTCCGTAAGTAGAGGCATTTTGTGAAGATCTTATGAAACTGCTTGACTGGATTTAGTGGGTTCCCCCTCAGTTTGATACATCAAAGGCATGTCAATACACCTAATTATGCCCACATTTATCTTAATCCTGTTTTGCTATTGATTTAAACTTTATACTTAGAAAATTTAAGTAGTTTCACTCCGTAGTCCCCTCCCCCAAGACTACTTAAACCTAATTTGAATTATCTATCCTAAGGAACTTCATAACTCACAAGGATTTAAGTAAGCCAGATACAAAACTCAAATATCAAGAAACTGCTTTGCCTAAGTTTCTTATGCTAAACTTATTAAATAAATAGATTAACTTAACTTATAATTGACTTATACAGATATAAACGTTTTGGTTTTTAAAAAAACTAACGATATTTACACAAGCCCATGCCTCCCATCATTTGGCTACCATAAGCACCACCGCTTGCTCCTGCTGTAGAATTCAAGAAGAGTTCTACATATCTGTGTTCTGAAATGAGAGAAAAGGCATACAAGGTTAGCTTAAAAAAAAGACACTAAAGTGATATTTACACAAACCCATGCCTCCTAGCATTTGGCTACCGTAAGCACCACCGCTTGCTCCTGCTGTAGAATTCAAGAAGAGTTCTACATATCTGTGTTCTGAAATGAGAAAAAAAAAGTTTGAAAATGTTTGTTGGTGAAACAAAACAGAATAAGCACTTTTATAAAGTTTTTAAACAAGCAGATCTGTGAACTTCAAATACTTTGGCAAAGAAATTCTAGCTACTTCTCTTAGGTGATCTACTTTAACTCCAAAATCTAGCCTTTACATATTCATCTGTATTGTCAATTAAGGATATACACTTCAAGATGTGCATATCACAAATCCGTTATACTAATTTTTAAAACCCAAACCTTCAACACACTGCCCCCGCATCCCCCAAGAATTAATCTATTACTGGAGAGGAAACTTCTCATATATCCTTATTTTTCCATTTCTCTATTGTAAATGTTAGTCACACAATCACCTGTTAAGAGCCCACAAATGCTCAATCACACTTACGCATATTTGCTTTGTCTTTTGACATAGCTGCCACAGCATCTTCATGAGTTGCGAACTCGACATCTGCTTCACCAGTTACTCTGCCATCAGGACCAATTTCAATGTGTACTCTCACAGGGTTGAGCGGTGAAAAAAACTACAACACAAGGCATTTCAAAGAATTCAACCAACTTTCTAACGTTACAAAAAAAACCTAAAATTTCTAACATAGTGCTCACATTTATAGAATAAGGCTGACTTACTGCCATACTGAAATATTGACTTGTGAGTTCATCTCACACTTACATTATAAATGTCATTCTCAGTAGCTCTGTAAGGTAATCCCCGCATGTGTACACAGTGTCCTGTTGTGCTCTGGAAAGTAGAGCCACCATCCCCGTATCTGTGATCAGACATTCCTGAAAAACAGTAATTGAGGTCTAGATGGACAAGAGTGTAAGCATCCTTCAACTGAGAAATTCAATTCTTACCTTACCTCTTCCAAATCTATCTGACCCAAATCCATAGCCATCATTATAGCCATTGTAATCATCATAGCCTCCATAGCCTGAAAGACAAAGTACAATCAATCAAATAAAACACCTAGACAAAGGAACAGACGACTTGCCGAACCTTACGAATCCTCACGTACCTCCACCATAAGCACCACGCCTCATCCTCTC
The DNA here is from genome assembly GCF_000001405.40 of Homo sapiens. Lineage (NCBI taxonomy): Eukaryota > Metazoa > Chordata > Mammalia > Primates > Hominidae > Homo > Homo sapiens. The sequence goes on from NW_016107298.1 coordinate 384,450, forward strand.
AAAGCCAGCTCCTCTGCCAATGCTGTTATACCCTCTACCAGCCCCAGGTCTGTCATAAGGACCTGGCCGCTGCATGGCCATAAGCTTTCGTGGTGGATCATAATGAGTTCTAACTTCAGCTCTACTGCTCTTAAAGATTTCAATATACCTAAAGCATTGTTCATAAGGAAGGGGTAGGGAGGGGAGAGAAAACATTAGTTCATTTTATACAGGTATTTAGTTATACAAGAAAACAATCTAGTCATAGCCATGAAACTGACTAATATTTAAAGCCAGATTTCTTATATTTGCATAGGCAATGACCAGAAATTCAACTCAATAAATAGTAAGACAATGTAAACTTTATAGAAAAAAAAAAAAAACTCACTCCTCTGAGGCAGAGCCCAACCTTAGGGGTAGAGAGGAGTACTGTAAATAAATGTTTTAGGAGGGAAATAATTCCACTCAACTTTCAACATTTCAAGTCTTAAATCCATTGGCAGCATGTATAGCAAGTGGGCTAAAAAGCCAGCCTCCACCAACAGTCCAGCCCACACTACACATTTCCTTTCGCCAATAAATACCCCAGCCTATGCTTTTAGTAAGAATCAGCATAGGTAAGCGCATGCTTCAATGAAAAATAGTCACAAGCAAAGAGAATAAAACCTTTTGTGACAATTTCTTGAAAGCTATGCTTATTAATACTATGCAGAATATTTATATACAGCAAGAAAAAGTTTGTTGCATTTCAACTTTAAAAACAAGATCAGAAAGTATCACATTTTCTTATGGTAATATTAATTTATTCTAGGTGGGTGTTATTACAGCTAAAGCCAGGTTTGCATTAATTTTTTAAAGCCATAGTCTCTCAACTCTATTGATTGGGGTTAATAAGACTCACAAAATTGTCAAGCAGACCAATTAACTAGGGACAAATTTCAAACCTAAAATTTAGTTTGCGTGTAACGTGGGACTGACACAAGTTTGGAAATCATGGCAAAACATCAATTACCTAGGACTACAAAACATTAATTTCTTCTTTTAAGCAGAGAGAATATGGATTTAATTGTTTACCATAAGAAAAGTGACATATCCAACCAACCATCCATCCCCACCTGTGCCCTATTCTTTCCTTGTGTTTCTTTAGAGCCTTTTCAGCTATTTCCTGTGAAGCAAACTGCACGAAGGCCTCCCCCGTACTCCTCCCCTGGAAGTCCACCGGCAATGTTATCCCATTTGGCACGATTTCCAACCCTTCAACCCAAGGACAAATAACCCCAGTAGGGGGGCAATATTAACATCACAAGCCCAGAAATGATTCTTCTTATAGCTTTAAATAAACCAGAATTTTTAACTTTAGGTGAATGGTATGCTTTCAACAAGTACTCTTTAAATATGCATTGCAATAATATGAAGTTCCATTATTATAAAGTATAACTATTCTTAACACACCCATGGTACAGTATATATTAAAAAAAACTTGCTGAACACAGGATGCATTAAGAATTCAACAACTTAAGAACACATATCTATGCAACTTAATGTTGAGAATTATACAATTCAATTAAGTTTTAAGCATTAAATAACAGTTTTACTAAATTCAAAACACCTTTTACCTCATTTTATATTTCAATGCTTTAAGTTATTGGAACTTCAAGTTTTTAAAAAGGTATACATTTACAACATTTCATATAAAAACTGAAACATTAAATTATAATTGACAAACACAACAATCTAAACTTTCAACAAAACTGATCTACACAGCACAATCATGCATGCTTATGCTCTAACAGTAGTTATGATTCACTTCTGGAAATTCCGTCTATGAAAAATCCTTTCCGTGGATACATTCCCAAGCTTACAAAAAGGACTTAAAGCACTTTCCTAGAAGATATGAAATTATGTTCATATTTAACGTTGACAGCATTCAATTCTCACCAATTTAGTGTCAAAACAAAACAGACTTGATTTTAAAAATTCTGACATTAGGACTCGATACATATATCAATTTTTAACATACTACACTAAACCATGAAAGGATTTCTTGCTTCCAGTGTATCACATCATAAATATTAATACTTAAAATATACGATATCTTATCTAACATTGTTAAACATGCAATCTTATCAGCTCTTCAGCATAAAAACATTCAAATACTTTAGGCCCAGGAACAATTTCAAAACACTTATTTCAGATACTGAGACTACAAGCATTCAAACTACTCTCACTACATCTGATTTTCAGTAAGTTTATACCACACAGGTTAAACCAAGTCTTTCATAAACCGACTTTTGCATTAAAGAGAATTAGACCATTAGATGCTTCTGGTCACATGACCCAAATACGTGTCTCTTGCAACACAGACACTTGCCATAATTTACAACAACCTAATTCATCGCACTGATGATCTGCTGGTAAAGGGATCTTACCTTTAACTTGAGGTACTTAGCTGGACACCAATGTGAGGAAAGTAGTTAAGCTGTTGAGGGCAATCCTCAATGAAAGATCTACTCTGAACTATAATACTAAATATAGGCAAAGTTAACATTTTGGAAGTACTTCATTTCCACCTTTAAGATGGGCTTAAATTATTTGAAGGTCTCTAGGAAGAAAACATTAATTCATTGGCAATTTACAACCTACTGAAATACCTAAGCTACTCAACTTTAACGTCTATTAAATCACCTTGCCATAAGCTAGCCAAAACTCACTGCTCAGCAACAAACATGACTACATACCTGAGAAGAACTGAACAATTTCTTCCTTGCTACATCCAAAGGGAAGTCCTCTAAGCCGTACAAAGCCATCATTGGCCGTGTCAGGACTATTTGGACCAGTATGCTTCAACACCCAATCCATTTCAACGTTGTTTGACTTGAATACTGAAAGAGGTGCTTAGAATTAGTCACTTTTGGAAAATTAGATAACAAAGTTCAGACTTCCTGGGTCTTTAGATAAGCTAGGAAGAGCTGCCACAAACTCCCTTAGATGACCATTTCCATGCAGTCAAATACCTAAAATTCAGAAGGGGTGAGACCTCTATTGTTTAATGCTTTATTTACTGTAACTAGGGCAATGTAAATCAAACCTTCAACATATCTGTGTCCCATAGTTTCTCTGTCTTTTTTCAGGGCCAATTTGACTTCATCTTCTGATTCAAGTTCAACAAAAGCCTCGCCACTTGGTCTGCCTTCTCTGGTGTAGATGAAACGAATACCTTGAGCCCCATTTTGAATTTTGCAGTCTGGAAAGAAAACAACCGTTAATACAGAATTTAAAACCTAAAACCACCTCTGGGTGACACAGATGAAATGTCTATTCCATGTCCCCACTACAAATTACATAACTTGTGAAGCCTATATATACTGACCACGATATTACCAACTCCTAAAACTCCAATTAAAAAAAAACAAACTCATTCCTAAGGTGATATATTTCCAACCCATCAACAACATACAATATTCAAAGCAGTTTCAGAATGAATTTATCTCTTTAGTCCTTGCTACTCATGTCTACATCACACATCTTTTATCAATTTCTCAGAAGATTATCAAGCCTGGACTGTGTGACTTTACGGCAAACATACTTCGTTGCGAGCTGTTTTGGTCTGGGGCATTTATCCGTTTTACCTTACCAGTAGCCACATTACGGTTTCTCATTCAAATTCAAATTACAAGCCCAATACTCACCTGAAAGGGGATCAGTGTTACCAAGCTAAAATGCTCCAAGTTGCACAGCTGAAGCCAAACCCAGTGTTGCCCCCTGCAAGGCGGCTTCCAGCGTACTTGGTTCTTGTTTTACAGGTCGCTTTCCGTTACCAACGCTAAATTCAGATAGTAAGTCAATACTACAAACGTCTTGCCAAAAGCTGTTAATTTCATCCAAATAGAATTTTAATCAGTCTAATTTCTTTTTCCCAGTCTAATAATAGGAACAAGGACATTCTGATAGAAAATATTCAGGAAACCTATGTACTGCAAAAAAACTTCCCTGGGCTTCAGTGTCTTCAACTGTATAGTGAGCCAGATTAAGAACTAGATAAGAAAACACTCTTCAATTATCAAATCTTGATTAGGAAAACTGAAATTAAGACGTGACATTTTAACTTTCCGAAGAATGCTCCTTTTTAAGAAAACACCAAAACTGGAAACAAGAGGTTACACTTCAAGATATTGCAAAACATTACTATTATTTGTCTAATCACTCGGCCATTTTCTCAAGATTGAGGAGGAAATCCCACCTATGCCAATTTATCCTTTCGAAAAAAGACACCCGGGCCAGGCGCGGTGGCTCACGCCTGTAATCCCAGCATTTTGGGAAACCGAGGTGGGCGGATCACTTGAGGTCAGATGTTCGAGACCAGCCTGGCCAAAATAGTGAAACCCCGTCTCTACTAAAAATACAAAAATTAGCCGGGCGTGGCGGTGCGCGCCTCTAGTCCCAGACACTCGGGAGACTGAGGCAGGAGAATCGCTTGAACCCAGGAGGCGGAGGTTGCAGTGAGCCGAGAACGCGCCACTGCACTCCAGCTTGGGTGACAGAGACTCCAACTCAAAAGAAAAAGAAAAAAAGACACCCATAAAAGAAAAGCTGGTGTTCAAAGATAGGTAAAGAAAACAAAGTCTGCCAAACCTGCCGCACTCCCCCAAGGGCCAGGAGGACGGGCGGGGCTTTCGAAATTTCCATTGCGTAACAGCGGGCCGCCGGGCGCGAGCAGCACAGCGGTGAGTGTAGTCGCCCGCGCCTCGCCAGGGGGCGCCCCGGGTCCCACCCGGCCCGGCCCGGCCCGCCCCGCCCCGCCCCGCCCCGCCCCAGCCCGGCCGCCCGCCAGCCCGCCCGCCCCGGCCTCGAACTCGAACTCCCGCGTCCTAGTTCTAACTCACCAGAAAAAAACCTCTGCACTTCATCGGCCGAGCAAGACCAGGGCAAGCCCCGGACCTTCACCACGAATCCCTCTCCACCTTCCGTGCCCAACATCATCGTCTCTTACGCGGTCCGGCGTCGAAACAAACTGCAAAGCGGGGAGGACCAGAACTGAGAGCGCCAATTAAGCTGTCCTTCGCCTCCGAGGCGCGCCCGGGCCCGCACCGCCCCCCCACGGAGCAAAAACCGGGCGGATGCACCCACCCCGGCGACTCCAACACCTCCTCGTCCGGCGACCGGACCCCCAAAGCTGTCCTGAGCAACAGCTGTCGGCGCCCCGAACCGTGGGGGCCCGGGCCGAGAGCCAGCGTAGAGGAAAGGAAATGGCGGCGGCCGCTTCCGCTCCGCCTCCTCCGACTTCTCACACAATAGAGTCGGCGCGGCCTGCAGGCCTCAGCGGCGGTGCCGAGATTCAGCGAACCACTCGCGGCTCTCGACGGCAGCCTGCAGCTCGCCAAGGTCCCCGTGGCCCTCCCAGAGATATGGGGACAAACAATCCTCGCAAAAACGGTACCCACCGTGGTCGCTGAACTGCAAGCGAGGACCCACCGCGACTCACCTAGACACGCGACTTCTGCGTGGCTAAGACGAAATGGCCAGCGGGCGCCTGCGCAACCTAAATAAGGTCCCTTGTGCGAGTTCTGCGCACGCGCAGCCAGCTGCCCGCACCGCCCCGTTGCGTCACAAAGAGCTCTGGCGCATGCGTAATTTCAAGAGCCAGCCCACCTCCCGCCGGCGGATTATTACACGCTTGGGTTTTGGGCTCAGCACCCCCACCCATAAACCCGCCGGGCTTTTTGTTGCGCCTGCGCCTTCCCGCGAATATTGAACTTCGGAGTCCTAGCGGTTTATAATTATTTCATGCGCATGCGTCTTCCTTGAAACCGTTCTCTAGCCTTACCCGCCAGCGTGGGGGAGGGGAATGGCGGCCGCCTGTTCCCTATGGGACTGTATAGGAGTCCCGAGCTCTGGGTTGTGATGAGGTGGGCGTCTTTCTACCCCTTGCCCCCAGGCTCTTACCGGCGCGCTCCTGGCCGACCTGAAAGGAGGGGCGCGGCCTTCAGGCGTTCCCACTCCCCGCGCCGCCTGTCTTCCCTTTATCCCCAAACCGGCCGAAGCTGGTCAGCTGCAGATTGTCGAACGTCCTGGTAGCTGCGGGGCTGCGGACGTCCCGCGCCCGAAGCCACCCGGATGGTGCCTGGGGCACGTCCCAGCCCTGTGTGCCTCCACTTCCCCTTACCTGCCGTCGTCGGGCCTAGGGCCCCGGTCGGCGCGAGGTTTCCGTGCCTGTGGCTCGCGCCTGTACCCAGCTTTTGCCTAACGAATTCGCACCCTGTGTACCCCTTGACCCGCCTAACGGTCGGCAGGCCTTGACTGCCCTGGGGCCCTGGCACGAGGAGGGATCGCGAGCGCGGGCTCCACGGGTGCGCGCCGGCCTCTGCGCTCGGTAGGTTACCGCTGCATCTCCCAGAGCAGAATTGGTAAGAGTGCGTCCATTCACCAGGCGTAGACGCTGCATTCGAGGAGGCCCCCGGGTCACCCCATGTGCACACATGCTGCGAGATGACTAATGTTCGTGGTTTCTAGCAGCACTGCCCAAAACCTAAGATGCCGTAGCCTCCCAGGCCTCCCCATGTCTGATTTGGCTGCCTTCCTCACCCCAGCTTTAGTGGACACAGACAATACACAAATTAACAATAAGGTAGTGCTGGACCCTGCCGCAGAGCTACCTTAGCTAGTGCAAGCCTGAGTGCCACCCTGGGAAGATGCGGACAAAGCATGTTTCCAACCCCAGTGCCACAGAGTCCGAATCCAGTTTTGACAGGTTTGAGAAAAAGTAGAGAGGACATCAAAAGAAAGACAGGAGCCCAGAGCTAAGCAGGGCCTGATCTTCAAAGGCCACTTAGGCCTTGGCAAGGGTGTTATCTCCGAGAGAAGGCTTTGGCAGGTGATCAGCAGGGGAGCCGTAAACCCTGTGTAAAGGAAAACTCTTGCTGGATGTGAGGGGGATGCAGATGGAGCAGGCAGGGTGAATGACGGTACATACCAGGCCCTCTACTACAAACTGAACTAGAAGCACACACCTGTGGTACCATTTCAGAAGGCAGTTTGGCTGAGGTAATCAAGAAGAGAGTCCGGCCAGGTGCGGTGGCTCACTCGTGTAATACCAGCATTTTGGGAGGCCGAGGCAGGCAGATCACTTGAGATCAGGAGTTTCAGACCAGCTTGGCCAACATGGTGAAACCCCATCTCTACTAAAGATACAAAAATTATCTGGGCATGGTGGCACACGCCTGTAATCCCAGCTACTCTGGAGGCTGAGGCAGGAGAATCACCTGAACCCAGGAGGCAGAGGAAGCAGTGAGCTGAGATCACACCACTGCCCTCCAGCCTGGGCTACAAAGACTCCCTCTCAAAAAAAAAAAAAAAAAAAAAATTAGCCAGGCATGGTGATGCATGCCTGTAATCCCAACCACTTGGCAAGACTGAGGCAGGAGAATCACTTAAACCCAGGAGGCAGCAGTTGCAGTCAGCTGAGATCACGCCATTGCACTCCAGCCTGGGCAATAAGAGCAAAACTCCGTCTCAAAAAAAAAAAAAAAAAGAATAGTAGTAAGGTAGAATACATTTCATACACTTATAGCCAATTCTCTTATATATAAATTGTCCAACTTATATTAAAACAAGGTTTTTAAATTTTTATTTTTTATTTGTTTGTTTGAGACACAGCCCGTCACCCAGGCTGGAGTGCAGTGGTGCAAACATGGCTCACCACAGCCTCTACCTTCTGGGCTCAAACAATCCTCCTGCCTCAGCCTCCTGAGTAGGTAGGACCACAGGCATGTGCCACCTTGCTCAGATTATTTATTTATTTATTTATTTATTTATTTATTTATTTATTTTTTGTAGCAATGGGGTCTCATTTTGTTGCCCAGGCTGGTCTTGAATTCTTGGGCTCAAGGAATCATTCCACCTCAGCCTCACAGAGAAAGTGCTGGGATTACAGGTGTGAGCCACCATGGCTGGCAATGAAAGGTTTTTTTGTTTGGTTTTGTTTTTGAGACAGTCTAACTCTGTCACCCAGGCTGGAGTACAGTGGTGCAATCTTGGCTCACTGCAACCTCTGCCTCCTAGGTTCAAGCAATTCTCATGCCTTAGCCTCCCAAGTAGAGGGATTACAGGTGTGTGCCACCACACCTGGCTACTTTTTTTTAAGTTTTAGTTGAGATGGGGTTTTGCCATGTTGGCCAGGCTGGTCTGGAACTCCTGACCTCAAGTGATCTGCCTGCCTCGGCCTCCCAAAGTACTGAGATTACAAGCATGAGCCACCATGCTCGGCCAAAGGTTTTTTTAAATAAAAAGTTAATCATCAGCCCACGCGTGGGGCTCATGCCTGTAATCCCAGCACTTTGGGAGGCCGAGGCAGGTGGATCAAGAGTTCAGGAGTTAGAGACCAGCCTGACCAACATGGTGAAACCCCGTCTCTACTAAAAATACAAAAAGTAGCCGGGCATGGTGTCGCGTGCCTGTAATCCCAGCTACTCAGGAGGCTGAGGCAGGAGAATCACTTGAACCTGGGAGGTGGAGGTTGCAGTGAGCAGAGATTGCACCACTGCACTCCTGCCTGGGCAACAGAGCAGGACTCTGTCTTTAAAAAAAAAAAAAAAAATTCATCATCTTGCCTCAGTGGTCTTTATGTCTTGGTATACTTCTTTTTTTTTTTTTTTTTGAGACGGAGTCTCGCTCTGTCGCCCAGGCTGGAGTACAATGGCGCGATCTCCGCTCACTGCAAGCTCCGCCTCCCGGGTTCACACCATTCTCCTGCCTCAGCCTCCCGAGTAGAGTAGCTGGGACGACAGGCGCCCGCCACCACGCCCAGCTAATTTTCTTGTATTTTTACTAGAGACGGGGTTTCACCGTGTTAGCCAGGATGGTCTCGATCTCCTAACCTCATGATCCGCCCACCTCGGGCTCCCAAAGTGCTGGGATTATAGGTGTGAGCCACTGCGCCCGGCTAATGTCTTCGTATACTTCTTACAGTTTACAGAGCTCTTTATTAAGGCTGTTAGCCCTTAGGATAGTTGCCCCAGACATTCTTCTCAGTTTGCTTACCTTTTAATTATTTTTGTGGTTTTGTGGTGGTATTTTTTGTTTGTTTTACAGACAATGTCTTGTTCCGTGCAGTGACACAATCATAACTCACTGCAGCCTTGAACTCCTGGGCTCAAGCCATCCTCCAAGCTCAGCCTCCTGAGTAGCTGGGACTAAAGGCACTTTCAACCAGGCCCGACTAATTTTTTTTTTTTTTGTAGTGATGGGGGTCTCACTATGTTGCCCAGGCTAGTCTTGAATTCCTGGCGTCAAGCAATTCTCCCACCTTGGCCTCTCAAAGCCCTGGGATTATTCTACATGTGAGCCATGATGCTCGGCCCTGATTTATGCCTTTTTTTTTTTTAAGACAGGGTCTCACTTCGTCACTCAGGTTGGAGTGCAGGTATGTGATCTCGGCTCACTGCAACCTCCACCTCCCGGGTTCAAGCAATTCTTGTGCCTCAATCTCCCAAATTGCTGGGATATGCCAGGTGCAATGGCTCACACTTGTAATCCCAGCACTTTGGGAGGCTGAGGTGGGTGGATAACTTGATGTCAGGAGTTTCAGACATGTTGGCCAACATGGTGAAACCCTGTCTCTACCAAAAATACAAAAATTAGCCGGGCATGGTGGTGGGCGCCTGTAATCCCAGCTACTTGGGAGGCTGAGGCAGGAGAATCACTTGAACCCAGGATGTGGAGGTTGCAGTGAGCAGAGATCCTGCCACTGTACTCCAGCCTGGGCAACAGAGGGAGATTCCATTGCAAAAAAAAAAAAAGGAAAAAAATACCAAATAGCTGTGATTACAGGCATGCACCATCACACCCGGCTAATTTTTGTATTTTTAGTAGAGATGGGGTTTCACCATGTTGGCCAGGTTGATCTGGAACTCCGAACCTCAAGTGATCCATCCACCTTAGCCTCCCAAAGTGCTGTGATTACAGGTGTGAGCCACTGCACCCGGCCTATGATTGCTTTTTAATATTTGGACATATAGAAGTTTTAAATTTCTTGATGTCAAAGCCATGGATATGTTCCTTTGAGGTTTGTCTTTAAGTTTAGAAAGCCCTTTCCCATCCAGAGATTGAGCACATATTTGTTATCTTTAGTATCATTTGTAAGACACATTTTGTACAGCTTAGCCTCAATAAGATAGGAATGTGTTTTATTTATTTTCTTCTGCTTTTTTAAAAATTTGTATTTATTTATTTATTTTAGATGGAGTCTTGCTCTGTCACCCAGGCTGGAATGCAATGGCATGATCTCGGCTTACTGCAACCTCCACCTCCCAGATTCAAGCGATTCTCCTACCTCAGCCTCCAGAGTAGCTGGGATTACAGGTGCCTGCCACCACACCCAGCTAATTTTTGTGTTTTTAGTAGAGACCGGGTTTTGCCATGTTGACCTCAGGTGATCCACCCACCTCAGCCTCCCAAATTGCTGGGATTACACGCATGAGCCACCGCACCTGGCCAGGAATGTGTTTTAAAACCAATGATATCAGCTGGGCATGGTGGCTCACCCTGTACTCCTAGCTCTCTGGGAGGCCATGGTGGGCTGATCACTTGAAGTCAAGAGTTCCAGACTAACCTGGCCAACACGGTGAAACCCCGTCTCTACTACATTATCACATCTCATCCTTTTGGCAAAGATCAAGTGTAGGAAAAAAGATAAATTAACCGGGTGTGGTGGCATACGTCTGTAATCCCAGCTACACAGGAGTGTGAGGTGGGAGGATGGCTTGAACCCCAGAGACAGAGGTTGCAGTGAGCCAAGATCACACCACTGCACTCCAGCCTAGGTGACAGAGCGAGACTGTGCCTCAAAGAAAAGAAAATAAATGCAATCATAAATAACCCGGCTGGGCGTGGTGGCTCACGCCTGTAATCCCAGCACTTTGGGAGGCCAAGGTGGGCAGATCACAAGGTCAGGAGATGGAGACCATCCTGGATAACACAGTGAAACCCCGTCTCTACTAAAAATACAAAAAATTAGCCGGGCGTGGTGGCGGGCGCCTGTAGTCCCAGCTACACGGGAGGCTGAGGCAGGAGAATGGCTCGAACCCGGGAGGCGGAGCTTGCAGTGAGCCGAGATCGCGCCATTGCACTCCAGCCTGGGTGACAGAGCGAGACTCCGTCTCAAAAAAAAAAAAAGTAATAATAATGATGATATGTCGCCCAGGCTGGAGTGCAGTGGCATGATCTTGGCTCACTGCAACCTCCCCCACCCAGGCTCAGGTGATCCTCCTGCCTCAGCCTCCCAACAAGTAGCTGGGACTATAGGCACAGGTCTGGAACTCCTGAACTCAAGTGATCTGACTGCCTCGGCCTCCCAAAGTGCTGGGATTACAGGCATGAGCCACCATGCCAGGCCAGAATTTGTTCGTAGTAGTACAGAAAATAATGGTGGGACTTAAAATTGATGATATTTTAGATTTGATGGAAACTGTTATACTCCAATTATTTTATGTGAAGACATGTTATAGCCATTATAATTATATTTTCATGGATTTCTTAATAATATGAAGTAGACTGGGTGCAGTGGCTTACGCCTGTAATCCCAGCACTTTGGGAGGCCAAGGCAGGTGGATCACTTGACATCAAGAGTTGGAGACCAGCCTGGCCAACATGGTGAAACCCCGTCTCTACTAAAAAAATACAAAAATTAGCCAGGCATGGTGGCACTTGCCTGTAATCTCAGCTACTTGGAGGCTGAGGCAGGAGAATCACTTGAACCTGGGAGGCGGAGGTTGCAGTGAGACTAGATCACGCCACTACACTCGAGCCTCGGTGACAGAACGACTCTGTCTCAAAATAAAACAAAAAAACAGAACCCTGAGATTTGCAAAAGAAAATATGCAGATGACCGGGCTCATGCCTGTAATCCCAGCACTTTGGGAGGCCAAGGTGGGTGGATTACCTGAGGTCGGGAGTTCAAGACCAGCCTGACCAACATAGAGAAACCCTGTCTCTACTAAAAATACAAAAATTAGTCAGGCGTGCTGGCAGATGCCTGTAATCCCAGCTACTTGGGAGGCTGAGGCAGGAGAATCGCTTGAATGTGGGAGGCGGCGGTCGTGGTGAGCTGAAATCTTGCCATTGCACTCCAGCCTGGGCAACAACAGTGAAATTCTGTCTCAAAAAAATAAATAAATAAAAGAAAAAGAAAAAGAAAAGAAAATATGCAGATGATCCATAGGCTTGAGAAGTGTCCCTTTGAGTGGTAACCAAAGAAATGCAAAATAAATAAAATAACGCAAAGCCTTTGCAACTAATTTTCAAATTAATGATCATTTAAAAGAGTAATTAAGAGAGCTGGAAAGGATGCAGGGAGATGCCATCAAGGTACATTGTGCTTGGAGTGTAAATTGGTACACCCTCTCGCTCAGGGCTATTTGCACTATAAATGCATACATTTCGGCCTGACGCGGGGGCTCACGCCTGTAATCCCAGCACTTTGGAGGGCCGAGGTGGGCGGATCACAAGGTCAAGAGATTGAGATCATCCTGGTCAACATGGTGAAACCCCGTCTCTACTAAAAGTACAAAAAATCAGCTGGGTGTGGTGACGGGCGCCTGTAGTCCCAGCTACTCAGGAGGCTGAGGCAGGAGAATGGCGTGAACCCGGGAGGCAGAGCTTGCAGTGAGCCGAGATCGTGCCACTGCACTCCAGCCTGGGCGACATCTCAAAAAAAAAAAAATCTCAAAAAAGAAACAAAAACAGCTCAAAAAAAAAACAAAAACAAAAATCAAAAAACATACATTTCATTAAAGCATACATTCCATTCCTACTTTTGCACTGATTTAATTACAAGATTGTTCATGGCAGCATGAAATAGGGAAGCTTTAGAAAACAATTTAATGTCTAATGAAGTATGGAATAAATTCTGGTATGAATGCATGGGGGTAGTGGGATGGGGAGGCTGTGAGGGGGAAGGAAATAAATCTTAGGTAACATAATGGTTTGTTGCCTTCCAAAGGGCCACAGGACATGAAAAGATATACGTTACGGTATATCTATGTTATTAAAATATCATGTGGTGGGAAACTAGGAAAAAAGATCTAGAAAGGATCTTTAAGATGGCGATCATGAAAAAAAAAGTTGAGAAAAAATGATCTAGGTTCCGTGTGGTGGCTCATGCCTATAATCTCAGTACTTTGGGAGGCCAAGGCAGGCACATCACCTGAGGTCAGGAGTTCAAGACCAGCCTGGGCAACATATTGAGGCCCCATCTCTACAAAAAGTTAAAAACATGCTGGGCGCGGTGGCTCACACCTGTAATCCTAGCACTTTGGGAGGCCGAGGCAGGCAAATTACCTGAGGTCGGGAGTTCAAGACCAGCCTGGCCAACATGGTGAAACCCCGCCTCTATTAAAAATACAAAAAATTAGCCAGGTGCAGTGGCGTAGGCCTGTAATCCCAGCTACTCAGGGGGCTGAGGCAGGAGAATTGTTTGAACCCAAGAATTGGACGTTGCGATGAGCTGAGATCGCGCCACTGTACTCCAGCCTGGGCAACAAGAGCAAGACCTCAAAAAAAAAAATTTTTTTTTTAAATATTAGCCAGGCCTGGTGGCACATGCCTGTAGTTCCAGCTACTCAGGAGGTTGAGGTGGGAGGATCGCTTGAGCCCAGGAGGTGGAGGATGCAGTGAGCTGAGATCGCGCCCCTTAACTCCAACCTAGGCAAAGTGGGGAGACCCTCTCTCAAAACAAACAAACTTTAAATTTCTGAGTGATAAACAGCATCGGCCGCCTCCGGGACCTGCTCGGGTGGTACACTGCAAGCTGCGGAGACTTAAGAAAAGGGCGTCTCGGCCGGGCGCGGCGGCTCACGCCTGTAATCCCAGCACTTTGGGAGGCCGGATCACGAGGTCAGGAGATCGAGACCATCCCGGCTAACACGGTGAAACCCCGTCTCTACTAAAAATACAAAAAAAATTATCCGGGCGTGGTGGCAGGCGCCTGTAGTCCCAGCTACTTGGGAGGCTGAGGCAGGAGAATGGCGTGAACCCGGGAGGCGGAGCTTGCAGTGAGCCAAGATCCCGCCACCGCACTCCAGCCTGAGTGACAGAGCGAGACTCCGTCTCAAAAAAAAAAAAAAGAAAAAAGAAAAGGGCGTCTCGGTTAGAGCCCGGGTATGGGGTAGCACCCCCTCCCCCGCCGCGGCCAGGCAGCACGGTCCGCCCTTGCGGCTGGGATCCCCGCGTCTCTCCGCCTTCGCTGGAGCCCCACTGTTGTGTTGAAGGAGACCGTCCTTCCGACGCCGAGTCCGGCTCCACAACCACGTAAACGAATTGTGGATTCAGACACCATGAGCGGCGGAAACAAAGGCGTCCCCACAGTGTCCAGCCGTCCGCTGAGGAGAAGGGTCTGCCCGACGGCCACCTGAGGAGGGACCGAGCACGCCCTCTCCGGTTCACGCTGCGCGCCTCCTCCAGGCGGACAACGCAGGCGGCCGGTTTTGAACTTTCCGGGTGCGAACCTCCCAAGGCTTCAGCCAGGTCACTCACTGTCTAAAGCCAAATCAAATATCTTTTTTTTTTTTTTTTTTTTTGAGACGGAGTCTCGCTCTTGTTGCCCAGGCTCAGCTTCCCGAGTAGGTGGGATTACAGCCCCACCAAGCCCGGCGAATTTTTTTTTTTTTTTTTTTTTTTTGAGACGGAGTCCTGCTCTGTCGCCAGGCTGGAGTGCAGTGGCGCGATCTCGGCTCACTGCAACATCCAGCTCCTGTATTCAAGCGATTCTCCAGCCTCATTCTCCCCACTAGCTGGGAATACAGGCGCCCACCACCACGCCCAGCTAATTTTTTGTATTTTTAGTAGAGACGGGGTTTCACCATGTTGATCAAGATGATCTCAATCTCTTGACCTCGTGATCCACCTGCCTCAGCCTCCCAAAGTGCTGGGATTACAGGCGTGAGCCACCATGCCCAGTTAATTTTTGTATTTTCAGTAGAGATGGGGTTTCACCATGTTGGTCATGCTGGTGTTGAACTCCAGAGATCAGGTAATCCGCCGCCTCAGCCTCCCGAAGTGTTGGGATTACAGGTGTGAGCCACCACGCCCGGCCTGTTTGTTTGTTTGTTTGTTTGTTTGTTTGAGACAGTCTCACTTTATCGCCCAGGCTGGAGTGCAGTGGCACAATCTCGGCTCACTGCAAGCTCCGCCTCCCGGGTTCACGCCATTCTCCTGCCTCAGCCTCCCGAGTAGCTGGGACTACAGGCACCCGCCCCACACCCGGCTAATTTTTTTTTTTTTTTTTTTTTTTGTATTTTTAGTAGAGACGGGGTTTCACCGTGTCAGCCGGGATGGTATCCATCTCCTGACCTCGTGATCCACCTGCCTTGGCCTCCCAAAGTGCTGGGATTACGGGCGTGAGCCACCGTGCCCTGCCTGTCCAAAAAATAAAATAAAAAGCCAGGCGCAGTGGCTCATGCCTGCAATATTAGCACTTTGGGAGGCCGAGGTGGGCAGATTGCCTAAGCTCAGTAGTTTGAGACCAGCCTGGGCAACACGGTGAAACCCTGTCCCTACTAAAACACAAAAATTAGCCAGGCGTCGCAGAGTGCACCTGTATTCCCAGCTACTCGGGAGACTGAGGCAGAATTGTTTGAACCGGGGAGGCAGAGGTTGCAGTGAGCCGAGTTCGGGCCACTGCACTCCACACTCCAGCCTGGGTGATAGAGCGAGACTCCGTCTCTAAAATAAATAAAATAAAATAAAATAAAATAAAATAAAATAACAAAGTAAGCAGTAAAACCATCCAGGCTTGGTAGTCACTATGGTGCTTTCCTCAGGGTCCCCTCCCACAGGCGGCTACTGAGGTCATTTTATCAGGCCCCCTGGGCTCACCTTTTGTTCCATCCCGCACAGGTGAGCCGTCTGGGCAGGCTTTGGCCAGCTTCGCGCAGGTGCCACTGCACAGACTCTCCCTTCAGAGCAGCGCTGGAGGACGGGGTCAGGAGTCAGTGCACAAATCCCTCCTGTCCTTGGGGCCGGGCAGCCACCGCGGCGGGGAGACCCCTCGCTAAGGAGGAGTGTTGGTGTTGCCTCTACTCGCCGGGTCGCCCAGGGCCCTTCACTTCCGAATCAACTCCCCACAGCCGCTGCTTTCAGGGGAAGCCAAGCCAAGTCACATACGGCACGCGCACTGGATCAAAATAATACACGCCTCGACATGCGCCAGACGGTATGTCTAGTATTTAAAGAGCAGGGCTGAAAATGAAAGGTCCTTACCCGGCTTCCTTGCGATTTTCCCACTGCTTCCCCGCGCCAGGGCCGCCTCCTCCGCGGTGCGCGGGAGTTCGGGGAGCGCGCGCCCCCTGCCGGCCGGCCGGAGCGCGGGGCGGGTTTCGCGCCCTCCGTGACCTGGTAGAGCTTGGAATTGCTTCGCTTGTTCTCGCCCGAGGCTACTTTGAGGTTCTAAGTGACTCCCCGTTCCCCGGGTGCCTCGCCGTCGAGAAGCCCAAAGCTTCTCCATCTCCAGCGATGAGGCTCCCCTAGTTTTCCTTCTGCCCAGATACCCTGTGCTCTCACACAGGTCGTGCTGATGGCGGGGAACCGGGACTGCCGTTGTACGTGGCCTGGAGCTCACTTCCGCTCTCCCCCTCGCTGGACCTCTGACCGCAGGTCTCTGAGTCTGTTTCTTGGAGATTTGGGATAGCTGGGAGGCCCCATGAGAGCGAGACGGTGAAGCTACCAGCAATGGGGTCTGGTTCTGATGTAGCCATTGACCCCAGCTTGCACAGCTGAGCTTGCACATTCCTCCTCTCCTCCCCAGCCCCTGCCCCCGCTCCCAGCTGTGGCTGCCCCATGTCCTCTCCAGACCACCCCGCACAGCTGTGGCTGCCCCATGTCCTCTCCAGACCACCCCGCACAGCTGTGGCTGCCCTCCCAGCCTCCCTCTCACACCGCTCTGTGTGACTTTGTCCTGTGCTTGCTCCTGACACATGGACTTCGCTTTATCTTTCTTTTTTTTTTTTAATTTTAATTAAAAAAAAAATTTTTTTTTTTGAGACAGAGTTTCTCTTTTGTTGCCCAGGCTGGAGTGCAATGGCGCACTTTCGGCTCACAGCAACCTCTTCCTCCTGGGTTCAAGCGATTCTCCTGCCTCAGCCTCCCGAGTAGCTGGGATTACAGGCATGTACCACATGCCCGGCTAATTTTGTATTTTTAGTAGAGACAGGGGTTCTCCATGTTGATCAGGCTGGTCTCGAACTCCTGACCTCAGGTGAACCGCCCACCTCAGCCTCCCAAACTGCTGGGATTGCAGGCATGAGCCACCGCGCCCGGCCTCAATTTATCTTTTATACTTGCCCAGGGCCAAAGGGAAGTCTTACATTAGTCAAACTCACCAGATTCAGTAAAAACTCAACCCTAAAATAATTATTTGAGACCGTGCAGTGGCTCACGCCTATAAGCCCAACAATTTGGAAGGCTCAGAGGTAGGCTTACTTGAGCCCAGGACCTCAAGACCAGCCCAGGGGGCCAGGCGCCGTGGCTCACGCCTGTAATCCCAGCACTCTGGGAGGCCCAGGTGGGTGGATCATGTGGTCAAGAGATCGAGACCATCCTGGCCGACATGGGGAAACCCCGTCTTTACTAAAAATACAAAAATTAGTGTGATGGCGCCCGCCTATAGTCCCAGCTACTTGGGAGGCTGAGGCAGGAGAATTGCCTGAACCCGGGAGGTGGAGGTTGCAGTGAGCCGAAATCGTGCCACTGACTCCAGCCTGGCGACAGAGTGAAACTCTTGTCAAAAAAAGAAGAAGAAAAAAAAAAGAAACCCAGAAAACAAAACGAGTCTTCGTCTCTACAAAAAATTAAAAAATACTTAAAAAATAATTACTTGGGTGTGGTGGCACCTGCCTGTGGTCCCAGCCAGCTGGGAAGTTGAGATGGGAGGATAGCTTGGGCCCAGGAGTTGGAGGCTCCAGTGAACTGTGATTGTGCCACTGGACTCCAGCCTGCGTGACACAGCAAGATTCCACTTCTAAAAAATAATTATAATCTGTCAAATTTCGGGACAGATAATCTTGGCCTCCCAGCCCAAGATTTGATTTGATTTCACTTTATTTTAGAGACGGAGTCTCGCTTTGTCGCCCAGGCTGGAGTACAATGGCACAGTCTCAGCTTACTGTAAACTCCACCTCACGCGTTCAAGCTATTCTTCTGCCTCAGCCTCTTGAGTAGCTGGGATTACAGGCGCGTGCCACCATACTCAGCTAATTTTTGTATTTTTAATAGAGATGGGGTTTCACCATGTTGGTCAGGCTGGTCTCAAACTCTTGACCTCGTGATCCGCCCACCTAGGCCTCCCAAAGTGCTGGGATTACAGGGGTGAACCATCCCGCCTGGCCAAGTTTTTATTTTAACAACTACTGTGTGTGAGAGAAGGGGGTGGGCTAGAGTAGGGTAATATGTACACGCTATGGCTGAAACAGAAAAATGGTAACTTTATTTTCTACTTCCCAGCATGCCCTGCTCTGAGCCCTCATTCCTAGTGAAGGTGGAAACAGAGCAAACTTGCTCTTGTATGGATTTAATTTAGTCTTTTTTTGTAATTACTCAGCCTTTCAGGTTGCTTTCTTCTCCGCTGCTCATTCTGTAGCAGACACTGGGTTGCCTACATAATCCCTTTTCCCCATTCTTTGCCAAGACCTCTGACTTTCTTTGGGATCCACCCTTGGAGAAGGTGCCTCTTGTCCTGGTTCAGGGACATATCCTGACGTGTCTAAGCCAATCACTGTAATGCCATTTCTCTCACCTCGGTTGGCTGGGGTGTGCATGAGACCAATTTCTGACCATGAAAACTCATGGATGTCTGCCATGGGGTCCATTCTTGAAAAGAAACACAAGTGGCCGGGCGCAGTGGCTCACGCCTGTAATCCCAGCACTTTGGGAGGCCGAGGCAGGCGCATCACGACTTCAGGAGATCGAGACCATCCTGGCTAACACGGTGAAACCCCGTCTCTACTAAAAATCCAAAAAAAAATTAGCCAGGCGTGGTGGCGGGCGTCTGTAGTCCCAGCTACTCGAGAGGCTGAGTTGGGAGAATGGCGTCAACCCGGGAGGCGGAGCTTGCAGTGAGCACAGATCCTGCCACTGCACTCCAGCCTGGGGAACACACGGAGCAAGACTCCATCTCAAAAGACAAAAAAAAAAAAAGGAAAAAAGAAAAAAAAAAGTAAGGAGCCACCCACAGAATGAGGGAAAATATTTGCCAACAACTAATGGAACAACTCAATTCAAAAATGCATGAAGGGGGCCTGGTGCAGTGACGCATGCCTGTAATCCCAGCACTTTGGGAGTCTGAGGTGGGTGGATCACGAGGTCAGGAGTTTGGGACTAGCCTGACCAACATTGTGAAACTCCGTCTTTACTAAAAATGCAGAAATTAGCTGGGCATGGTGGAGTGCGCCTGTAATCCCAGCTACTCAGGAGGCTGAGGCAGGAGAATCGCTTGAACCCGGGAGGCAGAAGTTGCAGTGAGCCGAGATCGCGCCATTGCACTGCAGCCTGCGTGACAGAGGGAGACTCCGTCTAAAATGAATGAATAAATAAATAAACGAACAAAAAAGCATGAAGGGGCCGGACCCGGTGGCTGAGACAGGTGGATCACTTGAGGCCAATAGTTCAAGACCAGCCTGGGCAACACAGCAAACCCCATCTCTACAGAAAATACAAAAATTCGTCAGGCATGGTGGTGTGTGTCTGTGGTCCCAGCTACTGGGGAGGTTGAGGCAGAAGGACTGCTTGAGCCTGAGAGGCAAAAAAAAAAAAAAAAAAAAAAAAAAAAATAGCTGGTGGTTCATGCCTGTAATCCCAGCACTTTGGGAGGCCAAGGCCAGCAGATCACTTGAGGCCAGGAGTTCGGGACCAGCCTAGGCAGTGGTGGCGAGCGCCTGTAATCCCAGTTACCCGGGAACCTGAGGCAGGAGAATCACTTGAACCTGGGAGGTGGAGGTTGCAGTGAGCCAAGATCGCACCACCGCACTCTAGCTTGGGCAATAAAGTGAGACTCTGTCTCAGACAAACAAACAAACAAATGAAAAGGCTGGGCGGGGTGGCTCAACGCCTGTTATCCCAACACTTTGAGAGGCCGAGGCGGGCGGATCACGAGGTCAGGAGATCGAGACCATCCTGGCTAACATGATGAAACCCCATCACTACTAAAAAAAAAAAAAAAATTAGCAGGACGTGGTGGCGGGCGCCTATAGTCCCAGCTACTCTGGAGGCTGAGGCAGGAGAATGGCGTGAACCCAGGAGGCGGAGCTTGCAGTGAGCCGAGATCACACCACTGCACTCCAGCCTGGGCAACAGAGTGAGACTCCGCCGTCTCAAAAAAAACAAAAAAAAAAAAACAAAAACACCAGGTGTGGTGGCTCACACCTGTAAACCCAGCACTTTGGGAGGCGGATGCAGGCAGATCACGAGGTCAAGAGATTGAGACTATCCTGGTCAACATGGTGAAACCTTGTCTCTACTAAAAATACAAAAATTAGTCGGGCGTGGTGGCACACACCTGTAGTCCCAGTTACTTGGGAGACTGAGGCAGAAGAATCACTTGAACCCGGGAGGCGGAGGTTGCAGTGAGTCGAGATCGCGCCACTGCACTCCAGTTTGGGTGACAGAGCAAGAGCCCATCTCAAAAAAAAAGAATCCTTCTAAGTAGTTTATCAGCTTAAGCCATGTTGGCTGAACATTAAGACTGTCAAATCCTAAGGAACAAAATAATATTAAAATTAGGAAGAATTATTTTGCCATAGGATAAAATAGAAATACTGCCATACATTTGACTCATTTGTTTGAAAATCTTTATATGGTTGTTGCTTCATTTAAAAACCAGACCTCACAAACCTGACCCAAGTTATGTGCAAAATAATGTGCCAGTTGCACAGCCCCTGGAGGCCAGTGTGAGCCCACATGCCTCTGCTGGTTTATTTCTAGAGTCCACTCGCTGTGGGTCTTGATCATGTTTCCAAAATAGGGAAGTCACCCATCTCTATTTCAGGCCTTGTTGCCAATGAAATTTTAAACTATGACATTGATACCATTTGACTAGACAATAACTAAAATTGAACAAAGAAGATATTTTCCTCTCATTGGAGGTTGCAGCATTTTATTCAGGTTTACAATTTATGATTCATCCAGCCGTGGTGGCTCAAGCCTATAATCCCAGCACTTTGAGAGGCTGAGGTGGGCAGATATCTCAAGGTCAGGAGTTCAAGACAAGCCTGGCCAACATGGTGACACCTTCTCTCGACTAAAATTACAAAAATTAGCTGGGTGCGGTGGCACAAGCCTGTAATCCCAGTTACTCGGGAGGCTGAGGCAGGAGAATGGCTTGAATCCGGGAGGCGGAGGTTGTGGTGAGCCAAGATGGTGCCACTGCACTCCAGCCTGAGCAACAGAGTGAGACTCCATCTAAAAAAAAAAAAAAAAATTGTGATTGTGTAAACTGTGACTCAGGGAACTGCAGAGAACAGAAGTTTGCAGGTCTACACGTGGAATCTGCAGTTCTGTTAGGAGAGACTGGCATTGCAAAAGAGCAGCAATTCCTGAGCATCTTCCCCAGCAGAGAGCCCATTCTGGGGGCAATGTTGACAATGACCCAGAGTCTCTGGGTTCTCCAGTGGGGTGCACAGCTGATGTTATCCCTCCTGTGCTGGCAGTTTTCTAAGTGAGTTCAGATCCTCTAGGAAGGAAGATCTGTGTGTGCAGCGCTGTGGAAGAGGTCTCTGTGGGCGCCAAGCCTCCCAAGGAGATTTACGGGCTCCAGGGACTGGAGGTTTGGACCCCATCTCCTTCTCTCCCAATCCATTAGAACACGCATTTCCAGCATCTGTGGGGTGCCCAGATGAGGGGACGCGCCTCCAAGTTGTCCTCAGGAGATTCCCAATTGTTCGTGGATGTCGGATATTCGGTGTCCATGGGAGTGTCTGGGATTTTGGTGTCTTGTGCGTCCAGCAGCGTTGGCACATCCAGGCTGAGGAAAGCGGGACCCCTGCCTCCGCCTGCCTGCATGTGGGGTCTCCCTAGAAAGAAGCCTTTGGTAGGTGGGTGGGAAGATTAGGGTGCTTGAATGGGTACTGTGAGGAGGTGCAGTGGCACCAGGCTCTAGCAGCCTCCTGCCTCCAGGAGAGGCCCAGGTTGGGATCACTGCAGCGACCAACGCCTCGGATCACTCGAGGGCTAGAAGGCACCCACCAGGTGTGTGGACAGGAGCGCTCAGGGGCCTTGCACATTGGGCATATTATGGCGTCAGTTTCGGAATCAGCCTGCATGGAGTCGGACCAGGACACCCAGCCAGGATTCCGTCGTCGGGGAAGGGAACGCCCACATGGCTTGTGTGAAGGACATTCCAGGGGACGCAAAGGCTCTGGTGGCTGGGAGGAGCTGAGGGATGACAGATACCCCAAGGATTCTGTGGAGCTGGTCAGGTTTGGTGATAGGGTGCTCGCAGGTGGCCGGTGTGAAGGGTGCTTCAGGGGACACAGAGGCTCTGATGCCTGGGAGGAGCTCAGGGATGATGGAGACCCAAGGGACTCTATGGAGGTCTTCGGGACTGATGACGGCATGGAGGCCAGAGGAGCCAGGGGAGCCCGTGGGGACACATGGAAGCTGGTGGGAGAAGCTTTCCCACGCCCCCCACGTGGCCGGTGGTTCCTAGCAGGTGCTGGTTTGTACACTGGCCCTGGGCGGACTTGGCGTGGAAGGTGATGGGAGCTGCCCTCCCTAGAGAGCTTCTTCAGGCGCCTGCAGGAGACAGGAGGCACAGGCTGCAGCCGGGAGCACTGGGCACCTGTGGACCTCCAGGGCCCCCCTGCTGACTTCACAAAGCTCTGCCTACCCCTGCCCAGGGCTTTAGTGACATCACGGCTGTGATCTCCCCTCCCAGATCAGCCCTAGGCCCTGGGGTGGCATCCTAGGTCCTGGTAAGAAGGAGGACACGGGAGGGAAGAGGAAAGAGCCTCACTTTTCCAGCAGGAGAGTGTGGTCCTTAGTGTTCTCTAGTTCTTTCAAGAGACTTCTGCAAGCTGGAAAGCAGGAGATGGGTTATGGTGGTGAGGGAGGGATTAACACTTGAATAAGTGGACTGCAAAGCAAAGACGCTCAGTCTGGCCAGGAGGGGGTGACTACCTCCCACAGGCCCCCGAGTGGTGGGTGCATCCCACGCCAACCTCTCCTGGCCGGGCTGTCCCCTGGTAAAATGAGGTGGGAGCACTGGCCAGCAGATGAGGGCAGAATCCCACCCTCCTGGCCCCACAAAAGGATGGAGCCCTGTGCAGCAAAGACTTCAGGAGGCGGCCAGATGTGGTGGCTTATGCCTGTAATTCCAGCACTTTGGGAGGCCAGGGCAGGCGGATCATCTGAGGTCAGGAATTTAAAGGCAGCCTGGCCAACATTGTGAAACCCCATCTCTACTAAAAATACAAAAAATTAGCCGGGCGTGGTGGCGGGCACTTATATTCCCAGCTACTCCAGAGGCTGATGCAGGAGAATTGCTTGAACCCGGGAGGTGGAGGTTGCAGTGAGCTGAGATTGCGCCACTGCACTCCAGCCTGGGCAACAGAGCGACTCCATCTCAAAAAAAAAAAAGAGGGCCTCCCGAGGTGCCGGGATTGCAGACGGAGTCTCGCTCACTCAGTGCTCAATCTTGCCCAGGCTGGAGTGCAGTGGCGTGATCTCGGCTAGCTACAACCTCCACCTCCCAGCCGCCTGCCTTGGCCTCCCAAAGTGCCGAGATTGCAGCCTCTGCCCGGCCGCCACCCCGTCTGGGAAGTGAGGAGCGTCTCTGCCTGGCCGCCTATCGTCTGGGAAGTGAGGAGCCCCTCCGGCCGGCAGCCACCCCGTCCGGGAGGGAGGTGGGGGGTCAGCCTCCGCCCGGCAGCCGCCCCGTCCAGGAGGGAGGTGGGGGGCGCCTCTGCCCGGCAGCCCCGTCTGGGAGGTGAGGAGCCCCTCTGCCCGGCCACCACCCCATCTGGGAGGTGTACCCAACAGCTCATTGAGAACGGGCCATGATGACGATGGCGGTTTTGTGGAATAGAAAGGGGGGAAAGGTGGGGAAAAGATAGAGCGATCGGATTGTTGCTGTGTCTGTGTGGAAAGAAGTAGACATGGGAGACTTCATTTTGTTCTGTACTAAGAAAAATTCTTCTGCCTTGGGATCCTGTTGATCTATGACCTTACCCCCAACCCTGTGCTCTCTGAAACATGTGCTGTGTCCACTCAGGGTTAAATGGATTAAGGGCGGTGCAAGATGTGCTTTGTTAAACAGATGCTTGAAGGCAGCATGCTCCTTAAGAGTCATCACCACTCCCTAATCTCAAGTACCCAGGGACACAAACACTGCGGAAGGCCGCAGGGTCCTCTGCCTAGGAAAACCAGAGACGCTTGTTCACATGTTTATCTGCTGACCTTCCCTCCACTATTGTCCTATGACCCTGCCAAATCCCCCTCTGCCAGAAACACCCAAGAATGATCAATTAAAAAAAAAAAAAGAAAAAGAAAAAAGCTCCCGGAGGCGTCGTCCCTGGGAGCTTTTCTCCAGCCTCATAGCCCGCCTTGCGCCCAAGTGACAGCACGTAGCTTTCCTTTTGTGAGGGGAGCCCACAGGATTCACTCCCTTTTCCTATTTCCTCCGGGGTGAAGCCTCATGTGTCGGGACAATGTGGGATCAGGGACTGTCTGGGTGACCCTGGCGAGCCTCTCCTCACGGAGTTCTAGCGGCCATCAGGGAAAGGGGAGCACGCCCAGGGCAGCCGCCCCCAGGGGTGTTTGGATACAGGCCAGGAGCAGGCTGCTCTGTGATGGTGGGGCGGGGGGTGATGAGACTCCCCTGAGAGGCTCCCTTGGGCGCTGGAAAGATGGGACATGGGGAACCACCTCCTGCCTGGACCAGTTGATGCCCAGAGCCACTCCCCTGGGTCCTCATAGCTCCTTCCAGGAAGTGGGGATGTGGGTTTCCAGGGGAATCCAGGCCTTTAGGGAGAGTGGGAATCTGACTTTGGTCTTGCAGCTCCGCATTTTTCCTGCACATTTGCTGATTAGTTTATGCCTGTCAGGGGCCTCAGGGCCAGTGCTCAGTCCCAGGGTCTTAGGGTAGGAAAGATGATTCCCCAGATTTCCTGCAGGCATTTGAGCATGGTGGAAGGATCAGTGGAGCCTCCAGTGAAACTTGGCAGATTGCGCACTTCATTTATTTTCACTCTCCCAGGATCCTTCCCAAATTATCATAAATAAACAGAGAATTCTGAAACCTACAAAGAAAAATACAGCAAAAGAACAATGAATCAGTTTCAAAGCCTAGGCAGAGAGGCCGTAGGGTGACTGACAGCAGCCCCTGTGGGACTGGAGAGCAGACGGTTTGGTGGAAACGGCGCCCAGTTCCACAGAGGGAACTTGAGAAGCAAAGTGACTGAGCCAGCAGAGCCGGGCCCCAGACCCCCACCCCAGCCTGTAGGAGCTGCAGGTGTGATCTGGGAACACACTGTTCTGTCCCTTCTATTTTTCTCTTCATATAAGCTCTGGTTCTAGAAACAACTCACCTGCAGCCCGCTGTCTGGACCAGAACGTGGTAATGGGGCTGGACTATTTACAGGCCCATTGTGACTATTTACAGCCCTACTTACAGGCTGTACCACGGCCATCTCCCAGCACGTGCTCAGCTATGACGTCAAAATAAGGTAGAGCCGGCTGGATGAGGTGGGGCAGGGGAACCGGAGCTGTACACACAAGTGGTGGGGGCTCAGGGGCTCAATACTGTCTGGGGCCAGGGCTGTAAACATGGCTGGGGTGGCCCCTGTGTCATGGGGAGGAAGCCCGTGGGGGAAATGTCATTCTCATCACATCACATCACACCAAGGGTACCTGCTATTAACATGGCTTATCGCTTTTTAAAACATTTGAGATTCAGTGGGTGCATGCGCAGGTTTGTTACATGGATAAACCGTGTGGTGCTGAGGTTTGGGCTTCTAGTGAACCTGTCACTCAGATAGTGAAGACAGTGCCCAACAGGCAGTTTTTCAGCCCTTCCCCTGCTCCCGCTCTCCACACTTTTTGAGTTTCTAGTCACTTTTTTTTTTTTTGAGATGGAGTCTCTGTTGCCCAGGCGCTGGGACTACAGGCACCCGCCACCATGCCCGGCTAATTTTTTGTATTTTTAGTAGAGATGGGGTTTCACCGTGTTAGCCAGGATGGTCTCGATCTCCTGACCTCGTGATCCAGCCGCCTCGGCCTCCCAAAGTGCTGGGATCATGTAGGGTATGATCTCGGTGCCCTGCAACCTCCGCCTCCCGGGTTCAAGTGATTCTCCTGCCTCAGCCTCCTGAGTAGCTGGGACTATAGATGTGTGCCACCACACTCGGCTAACTTTTGCATTTTTAGAAGAGACGGGGTTTCACCACGTTGGCCAGGCTGGTCTCAAACTCCTGACTTCAAGTGATCTGCCCGCCTTAGCCTCCCAAAGTGCTGGGATTACAGGCCTGAGCCACCACGCCCGGCCCTTGGTCCATGGTTTTACACCAGTGACACCTATAAACTGATGATTCCCACATTTAAAATATCCAGCCAAAGCTCTCGGCCAATTTCTAGATTGTTCCTGTGCTTCCACAGCTTCTAGTGCCACTGGTATGTCTGACACCATCTTACGTTTAAGGTCAAAAGATTTCTGAAGCCCCCACACAACTCAAACCCAACTGCTCCCCCAGTGTTTTCCATCTCAGTCAAAGTAGCATCCTTCCCTCCCTTCCCCACCCACCCCGCAATTTACCTAGTTCCCTGGCCCCAGGTTCTCTCAGTGCCCACATGAGCAAGACCAGCTGGCTTTATCTTCAAAATAGACCCCGAACCTGTCTGCAGTATTTCCACCCTAGTCCAAGCAACCCGCAACCTTCCTGTCTGGATTCTTGTACCTGCTTCCTACAGGGCATCTCTGCTTCTACTCTTGCCCCCACTCCCCCACATAATCTTTACATGGATTTTTTAAAATAGGTAAATCAGACCATGCCACTTCCCTTCCCAGAGCCCTGCGGTGCTTTCTCATCATTAGAATAAATAGGTCTCCTGATCCAGGCCTTGCTTAGCTTTCTGACTTCCTTTTATTTTTTATTTATTTATTTATTTATTTTGAGACGGAGTCTTGCTCTGTCGCCCAGGCTGGAGTGCAGTGGTGTGATCTCGGCTCACTGTAAGCTCCGCCTCCCGGATTCACCCCATTCTCCCACCTCAGCCTCCCGAGTAGCTGGGACTACAGGCGCCCGCCACCACACCCGGCTAATTTTTTGTATTTTTAGTAGAGACGGGGTTTCACTGTGTTAGCCAGGATGGTCTCAATCTCCTGACCTCGTGATCCTCCCACCTTAGCCTCCCGAAGTGCTGGGATTACAGGTGTGAGTCACCGTGACCAGCTCTGACTTCCTTTTCTAATGCTGGAGACAGAGGTGACCCTGTGGAGACGTGGACCCTCTATTAGGTGGAGGGGAGAGGAGGAAAGAGACGGAGGGAGGGAGGGAAGAAAGGGAGAAAACACCAATAACTCAAAGAAGAATCACCATGTAAGCAACTGGTGCCCATCAGGAACATGCATCTTGCAAGAATCACCATGTAAGCAACTGGTGCCCATCAGGAACATGCATCTTGCAAGAATCACCATGTAAGCAACTGGTGCCCATCAGGAACATGCATCTTGCAAGAATCACCATGTAAGCAACTGGTGCCCATCAGGAACATGCATCTTGCAAGAATCACCATGTAAGCAACTGGTGCCCATCAGGAACATGCATCTTGCAAGAATCACCATGTAAGCAACTGGTGCCCATCAGGAACATGCATCTTGCAAGAATCACCATGTAAGCAACTGGTGCCCATCAGGAACATGCATCTTGCAAGAATCACCATGTAAGCAACTGGTGCCCATCAGGAACATGCATCTTGCAAGAATCACCATGTAAGCAACTGGTGCCCATCAGGAACATGCATCTTGCAAGAATCACCATGTAAGCAACTGGTGCCCATCAGGAACATGCATCTTGCAAGAATCACCATGTAAGCAACTGGTGCCCATCAGGAACATGCATCTTGCAAGAATCCCCATGTAAGCAACTGGTGCCCATCAGGAACATGCATCTTGCAAGAATCCCCATGTAAGCAACTGGTGCCCATCAGGAACATGCATCTTGCAAGAATCACCATGTAAGCAACTGGTGCCCATCAGGAACATGCATCTTGCCTGCTGTTATCTAATAGTCGAGACGTGAAGTGGGCTGGCAAATTTGTGGGTTCTGTTTTTTTTTTCAAGATGGAGTCTCACTCTGTCGCCCAGGCTGGAGTGCGGTGGCGTGATCTCAGCTCACTGCAACCTCTGCCTCCCGGGTTCATGCCATTCTCCTGCCTCAGCCTCCCGAGTAGCTCCGACTTCAGGCACCCGCCACCACGCTAATTTTTTGTATTTTTAGTAGAGAGGGGGTTTCACCGTGTTAGCTAGGATGGTCTTGATCTCCTGACCTCGTGAGCCACCGCGCCCGGCCGGCAAATTTATGGGTTCTTGTTATGGAGAATTGACCTAGGTTGATATTCATTCTGCCAGAGCCAGTGGAATTTGTAGTTTCTGAAAAGAGTTGTGTTATTTGGCAAAACCTGAATTGGGCATCACTTATCTTCATGTACTTAGCCAAAGCCCTAAAAAAACTTTTTTGAGGCTGTGTGCGGTGGTTCACGCCTGTAATCCCAGCACTTTGGGAGGCCGAGACGGACCGATCACGAGGTCAGGAGTTTGAGATCAGCCTGGCCAAGATAGTGAAACCCTGTCTCTACTAAAAATTAAAAAAATAAGCCAGGCGTCGTGGCAGGCACCTGTAATCCCAGCTACTCAGGAGGCTGAGGCAAAGAATTGCTTGAACCCGAGAGGCGGAGGTTGCAGTGAGCAGGCAGAGGAGACCCTGGAGCAATAATCCCTGGAAATAACAGGAATTTCAGGGACAAATCCAGATCCTCAAAAACTGTGAAACTGAGGGAGTCTGAGCAGAGATCTCCAATGAACCAGGTACCATCTGTGTGCCAGGGCAAGAGGACGGAAAACGGACCAGGTCTGTTTCTGACAGGTTGAGCAGGTGGAGTGGGAAGGAGGGATCCGGAAGGCCAGGAGGGTGGAGGGAACTGCAGGGGTGGGTGGTGGTGGGCGGGGCTGGGCTTTAGCCTCCTCCTCCCACTGCCCACCCCACCCTTAGGAGCCCTTTGTGAGGGGGAGGCCCCAGCTCTGTGATGTGGACCTGGGCCCCAATAACTTGTCCCAGAGGGGATGCCCAGGGCTCAGTTGCCTGAGGACAGCAGTGCAGTTGACATGGATATTCTCTTTCCTCTGGACAGTGTTATCGGTACAGAGCTGTGCCCCAGCCCCATTCCCCAGATCATCCATTTCGTCCTCTTTGTTGTGTTCAGCCTGGTGATCCTGATTATCTTACGCCTCTACATTCCCAGGGAGCCATCCTCAGTGCCTCCCAGAGAGGAGGACAGCGAGAATGTAAGGAGCCCTCAGCCCACACCCAGCAGAGAATGCTTCTATTTTTCCTGCTCTCTTTTCCACTTTTCCACATCAACCAGAGGCGCTCCTGTGATGGGAACTCTCATCATCCCTCTAGGGACAGCAGGGCAGGCAGGGGTTGGAGTGGGCATAGGATTTCCAACCCAAGCTCCCAGACCATCTGTGGAGGTGCACGGGAGGCGTCAGAGCAAAACCAAACCCCAGGACTCAGCGGCGAGGACCCGGTCATGAGAGGGGTGAGGTCTCTGTGGAAGGACAGGCCCTGAGCCCGGGCTCATCAGCCGCCTTCCCGGGCAGGTGCCTCGGGGCCCAGCCTCTGTGTGAGGTGCTCTGGGGGCTGTGCTGAGCCCCTGAGAGCCTCCCACCTGAGACTGGAGTCGCCCCTGGCCTCCTCGGAAGCAGAATCCTCCCTGCCAGCTCAGAGGCACCTGCAGACCCAAGAGTGTGTGTTTCCCAAGCAGCGGAACAGGGACTGAGGATGCCCAGGGCAGGCCTCACATAGAAAACCCCTCCATGCTTTCCAGAGAAGGAAACCAGAAAAAGGTTATTACGCACTTTAGAAACCAGTGAAAGAGAAGCACACAGGCTCCATGAGCTGGGCGGAGAAAGTGTGTCATTCACGAGCACTGGGTCTGCAGCTGTGGGGACAGGAGACTGAGACCCGGCCTGCACCCTCTTTCTTGTCTCTCAGGATCAAGCTGAAGTGGGGGAATGGCTCAGGATCGGAAATAAATATATCACTTTGAAAGGTAAGGCTCTGAGGGTCCCAGAAGCCCCAGAGATGACAGCTTCACCTGTCCCTAGGAACAAGCACCAAGTCTCCTAGGAAGTCATCTGCAGAGGCCTGATGGGGAAGCTCCTGGTAGGGCAATTGGAACCCGGGATCCATCTCCGATTCCCTGCTGAGTTGAAGCCATGGGGTCCAGGGAGCGGGTGTTGCCCAGGAGGGGACCAGTGACCACCTGGACGTGCAGGAGGGGATGCAGGTCCATGTGGGCAGCTGTTTAACATGGCTGAGTCCTCTTTGAGACTGCCTCTGTCCTCTCTCCCCAGGAGGTTGTCGTGACCCCCATGATGGAGCGTGTCGGGAAGCACTTTGGAGACGACAAAGTGCTGCCCACCGGGCACCTGGCTATCACTCCTGGGGCCCTGTGGCCTTGGACAGGGATGCTGGGGCTCCAGGGTCTAATCCCCAATCCCGGGGTCTCCCCTAAGGGCACACGCAATCGGCCTCCTGTAAGTCCCAGTTCCCTCCCTCGCCACCATAACCCATCTCCTGCTTTCCAGATTACAGAATTCTCTTGAAAGAACTGGAGAACCTTGAGATCTACACTTTCCTGTCGAAAAAGTGAGGCTCTTCCCCTTCCCTCCCATGTCCTTCTTCCTACCAGGGCCTAGGATGCCACCCCAGGGCCTGGGGCTGATCTGGGAGGGGAGAT
The DNA here is from genome assembly GCF_000001405.40 of Homo sapiens. NCBI lineage: Eukaryota > Metazoa > Chordata > Mammalia > Primates > Hominidae > Homo > Homo sapiens. The sequence continues at coordinate 415,425 of NW_016107298.1, forward strand.
CACAGCCATGATGTCACTAAAGCCCTGGGCAGGGGTAGGCAGAGCTTTGTGAAGTCAGCAGGGGGGCCCTGGAGGTCCACAGGTGCCCAGTGCTCCCGGCTGCAGCCTGTGCCTCCTGTCTCCTGCAGGTGCCTGAAGAAGCTCTCTAGGGAGGGCAGCTCCCATCACCTTCCACGCCAAGTCCGCCCAGGGCCAGTGTACAAACCAGCACCTGCTAGGAACCACCGGCCACGTGGGGGGCGTGGGAAAGCTTCTCCCACCAGCTTCCATGTGTCCCCACGGGCTCCCCTGGCTCCTCTGGCCTCCATGCCGTCATCAGTCCCGAAGACCTCCGTAGAGTCCTTGGGGTCTCCATCATCCCTGAGCTCCTCCAAGCCACGAGAGCCTCTGTGTCCCCTGAAGCACCCTTCACACCAGCCACCTGCGAGCACCCTATCACCAAACCCGACCAGCTCCACAGAATCCTTGGGGTATCTGTCATCCCTGAGCTCCTCCCAGCCACCAGAGCCTTTGCGTCCCCTGAAGCACCCTTCACACAAGCCACGTGGGCGTTCCCTTCCCCGACGACGGAATCCTGGCTGGGTGTCCTGGTCCGACTCCATGCAGGCTGATTCCGAAACTGACACCATAATATGCCCAATGTGCAAGGCCCCTGAGCGCTCCTGTCCACACACCTGGTGGGTGCCTTCTAGCCCTCGAGTGATCCGAGGCGTTGGTCGCTGCAGTGATCCCAACCTGGGCCTCTCCTGGAGGCAGGAGGCTGCTAGAGCCTGGTGCCACTGCACCTCCTCACAGTTCCCATTCAAGCACCCTAATCTTCCCACCCACCTACCAAAGGCTTCCTTCTAGGGAGACCCCACATGCAGGCAGGTGGAGGCAGGGGTCCCGCTTTCCTCAGCCTGGATGTGCCAACGCTGCTGGACGCATAAGACACCAAAATCCCAGACACTCCCATGGACACCGAATATCCGACATCCACGAACAATTGGGAATCTCCTGAGGACAACTTGGAGGTGCGTCCCCTCATCTGGGCACCCCACAGATGCTGGAAATGCATGTTCTAATGGATTGGGAGAGACGGAGATGGGGTCCAAACCTCCAGTCCCTGGAGCCCGTAAATCTCCTTGGGAGGCTTGGCGCCCACAGAGACCTCTTCCAGAGCGCTGCACACACAGATCTTCCTTCCTAGAGGATCTGAACTCACTTAGAAAACTGCCAGCACAGGAGGGATAACATCAGCTGTGCACCCCACTGGAGAACCCAGAGACTCTGGGTCATTGTCAACATTGCCCCCAGAATGGGCTCTCTGCTGGGGAAGATGCTCAGGAATTGCTGCTCTTTTGCAATGCCAGTCTCTCCTAACAGAACTGCAGATTCCACGTGTAGACCTGCAAACTTCTGTTCTCTGCAGTTCCCTGAGTCACAGTTTACACAATCACAATTTTTTTTTTTTTTTTTTAGATGGAGTCTCACTCTGTTGCTCAGGCTGGAGTGCAGTGGCACCATCTTGGCTCACCACAACCTCCGCCTCCCGGATTCAAGCCATTCTCCTGCCTCAGCCTCCCGAGTAACTGGGATTACAGGCTTGTGCCACCGCACCCAGCTAATTTTTGTAATTTTAGTCGAGAGAAGGTGTCACCATGTTAGCCAGGCTTGTCTTGAACTCCTGACCTTGAGATATCTGCCCACCTCAGCCTCTCAAAGTGCTGGGATTATAGGCTTGAGCCACCACGGCTGGATGAATCATAAATTGTAAACCTGAATAAAATGCTGCAACCTCCAATGAGAGGAAAATATCTTCTTTGTCCAATTTTAGTTATTGTCCAGTCAAATGGTATCAATGTCATATTTTAAAATTTCATTGGTAACAAGGCCTGAACTAGAGATGGGTGACTTCCTTGTTTTGGAAACACGATCAAGACCCACAGCGAGTGGATTCTAGAAATAAACCAGCAGAGGCATGTGGGCTCACACTGGCCTCCAGGGGCTGTGCAACTGGCACATTATTTTGCACATAACTTGGGTCAGGTTTGTGAGGTCTGGTTTTTAAACAAGTAAGTCAAATGTATGGCAGTATTTCTATTTTATCCTATGGCAAAATAATTCTTCCTAATTTTAATATTATTTTGTTCCTTAGGATTTGACAAAGTCTTAATGTTCAGCCAACATGGCTTAAGCTGTTGAACTACTCAGTTTTGTTTTGTTTTGTTTTATTTTTTTGAGACGGAGTCTTGCTCTGTTACCCAAACTGGAGTGCAGTGGCGAGATCGCAACTCACTGCAATCTCCACCTCCTGGATTCAAGCCATTCTCCTGCCTCAGCCTCCTGAGCAGCTGGGACTACAGGCGCCCGCCACCACGCCTGGCTAATTTTTGTATTTTTAGTAGAGACAAGGTTTCACCATGTTGACCAGGATGGTCTCCATCTCTTGACCTCGTGATCCGCCCGCCTCAGCCTCCCAAAGTGCTGGGATTACAGGTGTGAGCCACCCCGCTCGGCCTTTTTGTTTGTTTGTTTGAGACAGAGTCTCACTTTATTGCCCAAGCTGGAGTACAGTGGCGCGATGTTGGCTCACTGCAACCTCCACCTCCCAGGTTCAAGCGATTCTCCTGCCTCAGGTTCCCGGGTAACTGGGATTATAGGTGCTGGCCACCACTGCCTAGGCTGGTCTCAAACTCCTGACCTCGTGATCCACCCACCTCAGACTCCCAAAGTGCTGGGATTACAGGCATGCGTCACTGCACCAGTCCCCTTCATGCATTTTTGAATTGAGTTGTTTGATTTGTTGTTGGCAAATATTTTCCCTCATGCTGTGGGTTGCTCCTTACATTTTTTTTTTTTTTTTTTTTTTTTTGAGACAGAGTCTCACTCTGTCACACAGGCTGGAATACAGTGGCAGGAGCTCTGCTCACTGCAACCTCTGCCTCCCGGGTTGACGCCATTCTCCCAATTCAGCCTCTCGAGTAGCTGGGACTATAGGCGCCCGCCACCACGCCTGGCTAAATTTTTTTTTGAATTTTTAGTAGAGACGGGGTTTCACCGGGTTAGCCAGGATGGTCTTGATCTCCTGACCTCATGATCCATCCACCTCGGCCTCCCAGAGTGCTGGGAACACAGGCGTGAGCCACCATGCCCGGCCGCTCCTTACATTTTTGAGCCTTCATAATCAATCTTCCTTCCTTTCTTTCTTTCTTTTTTTTTTTTTGATGGAGTTTTCCTCTTGTTGCCCAGGCTGGAGTGCAATGGCGTGATCTTGGCTCACCGGAACCTCCACCTCTTTGGTTCACGCGATTCTCCTGCCTCAGCATGCCAAGGATTATGAGCAGGCGCTGCCACCACGCCCTGTTAATTTTGTATTTTTCAGTAGAGACAAGGTTTCTCCATGTTAGTCAGGCTGGTCTCCAACTCCTGACCTCAGGTGATCTCCCTGCCTCGGCCTGGTTACAGGCATGAGCCACCGCACCAGGCCTTTTTTTTTTTTTTTTTTGAGACAGAGTCTTGCTGTGTCACCCAGGTTGGAGTGCAGTGGCGCCATCTTGGCTCACTGCAGCCTCCGCCTCTCAGGTTCAAGTGATTCTCCCACCTCAGCTTCCCGAGTAACTGGGATTACTGCCCCACCACGCCCGGCTAATTTTTGTATTTTTAGTAGAGACAGGGTTCCACCATGTTGGCCAGGCTGGTTTCGAACTCCTGACCTCGTGATCTGCCCACCTTGGCCTCCCAAAGTGCTGGGATTACAGGTGTGAGCCACCACGCCTGGCCCAAGTCTTCATAATTTCATTCTCCATTTGGAAGGATGCTTGGCCCATTGCTTACTAGCTCTGCATTTGTGTCTTCATTTCATGCATTTGTCCATCCAGTCAGTGAATGTTCAAGTACATTCCATTTGCCTTGCCCTAGGATGACCGGAGGAGAAAAGATCCCTTTCCTGGAGAAGCTTAGAATCTAGCAGGGAGATGAAGAAAAATGAGTAACTTTACAATCCAGTCCACAGCTACAAGTTTCAGCAAGTGCTATGCACTATAATGAGAGCCCCTAATTGGGAGCTATTTGGGAGTTGGGGAGAGTTGCTGAGAAAGTGATGCGTGGCCTGGTCAGGCAGAGGGAAGCAGGCTTTGAGGCTAAGAGGCCAAGGGCCTGGAGCGGCAGCCCCCAAGCTGGACAGGGAGGGAGCCGATTCTACTTGGAGAGCAAACACTGAAGCCTCAAGTGACACAATCCAATTCATATCCTTTTTTTTAAATTTTATTTTAAGGATGGGGTCTCATTCTGTTGCCCAGGCTGAGTGCAGTAGCACGATCATAGCTCACTGCAATTCAAACTCCTAGGCTCAAGCAATTCTACTGGCTCAGCTGGAGACTGTAGCTGGGACTACAGACACGCACCACCACACCTGGTTAATTATTTTTATCTTTAAAAAATTTTTGTTTTTTGTTTTTGAGACGGAGTTTCGCTCTGTCGCCCAGTCTGGAGTGCAGTGGCGAGATCTCGGCTCACTGCAAACTCTGCCTCGCGGGTTCAAGCAAATCTCTGCCTCAGCCTCCTGAGTAGCTGAGATTACAGGCGCCCGCCACCATGCCTGGCTATTTTTTTTTTTTTTTGTATTTTTAGTAGAGACAGTGTTTCACTGTCTTGGCCAGCTTGATCTTGAACTCCTGACCTCGTAATCCACCTACCTCAGCCTCCCAAAGTGCTGGAATTACAGGCGTGAGCCACCGTGCCCGGCCTGGAATTTTCTTTTTGTAATGCTTTTGTCAGGTTTTTGTCTTAGGTTAAGCTGGCCTCACATAAGGAACTGAACACTTCCTCTATTTTCTCAAAGCGTTTGTATGAGACTGGTGTTGATGTCTTCACTGAATATTTGATTCAAAACAAATGATTAATATAATAAAAAAAAATTGACCAGTCAGCTGAGTGTGACGGCTTTTGCCTGTAATTCAAGCACTTTGGGAGGCCGAGGCAGGAGGATTGCTTGAGGCCAAGAGTTTGAGCCAAGCCCTGGCAACATAGCAAGACCCTACCTCTCCAAAAGATAAAATAAAAAGCCAGGCACGGTGGCTCAGGCCTGCAATATTAGCAGTTGGGGAGGCCGAGGCGGGCACATTGCCTAAGCTCAGGAGTTTGAGACAAGCCTGGGCAACACGGTGAAACCCTGTCCCTACTAAAACACAAAAATTAGCCAGGCGTGGCAGCGGCATGCACCTGTATTCCCAGCTACTCGGGAGGCTGAGGCAGGAGAATTGCTTGAACCCGGCAGGCGGAGGTTGCAGTGAGCCGAGATCGGGCCACTGCACTCCATGCTTCAGCCTGGGTGACAGAGCAAGACTCCGTCTCTAAAATAAATAAATAAAATAAAATAAAACAAAATACTAAGCGGTTAAATCATCCAGGCCTGGGTTTTTCTTTTCGGAAAGTATGGATAACAAATTCAGTTTCCTTACTTGTGTTTCTTTTTTTTTTTTGAGACGGAGTCTCGCTCTGTCTGTTGCCCAGGCTGGAGTGCAGTGGCCCGATCTTGGCTCACTGCAAGCTCCGCCTCCCGGGTTGACGCCATTCTCCCAACTCAGCCTCTTGAGTAGCTGGGACTACAGACGCCCGCCACCACGCCTGGCTAATTTTTTTTTGGATTTTTAGTAGAGACGGGGTTTCACCGTGTTAGCCAGGATGGTCTCGATCTCCTGAACTCGTGATGCGCCTGCCTCGGCCTCCCAAAGTGCTGGGATTACAGGCGTGAGCCACTGCGCCCGGCCACTTGTGTTTCTTTTCAAGAATGGACCCCATGGCAGACATCCATGAGTTTTCATGGTCAGAAATTGGTCTCATGCACACCCCAGCCAACCGAGGTGAGAGAAATGGCATTACAGTGATTGGCTTAGACACGTCAGGATATGTCCCTGAACCAGGACAAGAGGCACCTTCTCCAAGGGTGGATCCCAAAGAAAGTCAGAGGTCTTGGCAAAGAATGGGGAAAAGGGATTATGTAGGCAACCCAGTGTCTGCTACAGAATGAGCAGCGGAGAAGAAAGCAACCTGAAAGGCTGAGTAATTACAAAAAAAGACTAAATTAAATCCATACAAGAGCAAGTTTGCTCTGTTTCCACCTTCACTAGGAATGAGGGCTCAGAGCAGGGCATGCTGGGAAGTAGAAAATAAAGTTACCATTTTTCTGTTTCAGCCATAGCGTGTACATATTACCCTACTCTAGCCCACCCCCTTCTCTCACACACAGTAGTTGTTAAAATAAAAACTTGGCCAGGCGGGATGGTTCACCCCTGTAATCCCAGCACTTTGGGAGGCCTAGGTGGGCGGATCACGAGGTCAAGAGTTCGAGACCAGCCTGACCAACATGGTGAAACCCCATCTCTATTAAAAATACAAAAATTAGCTGAGTATGGTGGCACGCGCCTGTAATCCCAGCTACTCAAGAGGCTGAGGCAGAAGAATAGCTTGAACGCGTGAGGTGGAGTTTACAGTAAGCTGAGACTGTGCCATTGTACTCCAGCCTGGGCGACAAAGCGAGACTCCGTCTCTAAAATAAAATGAAATCAAATCAAATCTTGGGCTGGGAGGCCAAGATTATCTGTCCCGAAATTTGACAGATTATAATTATTTTTTAGAAGTGGAATCTTGCTGTGTCACGCAGGCTGGAGTCCAGTGGCACAATCACAGTTCACTGGAGCCTCCAACTCCTGGGCCCAAGCTATCCTCCCATCTCAACTTCCCAGCTGGCTGGGACCACAGGCAGGTGCCACCACACCCAAGTAATTATTTTTTAAGTATTTTTTAATTTTTTGTAGAGACGAAGACTCGTTTTGTTTTCTGGGTTTCTTTTTTTTTCTTCTTCTTCTTTTTTTGACAAGAGTTTCACTCTGTCGCCAGGCTGGAGTCAGTGGCACGATTTCGGCTCACTGCAACCTCCACCTCCCGGGTTCAGGCAATTCTCCTGCCTCAGCCTCCCAAGTAGCTGGGACTATAGGCGGGCGCCATCACACTAATTTTTGTATTTTTAGTAAAGACGGGGTTTCCCCATGTCGGCCAGGATGGTCTCGATCTCTTGACCACATGATCCACCCACCTGGGCCTCCCAGAGTGCTGGGATTACAGGCGTGAGCCACGGCGCCTGGCCCCCTGGGCTGGTCTTGAGGTCCTGGGCTCAAGTAAGCCTACCTCTGAGCCTTCCAAATTGTTGGGCTTATAGGCGTGAGCCACTGCACGGTCTCAAATAATTATTTTAGGGTTGAGTTTTTACTGAATCTGGTGAGTTTGACTAATGTAAGACTTCCCTTTGGCCCTGGGCAAGTATAAAAGATAAATTGAGGCCGGGCGCGGTGGCTCATGCCTGCAATCCCAGCAGTTTGGGAGGCTGAGGTGGGCGGTTCACCTGAGGTCAGGAGTTCGAGACCAGCCTGATCAACATGGAGAACCCCTGTCTCTACTAAAAATACAAAATTAGCCGGGCATGTGGTACATGCCTGTAATCCCAGCTACTCGGGAGGCTGAGGCAGGAGAATCGCTTGAACCCAGGAGGAAGAGGTTGCTGTGAGCCGAAAGTGCGCCATTGCACTCCAGCCTGGGCAACAAAAGAGAAACTCTGTCTCAAAAAAAAAAATTTTTTTTTTAATTAAAATTAAAAAAAAAAAAAGAAAGATAAAGCGAAGTCCATGTGTCAGGAGCAAGCACAGGACAAAGTCACACAGAGCGGTGTGAGAGGGAGGCTGGGAGGGCAGCCACAGCTGTGCGGGGTGGTCTGGAGAGGACATGGGGCAGCCACAGCTGTGCGGGGTGGTCTGGAGAGGACATGGGGCAGCCACAGCTGGGAGCGGGGGCAGGGGCTGGGGAGGAGAGGAGGAATGTGCAAGCTCAGCTGTGCAAGCTGGGGTCAATGGCTACATCAGAACCAGACCCCATTGCTGGTAGCTTCACCGTCTCGCTCTCATGGGGCCTCCCAGCTATCCCAAATCTCCAAGAAACAGACTCAGAGACCTGCGGTCAGAGGTCCAGCGAGGGGGAGAGCGGAAGTGAGCTCCAGGCCACGTACAACGGCAGTCCCGGTTCCCCGCCATCAGCACGACCTGTGTGAGAGCACAGGGTATCTGGGCAGAAGGAAAACTAGGGGAGCCTCATCCAGCGCTGGAGATGGAGAAGCTTTGGGCTTCTCGACGGCGAGGCACCCGGGGAACGGGGAGTCACTTAGAACCTCAAAGTAGCCTCGGGCGAGAACAAGCGAAGCAATTCCAAGCTCTACCAGGTCACGGAGGGCGCGAAACCCGCCCCGCGCTCCGGCCGGCCGGCAGGGGGCGCGCGCTCCCCGAACTCCCGCGCACCGCGGAGGAGGCGGCCCTGGCGCGGGGAAGCAGTGGGAAAATCGCAAGGAAGCCGGGTAAGGACCTTTCATTTTCAGCCCTGCTCTTTAAATACTAGACATACCGTCTGGCGCATGTCGAGGCGTGTATTATTTTGATCCAGTGCGCGTGCCGTATGTGACTTGGCTTGGCTTCCCCTGAAAGCAGCGGCTGTGGGGAGTTGATTCGGAAGTGAAGGGCCCTGGGCGACCCGGCGAGTAGAGGCAACACCAACACTCCTCCTTAGCGAGGGGTCTCCCCGCCGCGGTGGCTGCCCGGCCCCAAGGACAGGAGGGATTTGTGCACTGACTCCTGACCCCGTCCTCCAGCGCTGCTCTGAAGGGAGAGTCTGTGCAGTGGCACCTGCGCGAAGCTGGCCAAAGCCTGCCCAGACGGCTCACCTGTGCGGGATGGAACAAAAGGTGAGCCCAGGGGGCCTGATAAAATGACCTCAGTAGCCGCCTGTGGGAGGGGACCCTGAGGAAAGCACCACAGTGACTACCAAGCGCCTTATGTCAGGGCTATTTATGACAGAGGGAAATCGGTGCGTGTTTGAGATACATTCCGTGAAGTGGAATTGCCTGATCAGAGGGTGAAGGCACACGCAGTTTTGCTCCCCGTAGGAATTGCTCCATCGTGCATTTTCTTCAGCATTTATGTGAGTGCCCTCCCCCAGCCTTGCTGGCAGTGGATGTTGCAAACTCTTGGGTTTTTGCTAATCCGTCAAGAGAGCAGAGATCTCCTTTTTTTTTTTTTTTTTTTTTTTTTTTGAGGCGGATTCTCATCTCCCAGGCTGAAGTGCGGTGCTCACTGCAACCTCTGCCTCCCGGGTTCAAGCGATTCTCCTGTCTCAGCCTCCCAAGAAGCTGGGTATTACAGGCATGCACCACCACAACTGGCCAATTTTTGTATTTTTAGTAGAGACGGGATTTCACCATGTTGGCCAGGCTGGTCTTGAACTCCTGACCTTGTGATCCACCTGCCTCGGCCTCCCAAAGTGCTGGGATTACAGACATGAGCCATCGCCCCCGGCCTCTTTGTTTGTTTTTGAGACAGGGTCTTGCTCTGTCGCCCAGGCAGGAGTGCAGTGGCGCAATCTCGGCTCACTGCAACCTCTGCCTCCCGGGTTCAAGTGATTCTCCTGCCTCAGCCTCCCGAGTAGTTGGGACTACAGGTCCACGCCCAGATAATTTTTTGTATTTTTAGTAGAGACAGGGTTTCACCATGTTGGCCAGGATAGCCTCGATCTCTTGACCTCGTGATCCACCGGCCTCGGCCTCCCAAAGTGCTGGGATTACGGGCATGAGCCACCGTGCCTGGCCTTAATTTTTGTATTTTTAGTAGAGATGGGGTTTCACCATGTTGGCCAGGATGGCTCTTAGTTTATTTTTAATTTTTATTTTACATTTCTGTGATTAGGAGGAAGATTGAGCACCCTACCTTATACTCAAGGCTTTTCATTGCGGTTTTTTTTTTTTTTTTTTTTTGGCCAGGGTTTCACTCTTGTTGCCCAGGCTGGAGAGCAATGGCGCCATCTCGGCTCACCACAACCTCAGCCTCCCTAGCTCAAGCGATTCTCATGCCTCAGGCTCCCGAGTAGCTGGGATTACAGGCATGCGCCACCATGCCTGGCTAATGTATTTTTAGTAGAGATGGGGTTTCTTCATGTTGGTCAGGCTGGTCTCGAACTCGCGACCTCAGGTGATCTGACTTCAGGTGATCTGCCGGCCTCGGCCCCCCAAAGTGAGCCACCATGCAAGCCACCGCACCCGGCCTCATTGCAGTATTAATTGTATTAACGAAAGACAGGAAACACAAAACCACAGTGGGGTACCACCTCACACCCATCAGGATGGCTAGTATTAAAGCAACAGAAAATAACAAGTGTTGGCTGGGCGCGGTGGTTCACGCCTGTAATCCCAGCACTTTGGGTGGCCAAGGCGGGCAGATCACCTGAGGTCAGGAATTCAAGACCAGCCTGGCTAACATGGTGAAACCCCCCACCGTCTCTACTAAAAAAAATACAAAAATTAGCTAGGTGTGGTGGCGGGCACCTGTAATCCCCACTACTCAGGAGGCTGAAGCAGGTGAATCACTTGAACCCGGGAGGCAGAGGTTGCAGTGAGCCAAGATCGTGCCATTCCACTCCAGCCTCGGTGACAAGAGCGAAACTCTGTCTCAAAAAAATAAAAAAAGAAAAAGAAAATAAGTGTTGTAAGGATGTGGAGAAACTGGAACCCTTGTGCACTGTTGGTGGGAATGGAAAAAGATACAGCTGCTGTGGAAAATGGTATGGAGGCTCCTCAAAATATTTAACACAGAACTATATGTAGTAATTCTGCTTCTGTGTATATACCCAAAAGAACTCAAAGCAGTTCTTCATTTATTTATGTATCTTTTTTTTTTTTTTTGAGACAGGGTCTCACTCTGTCACCTAGACTGGAGTGCGGTAGTACGATCATGGCTCACTGCAGCCTCGAACTCCTGGACTCAAGCCATCCTCCTGCCTCAGCCTCCCCAGTAGCTAGGACTATAGACATATACCACTGCATCTGGCTAATTATTTTATTTATTTATTTATTTATTTATTTAGAGACAGAAGCTCGCTCTGTTGCCCAGGTTGGAGTGCAGTGATGCAATCTCGGCTCACTGCAGGCTCCGCTTCCCGGGTTCCAGGGATCCTCCTGCCTCAGCCTCCCTAGTAGCTGGAACTACAGGCACCCACCACCACTCCCACTTGGCTAAGTTTTTGTGTTTTTAGTAGAGACGGAGTTTTACCATGTTAGCCAGGATGGTCTCGGTCTCCTGACCTCGTGATCTGCCCGCCTTGGACTCCCAAAGTGCTGGGATTACAGGCGTGAACCACTGCGCCCAGCCATTTTTTTTTTTTTTTTTGAGAAGAAGTCTTGCTCTGTAGCGCAGGCTGGAGTGCAGTGGTGCGATCTCAGCTTACCGCAGCCTCCACTTTCTCGGGTTCAAGTGATTCTTCTGCCTCAGCCTCCTAAGTAGCTGGGACTACAGGTGCACGCCACTGCACATGGCTAATTTTTTACATTTTTAGTGGAGACAGGGTTTCACAATGTTGGCCAGACTGGTCTTGAACTCCCAACCTCAGTAATCTGCCTGCCTCAGCCTCCCAAAATGCTAGGATTACAGGTGTGAACCACTGCGCCCATGCATCTGGCTAAATTTAATTTTTTTTTTTTTTAATAGAGACAGAGTCTCAATTTGTTGCCCAGGCTGGTCTCAAATTCCTGGGTTCAAATGATTCTCCTGCCTCAGGCTCTCAAAGTGCTGCGATTACAGGCATGACGCAGCTTTATTTATAATAGCCAAACCTGGGAACAACATAAATAATTTCCATCAACGGGTGAATGAATAAACAAATTGTAGTATTTATTAATTTATTATTATCTGAGACGGAGTCTTCCTCTGTTGCTCAGGCTGGAGCGCAGTGGCACGATCTTGGCTCACTGCAACCTCCGCCTCCTGGGTTCAAGCAACTCATGCCCCAGCCTCCAAAGTAGTGTGTGCCATCACACCTGTCTAATTTTTGTATTTTTACTAGAGATGGGTTTTCACCAAGTTGCCCAGGCTGGTCTCAAACTCCTGGCCTCACGTGATCCACTGGCCTTGGCCTCCCAAAGTGCTGGGGTTACAGGCGTGAGCCACTGTGCCCAGCCTTTTGTTGTTGTTGTTGTTTGAGACAGGGTCTCACTCTGTCGCCCAGGTTGGAGCATACTGGCAGGATCACAGCTCATTGCAGCCTTGACCTTCTGGACTCAAGCGATCCTCCCACCTCAGCCTCCCGAATAGCTGGGAGTACAGTCTTGTGCCATCATGCCTGGCTAATTTTTGTGTTGTTAGTAGAGTCAGGGTCTCACCATGTTACCCAGGCTGGTCTCAAACTCCTGACCTCAAGTGATTCACCCACCTTGGCCTCCCACAGTGCTGGGATTACAGGCATGAGCCACCGCACCTGGCCTCAAATGATTTTTCTGTATCTATTGAGATCGTATGGCTTTTCTCTTGTTTTCCTTTTGTTTCCTTTTTTTTTTTTTTAAGAGAGGGTCTTGTGTTGTTGCCCAGGCTGAAGTGCAGTGGTTCAATCATAGCTCACTGCAGCCTTGACCTCCTGTGCTCAAGTGATTCTTCCACGTCAGCCTCCCAAGTAGATGGGAGGCACATGCCACCATGCCCAGCTAATTTTTTTGTAGAGATGGGGTTTCGCCATGTTGTCCAGGCTGGTCTCAAACTCCTGGACTCAAGTGATCTGCCGACCTCATCCTCCCAAAATGCTGGGATTACAGGTGTGAGCCTCTGCGCCCAGCCTGCTTTTTCTCTTTTAATCTGTTTATGTATATATTATATTTATAGATTTTTTCCTAACATTGGTCACCTTTGTAGTCCTAGGATAAACTCAGCTTGCTCATGACAAATTGCCACTTCAATACATTGTTGAATTTGGTTTGCTAATAATTTGTAGAGTTTTTTGCATTTGGCTTTCTTGTTGCTGACTTCAAATTAAATTGCTTCTATCTTTCTGAGGGAACTGAGGGTGATTTTCTTTTCTTTTCTTTTTTTTTTTTTTGAGACAGAGTCTCGCTCCGTCACCCAGGCTGGACTGCAATGGCGCGATCTCAGCTCACTGCAACCTCTGCCTCCTAGGTTCAAGTGATTCTCCTGCCTCAGCCTCCTGAGCAGCTGGGACTGCAGGCACGCACCACCATGCCCAGCTAAGTTTTGTATTTTTAGTAGAGACGGGGTTTCACCATGTTGGTCAGGCTAGTCTTGAACTCCTGACCTCAGGTGATCTGCCTGCCTCAGCCTCCCAAAGTGCTTGGATTACAGAAGTGAGCCACCACGCCCAGCCAATGAAAAAAAAATTTTTTTTTCTTTTTCTTTGAGACAGAATTTCGCTCTTGTTGCCCACTGTTGTCCAGGCTGGAATGCAATGGCACGATCTCAGCTCACCACAACCTCCGCCTCCTGGGTTCAAGTGATTCTCCTACCTCAGCCTCCTGAGTAGCTGGGATTACAGGTATGTGCCACCATGCCTGGCTAATTTTGTATTTTTAGTAGAGACGGGGTTTCTCCATGCTGGTCAGGCTGGTCTCGAACTCCCGACCTCAGGTGATCCGCCTGCCTCGGCCTCCGAAGGTTTTGGGATTACAGGTGTGAGCCACTGCCCCCAGCCTGAAAAAAATTTTATCATAGAAAATATCCAACCATAAACAAAATTAGTGAGAACAGTATTATAAACCCTCATGTACTCATCACCCAGTTCCTTTTTGTTTTTTTTTTAGATGGAGTCTCGCTCTGTCGCCACAGTGCAGTGGTGCTATCTGGGCTCACTGCAACCTCCATCTCCCGGATTCAAGCGATTCTCCTGCCTCAGCCTCCCGAGTAGCTGGGACTACAGGCACCTGCCACCACGTCCAGCTCATTTTTTTGTATTTTTAGTAGAGACGGGGCTTCACCATGTTGACTAGGATGGTCTCGATCTCCTGACCTCGTGATCCGCCTGCCTCGGCCTCCCAAAGTGCTGGGATTACAGGTGCTCATCATCCAGTTTCTATAATAATTGATGACCAAACTTTTTTCCTATATAGACCCACCCATTTTCTCTACTGACTTCCCAGACTACTTGGAAACAAATGGCAGACATCATATCCCTTTATCTGTAAACACTCTAGTAATATCTTCAAAAGATAAGGATAAAAAAAACCTATAATCCTAATCTATACATGTCATGCATGCATCTAACAATACCGCAGTAGAAATCTAAGAATACTGCAATAGAAAATATTTGATCCAGTTGGGGACGGTGGCTCATGTCTGTAATCCCAGCACTTTTGGAGGCCGAGGCAAGCTGATCATGAGGTCGGGAGTTTGAGACCAGCCTGGCCAATATAGTGAAACCCCATCTCTACTAAAAAATACAAAAATTAGCTGGGCGTGGTGGCGTGCGCCTGTACTCCTGGCTACTTGGGAGGCTGAGGCAGGAGAATAGCTTGAGCCCAGGAGGCGGAGGTTGCAGTGAACCGAGACTGCGCCACTGCACTCCAGCCTGGGTGACAGAATGAGACTCTGTCTCAAAAAAAAGAAAAAAAAATATTTGGTCCATTTTCACTCTTCTCCAGTTGTCTTATGTGTTGCCTTTGTTGGTGGTATATGTTGTTCTGTTTTGTTAGGTTTGTTTGAATCAAGAGGCAAATGAAGACCTCGCATTGTGACTGGTTGATCTCTGTCTCCCCACAGGTCGGCTTGAGGTTTGCGAGTCCCAGCTCCCACTGCCCCTGCCACCTGCCTTTCCCTTCTCAGGACATACACAGGACTGGGAGAAAATAGACTAAGTATTTGATATTACAGTATTGTTAGGTTTTTATATGTGCGGTATCTTAGGAGGGAACAGAAAGCAGCAGACACACCACTGACGATGGCTTCCAGTGTGGCAGGGGCCAAAGCCCTTGCTCTGTGGCTCCAGGGGCAGCCTGTGCAGGCCCAGCCTGGGGCCACTCATGCTCCCCAGCCCCACACGAGGCCCATCCCGTCTCAGCATAGGCTTCCTTCTTTCCACTGTTCCTGGAGACCCAGCAGGCTGTCATGGGCCTTTGGTCCCTACACAGTCCACTCCAGTGGCCACCAGGCTTCTGCAGCCATCATTTCCCATGTGCACGTGGGAAAGAACTGGGCCAGGCTTCTAAGTTATCTAGACCTTCCTTTTTTTTTTTTTTTTTTTTTTTTTGAGACACAGTCTCACTGTGTCGCCCAGGCTGGAGTGCAAGTGGTACGATCTCAGCTCACTGCAACCTCTGCCTCCTGGGTTCAAGTGATTCTCTGCCTCAGCCTTCCAAGTAGCTGGGATTACAGGTGCACACCAACACACCCAGCTAATTTTTGTATTTTTAATAGCGATGGGGTTTCACCATGTTGGCCAGGATGGTCTCGAACTCCTGATCTCAAGTGATCCGCCCACCTCAGCCTCCCAAAATGTTTGGATTACAGGCATGAGCCACCACCCCTGGCCTGGACCCTCTTTTTGACATGTGTGAGCATAGGCAGCAAGCAAGGCCGTGCAGAGAAGGGGTGCTTCCAGACTGCCCAGGCCAGGGGCATCATTAAGGGTGGGACTGTCTCGAGAGTGTCATAGGAGAGTTGAGACCAACACACAAGTGTTGGAGATGATGGTTGAGGCAGGAGCAAGGTTTTTTGGGGTTTTTAAGATGGGGTCTTGCTTGTAGCTCATAGCAATCATAGCTTACCGCAGCCTCAAACTGCTGGGATCAAGTGGTCCTCCCGACTCAGCCTTCAGAGTGACTAGGACTACAGGTGGGCACCACTGTGCCGGGCGAGTGTTAATTATTACCATAGGTTTAAAAATATGCTTTGTACTGGGTTTGCATAGGCCATTTCCCCTCTGTCTGCAGGGTACTGATGTCCCCATCTCTCTGCATAGCTGCAAAGGGGACCAGGGAGGCATTGCTGTGGCAACCGCCATGGCAGGGTCAAGGAGCTCCTTGTGTGGCTTTCACACTTCTGACGGGCTGAGATCCAGATCCAGGCCCCAGACCTGTGGTAATGCTGCTCATCGAGCCACCACCTGGGCTGAGGAGCAGAAATGAGGCCCCCAGGTCAGAGCAGAGACCTGCCGGGGCCACCTCCATCATCAGCCCTGATTTGGGGCCACCCTCTCATGTCCCTCATCCTCCTGCCCAGTGAAGCAGTGGCTGCTCCAGCTGGAGCTCCAGGAGAGAGGGCTAGGCTATGCCTTGAACCAGAGCCTGGGTGATGAAAGGGCCCCAAAGTGGGACCAGCCTGACTGTCCCCTTCCATCAGGCAGAGAGGAAAAGCATGGCACTCCCCCGCTGGGAAATACCCTGCAGTCACAGGATGAACCGGCTAGATGTGTGGACATTGCTAGGTCTTTTTTTTTTTTTATTAGAGATGGGGTCTCGCTCGGTTGCCCAGGCTGGAGTACAGGGGCACAATCATGGCTCACTGCAGGCTCGAACTCTTGGGCTCGAGCCATCCTCCCATCTGAGGCTCCCAAGTAGCTGGGACCACAGCTATGTGCCACCATGTCTGGCAGGAGCAAGATTAAAGTGTATAGTGGGAAGCCATTCGGAGCTAAGCAAGATGCAGGCAGGAAAAGTAGAGAAGTGGGGACTGTGGTTGTGAACACTGTACTCCTGGCCAGACATGGGACAGGCAGGTAACTTTCTGGAGAACACCCTGCCAGCTGTAATCAGACACCCTGGGGCCCCTACGGAAAGGAGGGCACAGCTCCATCCTGGCCAACACAAGGCCAATGCATGGATCCTCCATGGGACCTGTGGCTGTGGCACAGTCGCATATGTTTTTCATCCTTTTTACCCTGCACACGTTCTCTCAAGCACCTTTTATTTTTATTTTTTTGAGACAGAGTCCTGCTCTTTTGCCCAGGCTGGAGTGCAGTGGTGTGATCATAGCTCACTGCAGCCTCAACCTCCCAGGTTCAAGCGATTTTCCTGCCTCAGCCTCCAGAGTAGCTGGGACCACAGGTGCATGCCACTACCTCTGGCTAATTAAAAAAATTTTTTTGTAAAGATGGAGTCTGGCCATGTTGCTCAGGCTGTTTTTTTTTGTTGTTGTTGTTTGTTTTTGTTTTTTTGAGATGGAGTCTTGCACTGTCGCCCAGGCTGGAGTGCAGTGACACAATCTCGGCTCACTGCAACCTCCACCTCCCGGGTTCAAGTGATTCTCCTGCCTCAGCCACCCAAGTAGCTGGGACTACAGGTGGATGCCATAACACCCGGCTAACTTTTGTATTTTTAGTAGAGATGGAGTTTCATCATGTTGGCCAGGCTGGTCTTGAACTCCTGACCTCAGGCGATCTGCCCGCCTCAGCCTACCAAAGTGCTGGGATTACAGACATGAGCCACTGCGCCCGGCCTCAAGGACTTCTGGGCTTTGCAGGGTCAGTTTTTCCTCTAAAGATTTGTGCTTCTTGTGCTTTTCTGGCTAATATTCTATTTTGGACAACCATCCCTGCACAATCGCCACTGACAATTTTTTTTTTTTTGAGACCGAGTCTCATTCTGTTGCCCAGACTGGGGTGCAGTGGTGTAATCTCGTCTTACTACAACCTCTGCCTCCCGGGTTCAAGCGATTCTCCTGCCTCAGCCTCCCGAGTTGCTGGGGCTACAGGTGTGCGCCACCTCGCCCAGCTAGTTTTTGTATTTTTAGTAGAGATGGGGCTTCACCAAGTTGCCCAGGCTAGTCTTGAACTCCTGACCTCAAGTGATCCACCCGCCTCCGTCTCCCAAAGTGCTGGGATTACAGGCATGAGCTGCCACTCCTGGCCGCCACTGACAATTTTTACTGGTACTTGTTACAGTCCCAGACGCCACCTGTCACCTGTGTTAGGGGCTTCAGAGTGCCTAGCTGCAGGTTGAGGTCCTGGTCTCGTCACTGCTGCTTGCTGAGTCTGCTTCCGATGCATACGTCACATTTACTTCCCCACAGGCCATTCCTTAGCATCTCTTACTGCTTGGCCTCCTCCTTCGTCCCTGTGGCTGGTATAGCTCACTCCACATTCTCAAACGGTTTTAAAATGTTTTTCTTTTGGCTGGGCGCAGTGGCTCACATCTGTGATCCCAGCACTTTGGGAGGCCGAGGCAGGTGGATCATGAGATCAGGAGATCGAGACCATCCTGGCCAACACAGTGAAATGCCGTCTCTACTAAAAATACAAAAAATTAGCCAGGCGTGGTGGCGGGTGCCTGTAATCTCAGCTACTTGGGAGGCTGAGGCAGGAGAATCACTTGAATCTGGGAGGCGGAGGTTGCAGTGAGCTGAGATCACAGCACTGCACTTCAGCCTGGGTGACAGAGCGAGACTCTCTCAAAAACAAAACAAAATTTCTTTTTCTTTGATTTTCTTTTTGTAGAGATGGGAGTCTCATTATATTGCCCAGGCTGGTCTTGAACTTCTTGCTTCAAGCGATCTTCCTGCCTTAACCTCCCAAAGGGCTGGGATTACAGGCGTGAGCCACTGCACCTGGCCTAAAATATCTTTCTGTAATTCAATCTGTAGGTCAAACCTGCCACTCTAATGTAGTGGTAGAAACTGAATTTCAGTTAATTTGGAGGTTTTCCTGTCTTTCCCACAGGGGTATGGCACTGTCAGCGGAAGACTGTCAGATCTCTGCAGCATGACCCTCATCCTTGTTCCCAACCTTTTCTGTCAGTCACTGTCTGCCTCCCTTTCTTTGGTTGGCTGCCCATCAATGACCTATTATCATCATTGCCATAGATCCCTGAGAAGCACTCCCCCTCCCACAGTTGCCATTCCAATCTTGCTACACAGTATAAGAGCCCTCTTGGCTTCTGAGGGTTAAATGTTGCCATCCAGAATGGTTAAATGCCATTCCAGAATCGTGTCATCCCCAAGACACTAAGGAGCCAAGTTCCATGGCAGCATCTCCTAGCCACAGAGCACAGCCACCACCAGCTTTCTATGACACCAGTGCCCCCTCACGTCCACATTCTGCATTGCCTTAGTGAAGAGCGCCTCCTCTGGGCAGCTCCATGAAACACCTTCTGGTCTCATGTAATAAATCCGTTCTAACATTCCCACTTCCCTGAGCCTTCATCTCTACCTCATTAATGGTAGGCCACTATGGTGTCCAAGCTTCCGGGAGCCGTCTGGCGTGAAGACAAGCTCCAGCTGTCCTTTGACAGGACTTTAAATCCTGAGTCTTGGGGCATGCACCCTTGTCAATCAATGCCCCACCGGTCTTCTATTGCCCCCTCCCCGCCTGGATCTGGTACCCCACCTGGATCTGGTACCCTCATGATCGCTCCCGCAAGTGTTCTCCCAGGTCCTGCAACTTTTTGGGTGACTGAGTGATTTCCTCCTAGGGTAGGAAATATTTCACTGCTTGGGCTATGCTGAGATGTGATCCTGCTTGTTGGTCTGGAGGCAATGAGAGGAGGTGGATCTTGAGGAGGATTAGTGTTATCTTACAGGGTACTCACCTGTAACGGGGAGATCTCTGCACTGTCTCCAGGCTAGATGAAGCTGTCCTCCTCTGTCAATGGGAAGAAGGCAGTTTCTGCTGGCCAGGATGCTTCAGGGGACTCTGGGGGCTCAAGGTTCTTTGGTACATCCACCCAAACATCCCACGTCAGGCCTAGAGTCCCATTTATTCCTTTAAAAGCACCCAATGGGCCGGTTACTGTGGCTCATGTCTGTAATCCCAGAAGTTTGTGAGGCCATGGCAGGTGGATCAGTTGAGGCCAGGAGTTCGAAACCAGCCTGAGGAACATAGCAAGATCCCCGTCTCTACAAAAATAAAAATAATAGAAGCCCCCACTTTAGTACAGGAGACCTGCTGAGGATGCACAAGTGTCTTTTGCAGCTCTGCTGCTCTTGTGATGAAATATTGGTTCTCATTTTCAGCATGCTCTGCCTCCTGGCCACGGAAGCAAGGTTTTCTTTACATGTTGTCTTGGGAGAGTTCCTGCCTTTCACAGCATACTCTGAGTAGATAGCAGGCTGAACTGCATCTTTCATTCTCTTGCTTCAAAGCTGCTAAGGTGATTTAGAAAAGCTAGCCACCTCCATAATCCTTGCAACAGCAGCTGCTTCCACATCTTTCAAGTGACAAAGCTACTGCATAAGCCAAGCTTTCTCTTCAACTTCTATCTCCTTATCTACCACAGGTAAGAGTCTCATGCTTCAGGACACAAGGTTATCACCAACTGTGTGTGTGTGTGTGTGTGTGTCTTTGTTGCCTTCCGAATGGTAAGTGATCTACTTTTAGATTCCTATCGCTAGGTCTGTCTTCTAGTGCTACCTCTATTACTCATTGCCTTAGCTTGAATCCTCACAAAAACAGAGCTTGATCCTGGAACTTCGGCATAGTTAACTTGGGACATTCCAGGAAACTGTAATCCATGTAATTCCATGCCTATAATCCCAGCACTCTGGGGGCCAAGGTGGGTGAATCAGTTGAGGCCAGGAGTTTGAGACCAGCCTGGTCAACATGGGGAGAGAGATTGGGAAGAGTGACCCAGGGTACAGAACCATGAGCCACAGCTGCAGCTTCAGTCAGAGCAGGGCTGACCAGATATAACCAGAAGTCCCAACAGCATCCTGGACACCTCTCCTGCCTCCTAAGGGTGCAGAAATCTGTGACAATGGCTAAGCAGTATCTGCTCCTCTGGATTCAGGTGCCTATCTCTTGTGGAGCTTTGTTCATTCTAGAAGTACTTGGAGAGGTCCAAGCATCGTGCCTCACGCCTGTAATCCCAGCACTTTGGTGGCCAAGGTGGGCGGATCAGTTGAGGTCAGGAGTTTGAGACCAGCCCGGTCAACATGGCAAAACCCCACCTCTGCTAAAAACACAAAAATTAGCCAATCGTGGTCGTGCAGACCTGTAATCCTAGCTACTTGGGAGGCTGAGGTAGGAGAATCACTTGAACTCGGGAGGCAGAGGTTGCAGTAAGCCGAGATTGCGCCACTGCACTCCAGCTTGGGCAACAGAGTGAGACTACGTCTCAAAGAAAAAATAGGCTGGGCGCGGTGGCTCACGCCGGTAATCCCAGCACTTTGGGAGGCTGAGACGGGTGGATTATGAGGTCAGGAGTTCGAGACCAGCCTGACCAATATGGTGAAACCCCGTCTCTACTAAAAATACAAAAATTAGTCCAGCATGGTAGTGTGTGCCTGCAGTCCCAGATACTTGGGAGGCTGAGGCAGGAGAATAGCTTGAACCTGGGAGGCGAAGGTTGGAGTGAGCTGAAATTGTGCCACTGCACTCCAGCCTGGGCGACAAAGTGAGACTCCATCTCAAAATAAATAAAAAAATAAAAATAAAAATAGCAATACAACTATTTGGAGAGGGCCAAATAAGTGGGGAGCACTTCTCCACACTGAGATACAGGCGGGAACAGAACAACAAACCCCATAGAGCTTATGTTTTAGTTGGAGGAGACTAAGAATAAATAAAATATGTAGTAGGTCAAGTGTTAATGGGTGCTAGAAACAAGAAGTGGGGGCCAGGCACGGTGGCTCACACCTGTAATCCCAGTACTCTGGGAGGTCGAGGTGGGTGGATCACCTGAGATAAGGGGTTCAAAACCAGCCTGGCCAACATGGTGAAACCCCATCTCTACCAAAAATACAAAAATCAGCTGGGCATGGTGGCGGACACCTGTAATCCCAGCTAGTCAGGAGGCTGAGGCAGGAGAATTGCTGCAATCCAGGAGGCAGAAGTTGCAGTGAGCTGAGATCATGCCACTGCATTCCAGCCTGGGTGACAGAGTGAGACTGCATCTCAAAAAAAAAAAAAAAAAAAAGGGCCAGGCGTGGTGGCTCACACCTGTAATCCCAACACTTCGGGAGGCTGAGGCAGGCGGGTCACGAGATCAGGAGATGGAGACCATCCTGGCTAACACAGTGAAACCCGTCTCTACTAAAAATACAAAAAAAAAATTAGCTGGACGTGGTGGCGGGCGCCTGTAGTCCTAGCTACTCAGGAGGCTGAAGCAGGAGAATGGCGTGAACCCGGAGGTGGAGCTTGCAGTGAGCCGAGATCACACCACTGCACTCCAGCCTGGGCGACAGAGCGAGACTCCGTCTCAAAAAAAAAAAAAAAAACAAAAGAAAACATGAAGTGGGAAGGGAGGATACATTGTGCACATACCTCAAAGAAATGAGAGTGAATGAAACTGGCAAGACACTGGGAGGGCACACCTGTGAGGTAAATCAGAGGGAAATGAGAAGAGCATGGTGCCCTAGAAACCAAGTGAAGCCAGGGTTTCAAGGAGGAGGGGTCAACTCACGAGACGCTGCTGATGCACTGCGATGAGGATAGAAAACTAGGCAGAAGCCTTAACCACAGGGAGGGCACAGCATCCTTGACAAGGGCAGGCGGGGGACAGTGGGACGTGAGAAATCTGAAGTTCAAGGTAGACCAGGTGCAGTGGCTCATGCCTGTAATCCCACTACTTTAGAAGGCCAAGGTGAGAGGATCACTTGAGCCCAGGAGTTCGAGACCAGCCTGGGCAACATAACGTAGTGAGACCCCCTCATCTCTTCTTCCTTTTTTTTTTTTTTTTTCTTTAGACGGAGTCTCGCTCTGTCGCCTAGGCTGGAGTGCAGTGGTGCGATCTCGGCTCACTGCAACCTCCGCCTCCCAGGTTCAAGCGATTCTCCTGCCTTAAACTCCCAAGTAGCTTCTACAGGCGCGTGCTACCACACCCGGCTAATTTTTGTATTTTTAGTAGACGGGGTTTCACAGTGTTAGCCAGGATGGTCTCCATCTCCTGATCTCGTGATCCGCCCACCTCAGCCTCCCAAAGTGTTGGGATTACAGGCGTGAGCCACCATGCCTGGCCTTTTTTTTTTTTTTTTTTTGAGATGCAGTCTCACTCTGTCACCCAGGCTGGAATGCAGTGGCATGATCTCAGCTCACTGCAACCTCTGCCTCCCAGGTTCAAGCGATTCTCTCGCCTCAGCCTCCCGAGTAGCTTGGACTACAGGCACACACCACCATGCCTGGCTAATTTTTTTTTTTTTTTTTTTTTTTTTTTGAGACAGAGTCTGGCTCTGTCACCCAGACTGGAGTGCAGTAGCGCAATCTCGTGCAATCTCGGCTCACTGCAACCTCTGCCTCCCAGGTTCAGGCGATTCTCCTGCCTCAGCCTCCTGAGTAGCTGGGACTAGAGGCGGGTGCCACCACACCCAGCTAATTTTTGTATTTTTAGTAGAGATGGGGTTTCACCATATTGCTCAGGCTGGTCTTGAACTCCTGACCTCATGATCTGTCTGCCTCAGCCTCCCAAAGTGCTGGGATTACAGGTGTGAGCCACCATGCCCGGCGATGCCTGGCTAATTTTTGTATTTTCAGTAGAGACGGGGTTTTACCGTATTGGCCAGGTGGCTCTGAAACTCCTGACCTCAAGTGATCTGCCCGCCTTGGCCTCCCAAAGTGTTGGGATTACAGGCATGATCCACCACGCCTGGACTTTTTTTTCCTTTCTTCTTCTTTTTTTTTTTTTTTGAGATGGAGTCTCACTGTCGCCCAGGCTGGAGCGCAGTGGTGCGATCTCGGCTCACTGCAACCTCTGCCTCCAGGGTTCAAGCAATTCTCCTGCCTCAGCCTCCTGGGTAGCTGGGATTACAGGCGTGTGCCACCACACCCAGCTAATTTTTGTATTTTTAGTGAAGACGGGGTTTCACCATGTTCAGGCTGGTCTTGAACTCCTGACCTCGTGATCCTCCCACCTCAGCCTCCCAAAATGCTGGGATTACAGGCGTGAGCCACTGTGCCTGGCCTTTTTTTTTTGTAGAGACAAGAATTCACTTTGTTGCCCAGGCTGTTCTCAAATTCCTGGCATCAAGCGATCTTCCTGCCTTGGCCTCCCAAAGTGCCAGGATTATAGGCGTGAGCCACCACGCTTGGCCCAAGACCCCCAGGTCTACAAAAAACAAAAAACTAGGCTGGGCACGGCGATTCACACCTGTAATCCCAGCACTTTGGGAGGCCAAGGCAGGCAGATCACCCGAGGACAGGAGTTCAAGATCAGCCTGGCCAATATGGTGAAACCCCATCTCTACTAAAAATACAAAAAATTAGGCAGGCGTGGTGGTACATGCCTCTAGTCCCAGCTACTTGGGAGGCTGAGGTGGGAGAATCACTTGAGCCCAGGAGTTTGAGACTCAGTGAGCCATGATCACACCACTGCGCTCCAGCCTGGGTGACACAGCCAGACCCCATCTCTAAAAAAGAAAAAGAAGTTGAAGGGGGTTAAGAGCAAACAGGGAAGGGAGGAATTGGGGATGTGAATATAAGCAACTTTTTGGAATTTAGTTATAAAGGGAAGCAAAGAAATGACACAGTAGCTGGAAGGGGAATGTGGCACCAAGAAAAGACTATTTTGTCTCACTCTGTTGCCCAGGCTGGAGTACAATGGCATGATCATGGCTCACTGCAACCTCCGCCTCCAGGGTTCAAGCAATTCTCCCGCCTCAGAGTCCTGAGTCGCTGGAACTACAGATGCACACCACCATGCCTAATTTTTCTACTTCTAGTAGAGATGAGGTTTCACCATGTTGGTCAGACTGGTCTTGAACTCCTGACCTCAGATGATCTGCCCGCCTTGGCTTCCCAAAGTGCTGGGATTACAAGCATGAGCTACTGTGCCCGGCCTTTTTTATTTTTTTGAGATAGAGTTTTGCTGTTGTTGCCCAGGCTGGAGTGCAATGGCATGATCCTGGCTCACTGCAACCTCAGCCTCCCAGGTTCAAGTGATTCTCCTGTCTCAGCCTCCTGAGTAGCTGGGATTACAGGCGCCTGCCACCATGCCCAGCTAACTTTTGTATTTTTAGTAGATATGGGGTTTCACCACGTTGGCCAGGCTGGTCTCAAACTCCTGACCTCAAGTGATCCACCTGCCTCAGCCTCCCAAAGTGTTGGGATTACAGGCGTGAGCCACCACGCCTGGCTTTTTTTTTTTTTTTTTTTTTTTGAGACAGGGTATTATTATGTCAGCAAGGCTGGAGTGCAGTGGCACTATCACGGCTCACTGCAGCCTTGACCTCCCCAGGTTTGTGATCCTTCCACCTCAGCCTCCAGAGTAGCTGGAAATACAGGCGTGCGCCACCACACCCAGCTAATTTTTTACTTTTTGGAAAGATGGGGTTTCACCATGTTGTTCAGGCTGGTCTGACACTCCTGGGCTCAAGCAATCCTCCCACCTTAGCCTCCCAAACTGCTGGGATTACAGGCATGAACCACCGTGCCCAGCAAGAAAAGATTTTTTTCCAAGATAGAAGACCAAGTGAGATCCTCACTTACGCTTCTCTTCATCTCTCCTTTTTTTTTTTTGAGACGGAGTCTCGCTCTGTTGCCCAATCTGCAATGCGTGGCACAATCTCAGCTCACTGCAACGTCTGCTTCCCAGGTTCAAGAAATTCTCCCACCTCAGCCTCCCGAGTAACTGGGATTACAGGCTTGTGCCACAACACCTGGCTAATTTTTGTATTTTTAGTAGAGACGGGGTTTCACCATGTTGGCCAGGCAGGTCTCGAACTCCTGACCTCAGATGATCCGCCTGCCTTGGCCTCCCAAAGTGCTGGGATTACAGGTGTGAGCCACCACACCTGGCCCTCATCTCTCCTCTTGCTTGACAAACCTACACAGCCTTTTTGACCTGCCTCCTCAAACCCAGAAATATTTTTGCAAAGCTCTATTCCCCAGAGGATTCTGAGCTGTAGGAGGTGAAAGCCAGGGTCCTTTGTTCCTGCTTTCTTTGTTCCGACTTTATGCTCTGTGGCTTTCATCTCCTGGGGCAATGAGTTGGGCTGCCCTTTGGCAGGGCTCAGGACCAGGGTGTGAAATTCTAGAGCAGAAAGAACAAAGTTAGATATTTCAAAATATCATCCTGCTCCTTTTATTTCAGGCCCTTGATCCACTTGGATGCCCCTTTCTTTTTTTATTTATTTTTTATTTTTGACAGTCTCGCTCTGTCGCCCAGGCTGCAATGGTGCGATCTCAGCTCCCTGCAACCTCCACCTCCCAGGTTCAAGCAATTCTCCTGCCTCAGCCTCCCAAGTAGCTGGGATTACAGGCGCCTGCTACCACACCCAGCTAACTTTTTGTATTTTTTTTAGTAGAGATGGGGTTTTGCCATGTTGGCCAGGCTGGTCTCGAACTCCTGACCTCAGGTGATCCACCCACCTCAGCCTCCCAAAGTGCTGGGATTACAGACGTGAGCCACCGCATCTGACCTGTAGATGAACCTTTCTAAACAGGGCCCGCACTGGGCTGTGGGACTCCCTGCCTTCTGCAGGTTTGGTGGGGCAGATACCTTTCTCCACCCTAGGACTGTATTTGTTTTCAAGTAGTCTGGCCAAAGCAATATTCCCTAAACTTTAGGCATTCTTGGATCCCTTTATGAGTTTTGCTATTTTGGCATGCTACATGTAAGTTTTGCTTAATGTTTTTATGTAAAGCATCTTCCTCCTTTTACTTCTTTTATTGTGATAAAACTCATATAAAATTGACCGTTTTGAAGTGTACCATTCAGTGACTTTTATTACAATGTTGCAAAACTATCACCACTATAGTGCCAATTTCTCATCAGCCCAAAAGGAAGCCCCCTTGTGTTTACACACACACACACACAAACTGTGTCCTCCCATCCCTTGGTAACCTAATCTGTTTTTTGTTTTTGTTTTTGTTTTGAGACAGAGTCTCACTTTGTCATCCAGGCTGGAGTGCAGTGGCGCGATCTTGGCTCACTGCAACCTCCACCTCTCCGGTTCAAGTGATTTTCCTGCTTCAGCCTCCCAAGTAGCTGGGATTACAGGCGTCTGCCATCATGCTTGGCTAATTTTTGTATTTTTAGTAGAAATAGGGTTTCACCATGTTGGCGGCCAGGTTGGTGTCGAACTCCTGACCTCAGGTGACCCACCTGCCTTGGCCTCCCAAAGTGCTGGGATTACAGGTGTGAGCCACTGTGCCCGGCTGGATTTTAAAATTTTCTTTATTTTTTTTTTGAGACAGAGTCTGGCTCTGGAGTGCTGTGGTGTGATGCTGGCTCACTGCATCCTCTGCCTCCCAGGTTCATGCGATTCTCCTGTCCCAGTCTCAGGAGTAACTCGGACTGTAGGGCGCATGCCACCAAGCCCAGCTAATTTTTTTTTTTTTTCCTTTGAGACAGAGTCTCACTCTGTCGCCCAGATTGGTGTGCAGTAGTGTGATCTCGGCTCACTGTAACCTCCACCTCCCAGGTTCAGGTGATTCTCCCACCTCAGCCTCCAGGAGTAGCTGAGACTACAGGCATGCGCCACCACACCCGGCTAATTTTTTTGTATTTTGGTAGGGATGGAGTTTCACCATGTTGCCCAGGTTGGTCTCGAACTCCTGAGCTCAGGCAATCTGCCCACCTCAGCCTCCCAAAGTGCTAGGCTTACAGGCACCCGACACCGCATCTGGCCAATTTTTGGTATTTTTAGTAGAGACATGGTTTCACCTTGTTGGTCAGGATGGCCTTTTAACTCCTGACCTCGTGATAGGCCCGCCTCGACCTCTCAAAGTGCTGGGATTACAAGCGTGAGCCACCAGGCCTGGCCCCAGGAAATCTGGATTTTTAATGTGGTATCTCCAAATTCTGAAACTTTGGCAACTAATGCAATTTTTAGAAGACTGTGGGCCAGGCAGACTGCATTCTATGGAGGTAGAAAAGGAGGCCTGAGGCCGGGCTCGGTGGCTCACGCCTGTAATCCCAGCACTTTGGGAGGCCGAGGCGGGCAGATCACGAGATTAGGAGTTTGAGACCAGCCTGGCCAACATGGTGAAACCCCATCTCTACTAAAAATATAAAAATTAGCCGGGCGTGGTGGCAGCGCCTGTAGTCCCAGCTACTCGGGAGGCTGAGGCAGAAGAATCGTTTGAACCCGCGAGGTGGAGGTTGCAGTGAGCCGAGATCGTGCCCCTGCACGGCAGCCTGGGCGGCAGAGCGCGACTGTCTCAAAAACAAACAAACAAAAAATTAGCCGGGCGTGGTGGCGCATGCCTGTAATCCAGCTACTTGGGAGGCTGAGGCAGGAGAGTCGCTTGAACCCAGGAGGCGGAGGTTGAGGTGAGCCGAGATCGCGCCATTGCACTCCAGCCTGGGCAATAAGAGCGAAACTCCGTCTCAAAAAGAAAAGAAAAGAAAAGAAAAGGAGGCCTGAGCCCGGCGCGGTGGCTCACGCCTGTAATCCCACGTTTGGGAGGCTGAGGTGGGAGGACTGCTTGAGCCCGGAAGCTCGAGGTTGCAGTGAGCCATCATCGCGCCACTGCACTCCAGCCTGGGTGACAAGGGCGAGACCCCGTGTTTAAAAATAAGTAAAAAAAAAAAAAAAAAAAAAAAAAAAAAAAGGCCTGTAACAGAGACGCGACTCTCCAAAATGCCACACAGGCAAGTGGGGGCCGCACAGCCCATGGTTTCCAGAAAGCTTCTCTTGGGAATGTAAAATAACACTTACCCTGGGACTTCTAGTTTCTAAACCTCCTGAGCCTAGAGGCCCTGAAGACGGACCAAGTGCAAAGTCCCCGACCCCATACACCGTCCTCCGCTCCCTCCGCACCACACCCTTCATTCCCTGAGCACCGCGGTTCCTCCGTCTCCGGGACTTCGCCCTCCGTTACCTGGATGGCCTGCAAGGCCATTACCCGCCACTCCACCCTATCTGGGCCATGTCGGCTGCAAGCTTGGCTTCCACTCCGCACTCCCGGAGAGCCACGCGCAGACCCTCCTCCACGGCCCCATCACACCCTCCCAAGACAGGCAGCTTAGGCTTGCGTCCCCTGCCGACACCCAGCACCGAGGGGCAGTCCCCGAGGCCACGCAGACCTCCCCAACCCACACGCACAGACCGACCCGGGGAACCGCGGGAGCCAGTCCCGCGCTGGGGCACTGGCAGACCCGAGGCGTGAGGCGCGCATGCGTAGCGCGGCCTTTATTGCGTCACTGCGAGTCCAGAGCGCACGGCTGGATCATGAGCACGCCCGCGCTGGCGCCTGCGCGCTTGCGCATCTTCCTCTGCCCGGCGCGCGCCGCAGCCGTCGGGATCACCTCGGGGTTGCGCTGCTTCTCCAGCAAGTGCATGCGCGCCATGGTCTCAGTCAGCATGTCTATGAGCAGTTCCTGCTGCAGCTTCAGGTAGTTGTTCTCCTCCAGCAACACTTGGCTTTTGGACCGCTGCACCTGCGCCTTCCAGCCCCAGGCGGTCCGCGAGAGCAGCGGCGACCGCGTCCTCGCCAGCTGGCTCTCAGTGGTCCACCGCCCGCCGCGGAACACGAAGGCCTGGTTGCTGAGGCGCATGCACGGCGCGCCGTAGGCGAGGCCCAGCTCGGCCTGGCGCGTGTTGTGGTCCAGCAGGTAGAAGGTGGACAGGGAGGGCATGCGGCGCAGTGGCGGCCGCCGTGGCGAGAAGGGCCGCGAGATGTGATCGGCCCAAAACTGCTGCAGCGTCTGCCACAGGCGGCTGGCATGGCTCGTAGCCGAGCACTCGAAGGTTGCCAGGGCGTGGACCTTGTAGGGCACGCAGGTGCTCGAAGGGGAGCCTCGGGAGCGCTGGCGACTCGTGCTGCGCTCTTGTCTCGGGAGCCCGGATGTCCAGAATGATGAAGGCGAGCCAGGGGGCGCTGCTGGGAGACAAGAGTCCGGGTGAGCAGCGTGCTTGGTACAGGCCGCCTCTCAAACCGCGAGGCCGGCGGACATGTCTTAGCCCTGCAGCTACGGCTGCGGCTGTGTCTCACCAGCTGCTGGCCACCGAGGAGCCCGTCGTTCCACGCTGCACAGGCAGCAGTCTCACCTAAACCATCTTCCCCAAAGACCACTGAGGATCAGGCCCTGGGATACATATGCAGATGAAGGACGGGAGGAGGGCCTTGTTCTGAGTTGCAGCTGGAAGGGTGAGGGGTAGGGAATGGTAGCAAGACAAGTAAGTAGGTACTTAAAGGAGGAGTAGGACTTTGCCAGGTGGGTTGAGGATGGAAAATGGAGAACTTCTAGGCAGAGGGAAGAGCCGAGCAGGGCTTTCTTTTTCTTTTTTTTTGAGACTGAGTCTCGCTGTCGTTGCCCGAGCTGGAGTGCAATTGCGCGATCTTGGCTCACTGCAACCTCCACCTCCCGGGTTCCAGCAGTTCTCCTGCCTCAGCCTCTTGAGTAGCTGAGATTACAGGCGCCTGCCATCACCCCCACCTGATTTTTGTATTTTTAGTGAAGACGGGGTTTCACCATGTTGGCCAGGCTGGTCTCGAACTCCTGACCTCAGGTGATCCACCCAACTCGGCCTCCCAAAGTGCCCGGATTACAGGCATGAGTCACTGCGCCTGGCCTTTTTTTTTTTTTTTTTTTTTTTTTTTGTATTTTTAGTAGAAATGGGGTTTCACCTTATTGGCCAGGCTGGTCTCGAACTCCGGACCTCAGGTGATCTGCCCGCCTCAGCGCCAAAGTGCTGGGATTACAGGTGTGAGCCACTGTACCCGGCAGGGCAGGACTTTCATATTTCAGATGTGAACACGAGCTTGGATAGGATTGGTGCTGGGAAGAGCAGAAGAGGAAGCTGGGAAGGTGGACCAGTGCACTATGTGAAGGTGCCCTACAGGCAGGCTCGGAAGCTTAGACTTCCTTTTGTGGGTAAGAGGGAACTGCTGAAGGATTAGAAAGCCGGGGTTAGATCTGGATTCTGAAAGCAATCTGGGAGGATATCTAGCATAGCCAACAGCATTATTGCCCTCATCATTCAGTCATTTGATAGACTTGAACTAGCATCTGCTCTGTGCCAGACTCTGGTCTTGGGAAGGGGACCTGAAACAGCCTCTGCCTGCCCTCAAGGTGCTCCTAATCCAGCTTGGAAGACAGATGCGTGTATAGACCACAGTCCAGTGTGTTCACTGACATCCTGGGGTGTGTGCCATGGGCTAGACCTATGCATAGGGCTCAAAGTATCAGGGATTGTGCACACTAAACATGACTTTTATTCCAAACAAACTGTGCCCTCAGGAAGTCCAAAGTCCAGATAACAGACAAGTCCCATTTTGCTCACTTCTCTCTGCACCCCCCACCCCTGCCCAGTAAGTGCTGATTCTATTATGTGAAAAAGGGAGCTATGTGTTGTTTCTAATTCCTCTTCTGCCCATGGGCAGTGAGAAGAGAAAGAACTAGAGCAGGGTTCCCTCTGTTATGCCTTCGTTAATTCATAATACACTTATCCCTCACATATAGGTGGACAGAGGCTGGATGGTACATACCATCCCCAAGATCTGGTTCAGGGAGATGGTCTCTGGAAGCCCACATCCAGGCCCACCCTTGAGATTGTATCTTCTCGGAGGATGTTTCCCCGTTAGTCCTCACTGTATGTTGTGCCTCACCTGGAAGATGGGGTGGAGTTGCTGAGCTGCTGTCCCAGGGCTAGTCCCATCTCTGACCCACTCAGCTCTTGTCCACCTGCTATGACTCACAATGCCTCCAGGCCAGGCCACCCCAGGACAAGAAGGGGTGCTGACCGCTGAGCTGTCAGATAGACTCTGGGCTCTCCCCTGCATGCATTCAGTGCATCATTGAGCACCTACTGTGTTCTAGGAACAGTTCTAGGGAAGTGAAGAACATATTCCCTCACTGAGCTGTCATTCTTGGCAGGGGAATGAAGGGAGTGATCATAAGCAGAGTCCAAGACAGGAATTTGTTCTAGGGGAACTAACAAGATAGTCTCTCAGGAAGCTAACAGAGCGTGTCATGGGTCAGGTTCCCTAGAAGCAGAGCCTAAGCTGAGCATTCTTGTTCAAGTGAATTATTGGGGAAATGCTCTCAGGAGAAGGGGGTGAGGGAAGCAAGACAGGGCGAGAAAAAGGCTAAGGCTGAGCCAGAGTGTGGTCTCACGTGGAGACTAGCTTCCGCTTGCTCTCATGGGGAACTCTGAGCACAAATGGCACCACAGTTAGGCCTCCTTAAAGCAAGGGAGCCCGTCTTTTGTACCCTCCTTCTACATGTCAGTTATTGGCCAGGGCAGCTGAGAGTTACCAGCCAGCTCCTACAGCACCTATGGGATGGGTGCACCACCAGTGATAGGGATCTCAGTAGGGCGCCAGCTGAGGAGGGAGGAAGATAATAGGATAGATGATGAAAATGAAAGGGCAGACTAGCCAACATGGCAAGACCCCATCTCTACAAAAACAAATTAGCTGGGCGTGGTGGCATGCGACTGTAGTCCCAGCTACTCAAGAGGCTGAGGTGGGAGGATCACCTGAGCCCAAGAGGTGAAAGCTGCAGTGAGCAGTGATTGTGCCACTGCACTCCAGCATGGGCGATAGAGACCCTGTGTTTAAAAAAAAAAAAAAAAAAAAGAGGGCCAGGCGCGATGTTTCATGCCTGTAAATCCCAGCACTTTGGGAGGGGAAGGTGGGTGGATCACCTGAAGTCAGAAGCTCGAGAACTGCCTGACCAACATGGTGAAACTCCGTGTCTACTAAAAATAGAAAAAATTAGCCGGGTGTGGTGGCGGGTGCCTGTAATCTCAGCTACTCAGGAGTCTGAGGCAGGAGAATTGCTTGAACCTGGGAGGCAGAGGTTGCAATGAGCGAAGATTGTGCCACTGCACTCCAACCTGGGCAACAAGAGCGAAACTCCATCTCAAAAAAAAAAAAAAGGAATGATTAAATTAATAAGAATATCCAGGCCGGGCACGGTGGCTCACGCCTGTAATCCCAGCACTTTGGAAGGCTGAGGCAGGCGGATCATGAGGTCAGGAGATCGAGATCATCCTGGCTAACATGGTGAAACCCTGTCTCTAATAAAAATACAAAAAATTGGCCGGGTGCAGTGGCTCACGCCTGTAATCCCAGCACCTTGGGAGGCCGAGGCAGGCAAATCACCTGAGGTTGGGAGTTTGAGACCAGCGTGACCAACATGGAGAAACACCATCTCTTCTCAAAATACAAAATTAGCCGGGCATGGTGGTGTATGCCTGTAATCCTAGCTACTTGGGAGGCTGAGGCAGGAGAATCGCTTGAACCCAGGAGGCAGAGGTTGCAGTTAGCCGAGATCACACCACTGTACTCCAGCCTGGGTGACAGAGCGAGACTCTGTCTCAAAAAAAAAAAAAAAAAAAACCCTAATTCTGATACGTACAGTGAAGAAAACAAACCAGGGAAATACAGAAAGTGATTTTGGGACAGGGTGAGGAGTAGGAAGTAATTTAGATGTGGTGCTCGGTGAAGGCCCTTGACATTCTTGCTAAAACCTGAACAATAAGGAGACCCCAATCCCTTGAAGACCTGGGGGTAGAGGAGGGAAGTGGCTGGGCATGTTTGAAGGACACGTGCCACGTGTGCGGACAGTGGAAGGAAATGACGTCAGTCCTACCTACTAAGCCCACCCACCTGACTGCAAGGGACAGACCCAGATCCACAGGAGCTCACAAGCTGGGGCAGAGCCCGGTGGTGGTGCCACCTCCTAGGAAACTTCTGTAATAGTTTTATTGAGGTATAAGTGACAAAATCAACTACATTTATTTATTTATTTATTTTTGAGACGGAGTCTCGCTCTGTCGCACAGGCTGGAGTGCAGTGGCGCTACCTCAGCTCACTGCGACCTCCACTTCGAGGTTCACACCATTCTCCTGCCTCAGCCTCTCAAGTAGCTGGGACTACAGGCACCCGCCACCATGCCTGGCTAATTTTTTGTATTTTTTTTTTTAGTAGAGATGGGGTTTCACCGTGTTGGCCAGGATGGTCTCGATCTCCTGACCTTGTGATCCGCCCACCTCAGCCTCCCAAAGTGCTGGGATTACAGGTGTGAGCCACCGCGCCCGGCCAACTACATATATTTATAATGTATAATGTGAAGTATTTCGATAATTTGTTATGTGAAATCATTCCCAAAATCAAGATAATGTATCCATCTGGAGGTATCCATTACCTTTTTTTCTTTTTTTGAGAGGAGTCTCACTTTGTTGCCCAGACTGGAGTGCAGTGGTATGATCTTAGCTCACTGCAACCTCTGCCTCCTGGGTTCAAGTGATTCTCCTGTCTCAGCCTCCCAAGTAGCTGGGATTACAGGTGCCTGCCACCACACCCAGCTAATTTTTGTATTTTTAGTAGAGATGGGGTTTCACCATATTCACCAGGCTGGTTTCAAACTCCTGGCCTCAAGTGATCCATCTGCCTCGGCCTCCCAAACTGCTGGAATTACAGGTGTGAGCCACCGCGCCCAGCCTCAGTATAGATTTTTTTTGGCATTGGCTTCTCGCCGCATAATTATTTTAAGATTTATCCATGTTGTTGCATTTATTAACAGTTCATTGCTTTTTATTGCTGAGTAGTATTTCATTGTATGGAAACACCACACAATTTGTTTTTCCATTCAGCTGTTGATGCACATTTGGGTTGTTTCCAGTTTGGGGGCTATTGCAAATAAAACTGCTCTGAACATTTTTGCTCATCTTTGTGTGGACATATGCTTTCATTTCTCTTAAGTAAACACCTAGGAATAGAATGACTGTGTCATATGGCAGGTGCATGTTTACCTTTTTATTAAGCCACTAACAGTGAGTGAAAGTTTCTGTTTCTCTGTATCCTGGCCAACACTTGGTTTGGTAAACCTTCATTTTTAAAAAATTCGCTTAATTAAAGGTGGTGGTGGCGTTTTTGAGACGGGGTCTTACCGTGGTGCCTAGGCTGGTCTCAGACTCCTGGGCTCAAGGGATCCTCCCACCTGAGCCTCCCAAAGTGCTAGGATTACAGGCAGGAGCCACAGGGCCCAGCTAGTAAGCCTTTTTTTTTTTTTTTTTCAGCTCACTGCAAGCTCCACCTCCCGGGTTCACACCATTCTCCTTCCTTAGCCTCCTGAGTAGCTGGGACTACAGGTGCCCGCCACCACGCCCGGCTAATTTTTTTGTATTTTTAGTAGAGACGGGGTTTCACTGTGTTAGCCAGGATGGTCTTGATCTCCTGACCCCATGATCCACCCACCTCGGCCTCCCAAAGTGCTGAGATTACAGGCTTGAGCCACCGTGCCCGGCCAAGCCTTTTTAATTTTAGCCATAGTGGTAGCGTGTCTAAATTGTGGGGTTTTTGCTGTTGTTTTGTTGTTGTTTTAAATTTTTAACAGCAAGCTCATCCTTAATAAATTTATTTTACTTATTTATTTATTTTTTGAGATGGAGTTTCACTTTTGTTGCCCAGGCTGGAGTGCAATAGCATGATCTCAGCTCACTGCAACCTTCACCTCCTGGGTTCAAGCAATTCTCCTGCCTCAGCCTCCTAAGTGGGATTACAGGCGTGTGCCACCACACCTGGCTAATTTTGTATTTTTTTTTTTTTTTTTTTTTTTTTTTTTACTAGAGACAGGGTTTTCACCATGTTGGCCCTGCCGGTCTTGAACTCCCGACCTCAAGTGATCCATCTGCCTCTACCTCCCAAAGTGCTGGGATTACAGGCTTGAGCCACTGTGCCCGGCCTTAATAAATCTATCTATTTATTTACTTATTTAATTTTTGGAGGCAGAGTCTCGCCCTGTCACCCAGGCTGGAGCGCAGTGGCGCAACCTCGGGTCACTGCAACCTCCGCCTCCTGGGTTCAAGCGATTCTTCTGCCTCAGCCTCCTGAGTACTTGGGATTACAGGCACACGCCACCACATCTGGCTAATTTTTTTGTTTATTTGTGTTTTTTTTGAGATGGAGTTTCACTCTTGTTGCCCAGGCTGAAGTGCAGTGGTGCAATCTTGGCTCACTGCAACCTCCACCTCAGCCTCCCGTGTAGCTGGGATTACAAGCATGTGCCACCATGCCTGGCTAATTTTGTATTTTTAGTAGAGACGGTGTTTCTCTATGTTGGTCAGGCTGGTCTTGAACTCCTGACCTCAGGTGATCTGCCCACCTCGGCCTCCCAAAGTGCTGGGATTACAGGCGTGAGCCACCGCGCCCAGCTTTTTTTTTTTTTTTTTTTTTTTTTGAGATGGAGTTTCGCTCTTGTTGCCCAGGCTGGAGTGCAGTGGCGTGATCTCGGCTCACTGAAACCTCTGCCTGCTGGGTTCAAGAGATACTCCTGCCTCAGCCTCCCAAGTAGCTGGGATTACAGGCAGCTGCCACCACGCCCAGCTAATTTTTGTATTTTTAGTAGAGGTGGGGTTTCACCATGTTGGCAAGGCTGGTCTCAAACTCCAGACTTCAGGTGATCCACCTGCCCTGGCCTCCCAAAGTGTTGGAATTATAGGTGTGAGCCACCACGCCCTGCCTAATGTTTGTATTTTTAGTAGAGACAGGGTTTCACCATGTTTGCCAGGCTAGTCTCAAACTCCTGACCTCAGGTTATCTGTCTGCCTCGACCTCCCAGAATGCTGGGATTACAGGCGTGAGTCATCGTGCCCAGCCTCATCCTTAATAAATTGAGGTTTTAATTTGCATTTCTCTAACAGCCAATGCTATTAAGCATCTTTCCATGTGGGTATTTGTTATCTATTTTGATGAAGTGGTTGTTCAAGTCTTTTTTTTTTTTTTGAGACGGAGTCTCGCTCTGTCACCAGGCTGGAGTGCAATGGCTCAATCTTGGCTCACTGCAACCTCCACCTCCCGAGTTCAAGCAATTCTCCTGCCTCAGCCTCCTGCGTAGCTGGGATTACAGGCACGCGCCACCACACCCAGCCAATTTCTGTATTTTTAGTAGAGATGAGGTTTCACCATGTTGGCCAGGCTGGTCTTGAACTCCTGACTTCAAGTGATCTGCCTGCCTCGGCCTCCCAAAGTGCTGGGATTACAGGTGTGAGCCACCAAGCCCGGCCATCTTTTTTTTTTTTTAGTGGTTCAAGTCTTTTTGCCTATTTTAAAAATTGGACTGTTTGTCTTAATGATTGCAGTTTTTCTTGTTGTTATTTTGAGACACGGTCTCACTGTTGCCCAGGCTGGAGTCTATTGGTGGTGTGATCATGGCTCACCACAGCCTTGACCTCCCCAGGCTCCGGTGATCCTCCCATGTAGCTGGGACTGCAGGGAGGCACCACTACACCCTGCTAACTTTTGTATTTTTTAGTGGAGATGGGCTTTTGCCATGTTGCAAAACTCCTGGGCTTGAACTCCTGGGCTCAAGCGTTGTGCCTGCCTCAGCCTCCCAAAGTACTGGGATTACAGGCGTGAGCTACCATGCCTGCTCAAATTGCAGTTTTTGTTTGTTTGTTTCTTTGAGACAGAGCTTTGCTCTTGTTGCCCAGGTTGGGGTGCAATGCACAGTCTCGGCCCACTGCAACTTCCGGCTCCAGGGTTCAAGCAATTCTCCTGCCTCAGCCTCCTGAGTAGCTGGGACTACAGGTGCCTGCCACCATGCCTGGCTAATTTTGTATTTTTAGTAGAGACAGGGTTTTGCCATATTGGTCAGGCTGGTCTTGAACTCCTGACCTCAGGTAATCCGTCTGCCTTGGCCTCCCAAAGGTCTGGGAATACAGGCATGAGCCACTGCACCCGGCCTGCAGTTTTTTTGTTTGTTTGTTTGTTTTTTGAGACATGCCACCATGCCCGGCTACCGCTCTGTCACCCAGGCTGGAGTGCAGTGGCATGATTTTGGCTCACTGCGACCTCCACCTCCCGGGTTCAGGCCATTCTCCTGCCCCAGCCTCCCAAATAGCTGGGACTACAGGCATGCGCCAACACGCCCGGCTAATTTTTTTGTATTTGCAGTAGAGACGGGGTTTCACCGTGTTAGTCAGGATGGTCTCGATCTCCTGGCCTCGTGATCCACCCGCCTCGGCCTCCCAAAGTGCTGGGATGACAGGCGTGAGCCACCGCGCCCGGCCTGTGCTCTGTGTTCTTGTGCTTGGTCTGTTTATCGTTGCACCAATACTGTTGATACCTAGTAATGTAAATCTTCCAATAATATTCTTTAAGATTGCTTTGGCTTTCTAGGTCCTTTGTATTTCCATATAAATTTTAGAATTTGATTGTCAGTGTTCACAAATAAACCCTCATGCTCACTGTTGAAAGCTTTCTCTTCTTGTCATGAAGACACTCAAGAGCTTAAATCAACCCCCAGAAGGTTGTCTGATGGACATGGAATCAGAGCCCAGGAATATTTTAACCAAGCCAGTGATTCATATTCATTCTTTCTCCCTCCACAGTATGTCTATGTTATTAAAGTCAATTTTCAGCCACGCACGGTGGCTCATGCCTGTAATCTCAGCAATTTGGGAGACTGAGGCAGGCAGATCACTTGAGGGCAGGAGTTTGAGATGAGCCTGGCCAACATGGTGAAACCCTGTCTCTACTAAAAATACAAAAAATTAGCTGGGTGTGGTGGCGCACACCTGTGGTCCCAGCTACTTGGGAGGCTGAAGCAGAAGAGTCACTTAAACCCAGGAGGTGGACGTTGCAGTGAGCCAAGATAGTGCCACTGCACTCCAGCTTGGGCAATGGTGCAAGACTCCCTCTCAAAAATAAATAAATAAAGTCAGTATTCTTTTTTTTTTTTTTTAAGATGGAGTGTCGCTCTGTTGCCAGGCTGGAGTGCAGTGGCACGATCTCGGCTCACTGCAACCTCCACCTCCTGGGTTCAAGCGATTCTCTTCCCTCAGCCTCCCGAGTAGCTGGGACTACAGGTTAGCGCCACCACACCCAGCTAATTTTTGTATTTTTAGAGACAGGGTTTCACCATGTTGGCCAGGATGGTCTTGATCTCTTGACCTCAGGATCCGCCTGGCTTAGCCTCCCAAAGTGCTGGGATTACGAGCGTGAGCGACGGTGCCTGGCCTAAGGTCAATTTTTTTTTTTTTTTTTTTTGAGACGGAGTCTCACTCTGTCGCCCAGGCTGGAGCGCAGTGGCACAATCTCGGTTCACTGCAAGCTCTGCCTCCCGGGTTCACGCCATTCTTCTGCCTTAGCCTGCCAACTAGCTGGGAATATAGGTGCCCACCACCACGCGCAGCTCATTTTTTGTATTTTTAGTAGAGACGGGGTCTCACCGTGTTAGCCAGGATGGTCTCGATCTCCTGACCTTGTGATCCACCTGCCTCAGCCTCCCAAAGTGCTGGGATAACAGGCGTGAGCCACTGCGCCCGGCCGCCTAAGGTCAATTTTCATTAGCAATCATGATATTTGGCCAGACATGATGGCTCATGCCTGTAATCCCAGCACTTTGGGAGGCTGAGGCAGGTGGATCTCTTGACCTCAGGAGATCGAAACTAGGCTGGCCAACATGGTGAAACCCCTACTAAAAATACGAAAATTAGCCAGAGTGCTCCAGGGGCTGAGGCAAAAGGATAACTTGAGGCCAGGAGTTTGATGGTGCAGTGAGCCATGATCGTACCACTGCACTCCAGCCTGGACAACAGAGTGAGACACTATCTCAAAAAAACAACAGAAAGAGGCCGGGTGTGGTGGCTCATGCCTGTAATCTCAGCACTTTGGGAGGCCAAGGCGGGTGGATCACTTGAGGTCAGGAGTTCAAGACCAGCCCAGCCAACATGGTGAAACCCCCTCCCTACTAAAAATAAAAATAAAAAATTAGCTGGGCATGGTGGTGTGCGCCTATAATCCCAGCTAATTGGGAAGCTGAGAATCGCTTAAACCCAGGAGGCAGAGGTTGCAGTGAGCAGAGATCGTGCCACAGCAGTCCAGTCTGGGTGACAGAGCTGTCTCAAAAACAACAGCAAGAACAACAATAACAAAAAACCAACGAAAACATACGTCAGACCGATCATAGATGACCACTAGGAATGGTACACAACTTCCCTTATTTCATGGCCTACCAAAAAGAGAAAGCTACAAAACCCAACAAGTTTTTTTTTTTTTTTTTTTTTTTTTTTTTTTTGAGACAGAGTTTTGCTCTTGTTGCCCAGGTGGGAGTGTAATGGCGCAATCTTGGCTCACTGCAACTTCTGCTTCCTGGGTTCAAGCGATTCTCCTGTCTCAGCCTCCTGAGTAGCTGGGATTATAGGCGTCCGCCACAATGCTTGGCTAATTTTTTGGTATTTTTAATAGAGACAGGGTTTCACCGTGTTGGCCAGGCTGGTCTCAAACTCCTGACTTCAGCTGATCCGCCCGCCTCGGCCTCCCAAAGTGTTGGGATTACAGGCGTGAGCCACCACACCCGGCCTCTTTTTTTCTTCTTCTTCTTTTTTAAGTTCTTGCCTACTCCTGGAAGTCTTTATTTGATTATTTGAACAGGAAATGTTAGGAGAGATGATGGATAATTCCCACTTAAAATGGATGTTAACTCCTTTCACAAGAAGACCTTGATTTTGAGGACATTTAATGAAGACTTCAGAATTTAAAGATTCACAATTTAAAAAATGGCTCCTGGTTCCTTTGAGGATCCCCATCTCAATGTCACTGAAAAGATGAGGTTTGGAGCCCGTGAGGAAGGGAAGGGTGTGCTACCGGGTCCCAACAGGTCTGAATTGAAGGACATAAGGTTTATTCTGATGGCAGAAAGGAAAGGAGAAGAGCATCTGAAGATTTTTCAGAGTTTTCCACATCACCAGCATTTCTACCACACTGGCTGTGAATCACACTGGGTGTGAATGTCAGTGGGTCTCTTCTGGCAACCAAGAGGAATATTCCCCAAACCAAGGAAGCTAAATCTTGTTTTTCCCCATGGAAATTTCAGTCTGGCTTCTGTGATAGTCTGTTAGTGACATTTGCCCTTCCCTGAAACAACATGGTGTTCTCTGTGCTAATATAGTTTTAAAAAAGAAGTTGGCCAGGCGCAGTGGCTCACGCCTGTAATCCCAGCACTTTGGGAGGCCGAGGCGGGTGGATCACCTGAGGTCAGGAGTTCAAGACCAGCCTGGCCAACATGGTGAAACCCCGTCTGTACTTAAAATACAAAAATTAGCCAGGTGTGGTGGTACGCACCTGTAATCCCAGCTACTTGGGAGGCTGAGGCAGGAGAATCACTTGAACCTGGGAGGCGGAGGTTGCAGTGAGCCAAGATCGCGCCACTGCACTCCAGCCTGGGGGACAAGAGTGAGACTTCATCTCAAAAAAAAAAAAAAAAAAAAAATCTGAAAAAAGGCTGGGCCCAGTGGCTCACGCCTGTAATCCCAGCACTTTGGGAGGCTCAGGCAGGTGGATCACGAGGTCAGGAGTTGGAGACCAGCCTGACTTACATGGTGGAAGCCGTCTCTACTAAAAATACAAAAATTAGCCGGGCGCGGTGGCATGCGCCTGTAATCCCAGCTACTTGGGAGGCTGAGACATGATAGTCACTTGAATCCAGGAGGCAGAGCTTGCAGTGAGCCGTGATCATGCCACTGCATTCCAGCCTGGGCGACAGAGTGAGACTCTCTCAAAAAAAAAAATAATAAGTAACATAAATGTTAATTTGACTTTTTGGTTTGTATTATAGGTAAAATTATAAACATGGTTTTATATTGATATGAGCTATAAATTTATAGTGGGTTTATGTTTATAGACATTGATATATTATTTTTTTACTTCATTTTTTTGAGACTGTGCTCACTCTGTTGCCCAGGCTGGAGTGCAGCAGCATGATCTTGGCTCATGGCAACTTCTGCCTCCCAGGTTCAAGCAATTCTCCTGCCTCAGCCTCCCGAGTAGCTGGGATTACAGGGCCTACCACCATGCCCAGCTAATTTTTGTATTTTTGGTAGAGATGGGGTTTCGCCTCGTTGGCCAGGCTGGTCTCGAACTCCTGGCCTCGAGTGATCCACCCACCTCAGCCTCCCAAAGTGCTGGGATTACAGGTGTGAGCCATCGTGCCTGGCCTATATACATTTAAACAACACTGTGTGGCTGGTTAATATTTTGAAATGTTAGCCAGTGTATTGTTTTTTCAGGCAGACCAAGCTGAGTAAAAAAGTGAGTGGGCCGGGCACAGTGCTTCATGCCTGTAATCCCAGCATTTTGTGAGGTCAGGGTGGGAGGATCCCTTTAAGCCCAGGAGTTTGAGACCAGCTTGGGCAACACAGGGAGATCCCATCTCTGCAAAGAAAAAAAAGAAAAAAAAATGAGTCAAATTGCCTGATCATGAAAGG
Organism: Homo sapiens; assembly: GCF_000001405.40. Classification (NCBI taxonomy): domain Eukaryota; kingdom Metazoa; phylum Chordata; class Mammalia; order Primates; family Hominidae; genus Homo; species Homo sapiens. Next base: position 457,292 of record NW_016107298.1, read on the forward strand.
GAGAATGAAGCAGATGTCATTTGGCTCTGGAAGACAGGAAGAGCCACTACACTGCAATCCCAGCTCGGGATAGCATGAGGCGAGGCAGTACTCTCTTCCTCTCCTTGGGCTCTTTGACATCCCTATATACTTTCCTTGAGGTAGTTTCACTATATCTCTCTTCTTTATTATTTATTTTATTTAATTAATTTATTTATTTTTTGAGACGGAGTCTCGCTCTGTCGCCCAGGCTGGAGTGCAGTGGCACGAACTCAGCTCACTGCAAGCTCTGCCTCCCGGGTTCACGCCATTCTCCTGCCTCAGCCTCCCGAGTAGCTGGGACTACAGGCACCCGCCACCACGCCCGGCTAATTTTTTTTGTATTTTTTAGTAGAGACGGGATTTCACCATGTTAGCCAGGACAGTCTCGATCTCCTGACCTCATGATCCACCCACCTCAGCCTCCCAAAGTGCTGGGATAACAGGCGTGAGCCACCGTGCCCGGCCTATTTTTTTTTTTGAGACAAAGTCTCGCTCTGTTGCCCAGGCTGGAGTGCAGTGGTGCGATCTCGGCTCACTGCAACCTCCGCCTCCTGGGTTCAAGTGATTCTCCTGCCTCAGCCTCCCAAGTAGCTGGGACTACAGGTACGCACCACCATGCCCGGCTAATTTTTGTATTTTTAGTAGAGACAGGGTTTCACCATGTTGGCCAGGCTGGTCTTGAACTCCTGACCTCAAATGATCTGCCCATCTCGGTCTCCCAAAGTGCTGGGATTACAGGCATGAGCCGCTATGCCTGGCCATCTGTGTTCCTTATAACCAAAAAGAGCCCCCGGTTTAAAAGCTCTTAAAGGTCTGGGAGCAGTGGTTCACATCTGTAATCCCAGCACTTTCAGAGGCCAATGGAGGATGATCACTTGGAGCAGCCCCTGAGCAACAAAGAGCCCCTGTCTAATTATTTTATTTTTTAGAGACAGGGTCTTGCTCTGTTGCCCAGGCTAGTGGAGTGCAGTGGCATGATCATGGCTCACTGCAGCCTCAACCTCCTGGGCTGAATCTATCCACCTACCTCAGCCTCCTGAGTAGCTGGCACTCAGGCATATGCCACTAATTTTTTATTTTCTGTACAGATAGGGTTTTGCCATGTTGCCCAGGCTGGTCTCAAACTCCTGGGCTCAAGTGATCTGCCTGCCTCGGCCTCCCAAATTGCTGGCATTACTGGCAAGAGCCATCGCATGAGCACATAGTACATAATGATTCCTTACAAACCAGTATGAAAAAGACAAACCCTAGGCTGGGCGTGGTGGCTCACGCCTGTAATCCCAGCACTTTGGGAGGCCAAGGCGGGTGGATCACGAGGTCAGGAGTTCAAGACCAGCCTGGCCAAGAAGGTGAAACCCCATCTCTACTAAAAATACAAAAAATTAGCCGGGCACAGTGGCAGGCGCCTGTAGTCCCTGCTACTCAGGAGGCTGAGGAAGGAGAATCATGTGAACTCGGAGGGTGGTGGTTGCAGTGAGCCGAGATCGTGCCACTGCACTCCAGCCTGGGCAACAAAGTGAAACTCCGTCTCAAAAAAAAAAAAAAAAAAAAGACAAACCCTATAGTGGAAAAATGGACAAACGACATGAATAGAGAATTCACAAAGGAAAAAAAATATATATGGTTAATGAACATGAAAAATGTTGGCCAGGTGCTGTGGTTCACACCTGTAATATCAGCACTTTGGAAGGCTGAGGCAGGGAGATCACTTGAGCCCAGGAGTTTGAGACCAGCCTGGCCAACATGGCGAAACCCGATCTCTACTAAAAATAGAGAAATTAGCCGGGTGAGGTGGCACATGCCTGTAGTCCCAGCTACTCTGGAGGCTGAGGCAGGAGAATCGCTTAAACTGGGAGGTAGAGGTTGCAGTGAGCCGAGATTGTACACTGTACTCTAGCCTGGGCAACAGTGAGAATCTGTCTCAAAAAAATAAAATAAAAATAAAAACTAGCCACGCATGGTGGTGCATGCCTATAGTCTTAGCCACTTGGGAGGCTGAGGCAAGAGGATCCCTTGAGCCCAGAAGTTTGAGGCTGCAGTGAGCCATGATTGTGCCACTGTACTCTAGCCTGGCCGGTAACTTGTCTTAAAAAAAAAAAAAGTTTAATTTCACTGTAATAAAATAAACTTCAATTAACATAGTTACATATCTTTTTCTTTGTCCATCATTTTGACAATGCCAGATTAGCATGAGTATAGAGAAACTTTAGAGAAATGACCATTACCAGCCTAACTATTAAGAAAGTAATGGGCCGGGCGTGGTGGCTTATGCCTGTAATCCCAGCTACTCAGGAGGCTGAGGCAGGAGAAGCGCTGGAACCCGGGAGGCCGAGGTTGCTGTGAGCTGAGATCCTGCCATTGCACTCCAGCCTGGGCAACAAGAGAGAAACTCCGTCTCAAAAAAAAAAAAAAAAAAAGGAATGAGAGCGAACAATACAGCCAGGATGGCTAAAGGTGACCCCAAGAAACCAAAGGGCAAGATGTCTGCTTATGTCTTCTTTGTGCAGACGTGCAGAGAAGAATGTAAAAAGAAAAACCCTGTCAATTTTGCAGAATTTTCCAAGAAGTGCTCTGAAAGGTGGAAGACAATGTCCGGGAAAGAGAAGTCTAAATTTGATGAAATGGCAAAGACGGATAAAGTGCACTGTGATCGGGAAATGAAGGGACCAGCTAAGGGAGGCAAGAAGAAGAAGGATCCTAGTGCCCCCAAAAGGCCACCATCTGGATTCTTCCTGTTCTCTTCGGAAATCCGCCCCAAGATCAAATCCACAAACCCTGGCATCTCTATTGGAGATGTGGCAAAAAAGCTGGGTGAGATGTGGAATAACTTAAATGACAGTGAAAAGCAGCCTTACATCACTAAGACGGCAAAGCTGAAGGAGAAGTACGAGAAGGATGTTGCTGATTCTAAGTCGAAAGGGAAGTTTGATGGCTCAAAGCGTCCTGCTAAAGTTGCCTGGAAAAAGGTGGAAGAGGAAGATGAAGACGAGGAGGAGATGAGGAGGAGGATGAATAAACAAAGTGTTTATCTGTCAAAAAAAAAAAAAGTAAATGGATAAAAATGTGAGTGCTCCCTCTCTCTGTGTGCCCACTTTCTCCTTCAAGCAAAAGGTAGGCATGAGCAAGGATGAGGGTGGCTTTGAGGGAAGGATGGAGAGACAAGCTATGAGAAGAAGCTGGATACGAAGGATAAATGGATCAACAATTTTGTTTACTCTTTTAAACATACTGCCTATTTTGAAAAAAGTACAAAAGCTAAAGCTAAAATTTATTCCTTTTTTAAGTTTTTATTTCTTTCATTTATTTATTTATTTTTGAGACGGAATCTTGCTCTCCCAGGCTGGAGTGCAGTGGCGCGATCTCAGCTCACTGCAAGCTCCGCCTCCCGGGTTCACGCCATTCTCCTGCCCCAGCCTCCCCAGCAGCTGGGACTACAGGCACCCGCCCCACACCCGGCTAATTTTTTTGTGTGTGTGGTTTTTTTTAGTAGAGACGGGGTTTCACCGTGTTAGCCAGGATGGTCTCGATCTCTTGACCTCGTGATCCACCCGCCTCGGCTTCCCAAAGTGCTAGGATTACAGGCGTGAGTTTGAGGCGGAGTTTCACTCTTGTTGCCCAGGCTGGAGTGCAATGGCGCAATCTCAGCTCACCGCAACCTCTGCTTCCTGGGTTCAAGCGATTCTCTTGCCTCAGCCTCCCGAGTAGCTGGGATCACAGGCATTAGCCACCATGCCCGGCTAATTTTGTATTTTTAGTAGAGACAGGGCTTCTCCATGTTGGTCAGGTTGGTCTCGAACTCCCGACCTCAGGTGATCCACCCGCCTTGGCCTCCCAAAGTGCTGGGATTACAGGCGTGAGCCACTGTGCCTGGCCTATTTTTATTTATTTATTTATTTTTATTTTTATTTTTTTTGAGACGGAGTCTCGTTTTGTCGCCCAGGCTGGAGTGCTGTGGCGCAATCTCCGCTCACTGCAAGCTCCGCCTTCCGGGTTCACACCATTCTCCTGCCTCAGCCTTCCGAGTAGCTGGGACTACAGGCGCCCGCCACTGCGCCCGGCTAATTTTTTGTATTTTTAGTAGAGATGGGGTTTCACCGTGGTCTCGATCTCCTGACCTCATGATCCACCCGCCTCGGCCTCCCAAAGTGCTGGGATTACAGGCGTGAGCCACTGTGCCTGGCCTATTTTTATTTTTTTAGACAGGGTGTTACTCTGGTACAGTGGCCCAATCTTGGCTCACTGCAGCCTTGACCTCTTGGCCTTAGACAATCCTCCCACCTCGGCCTCCTGAGTAGCTGAGACTACAGGCTCAAGCCACTATGCCAAGCTAATTTTTGTATATTTTGTAGAGATGGGGTCTTGTCATGTTGCCCAGGCTGGTCTTGAATCCTGGGTTCAAGTGATCCACCCACCTTCGCCTCCCAAAGTGCTGAATTACAGGCATGAGCTACCTCACCCGGCCTGATTCTTTGTTGAAAAAATCATATGCATGTTTAAAGAAAGTGTCATTTCTTTTTTTTTTTTTTTTTTTTTTTTGGAGACAGAGTCTGGCTCTGTCACCCAAGCTAGAGTGCAGTGGCACAATCTTGGCTCACTGCAACCTCTGCCTCCCGGGTTCAAGCGATTGTCCTGCCTCAGCCACCCGAGTATCTGGGACTATAGGTGTGCACCAGTATGCCCGGCTAATTTTTGTATTTTTAGTAGAGATAGGGTTTCACCATGTTGGCCATACTGGTCTTGAACTCCTGACCTCAGGTAATCCGCCCGCCTCAGCCTCCCAAAGTGCTGGCATTACAGGCGTGAGCCACTGTGCCTGGCCAAGAAAGTATTTCTGCTTCTAGAGTTTCAGGCCCCCTCTCCAGCATTAACCTTTCCTAGCAGTTTCTCGTGTTTCTTTCTAGTAAGCTTGTTTGGCCAAGCTTACATGTATGAGAATACATCTCCCTTTTCAGTATGAAAGGAAACACACCTTTCTCTGTGCTTTTTCACATGACACTAAATCTTGACTGTTGCTCCATGTCAGAATGTAAACAGGCTGTAAACCTCTTGTTACTGCACTTCCTTTTATTGGTTTTCACAGATGCTGTGTTTTTACAAATTGAATGTGGCAACCCTGCATCAAGTAAGTCTATAAGCACCATTTTTCCAACAGCACGTACTCACTTCTGGTCTCTGTCACATTTTGGGAATTCGTATAATGTTTTCATTATTATATCTGTCATGGTGATCCAGGTTGATGTTACTATTGTAATTGCTTTGGACTGCACAAACGATGCCCATGTAAAACATCTGTTTGTTTTTATTATTTATTTATTTAGAGACGGGTTCTCACTCTGTTGCCCAGGCTGGATGAAATGCAGTGGCCTGATCTTAGCTCACTGCAGCCTCCTCAATCAGGAGTCAAGGATACTCCTGCCTCAGTCTTCCTAGTATCTGGGTCTACGGGTGTGCACCATGCCAGGCTAATTTTTTTATTTTTATGTTTGTAGAGACAGGGGTCTCACTATGTTGCCCAGGCTAGTCTTGAACTCCTGGCCTCAAATGATCCACCTGCATCAGCTTCCCAAAGTGCTCAGATCACAGGGAGAGCCACCTCGCCCAGCCAATTCTGACCTCTTTGCCAGTCCATTCTGGATGGAAGCAGTCCCTCCCCTTCAGAATCCCATTGAATTCTCCATAGTACCACAGTCTTTTGGCACTTACCTTTGCAGGAGTAGCTCTTTTGCTCACAAATGTACTTCCTGTAACTACATTTTAAGCTCATTATTTGGATCATGTAGCATCCAGAATTTTATTCTGCTTTGAATAGCTGCTTCCCCAGGTAGACAGGAAACCAAAATTCTCCTACACAAATTTTGGGGCTGAAGTTGGGGCGCCGTGGCTCACGCCTGTAATCCCAGCACTGTGGGAGGCCGAGGCAGGTCGATCACCTGAGGTCAGCCTGGCCAACATGGTGAAACCTGTCTCTACTAAAATACAAAAATTAGCCGGGCGTGGTGGCGGGCGCCTGTAATCCCAGCTACTCGGGAGGCTGAGGGAGAATCGCTTGAACCCGGGAGGCGGAGGTTGTAGTGAGCTAAGATCGCACCACTACACTCCAGCCTGAGCGACAGAGCAAGACTTCGTCTCAAAAAAATAAAAATAAAAAAAATTTGGGGGTTGAGGGTTGGATGATACTAACTCATGCAAACACCAAACCCTGCCTTTCTTCCCCTTCCCGGTGGCAAGAGGGCTTTTCAGATCAGTGATACATTCGCTGATTCTAGTGTTTTCCACCCTAGTAGTCAAGCCTTTGGGTGTCCAAACAAATAGAGAACAAGAGATCAGGATCTCTAAAGGTCTAGAAAAACCCTGGGCCACTTCCATTTTGTGAGGTTCTCAGCATACTGAAAACTGAAGATGTACTAAGAGTGGGTTACTAAAATGGTGGCGTATCTTAAATCTTTCCATGGCACCATCCTTTCTCTCGTCCTGTCATCCCTGTATCTCTCTGCCCTGACACCTAATCTCACTTCAGGAAACATAAATTGAAAGTTCAAATAACCTCGGATTATATTATTCTGGACTGTGTGTTATGCTGGGCGACGAGGCTGCGCAGGCTCCTGGGCCGAGCCATGACTCTGCAGGAACTGCGGCGCCGGCTCACACAGCGCGGAGCAGTGCACGCCAATCCGGCCAGGCGCTCGCGCTGGGTTCTGCTCACGCCCGTAGGGGCCCGCGTTCGCTGCAACGGGCCCTTCCTGATGGCCGATCGTCGGACTCCTACCCCTTTTGCCGGCTGCCGTTTGCCCCGTCAGCGAAGGGCGCGCGATGCGTCCCAAGTCTCGGCTCCAGGAACCAGACGGGTGAGGGCTACTGGGGGTTGGGTTGGAACGCCCCGAAGGCACCACAGCAACCGACGCGGGAACGCCTGTTAAACCAGCCCCGCCCCGAGACGCGCGCGCCCGGCGGTCTCGATCCAGCGTGGCCCGCCCCTCACCTCCCGCCCAACCAACAGCCACTTCCTGCCTCACTCCCGGCCAATCTTCACACTCCACGAAGAATAGCCGTAGGGGGCGTATGGGACGGTGCGTAGAGCGATGCCCACGCCGGCCAACCGGATGTCGGGGCTTGCGCGGGAGGGCGGGACTTGGCGCCGGCTGTGGCTACTCAGGGGCCAGGGGCGGGCACAGGGCCGGGCTTCGTGCGGTGGGGCTCGCTCGCGCGGCAGCGGTGGCCGAGGCCTCTTGGTTCTGCGGCACGTGACGGTCGGGCCGCCTCCGCCTCTCTCTTTACTGCGGCGCGGGGCAAGGTGTGCGGGCGGGAAGGGGCACGGGCACCCCCGCGGTCCTCGGGAGGCTAGAGGTGAGAGGGGAGACCTGAGCGCGTCCTCGGGCCTGTGAGGACCTCGGGGGGCTGGGAGCGCCTCTGCGGCTGAGGGGTCGGGCGTGGCCGGCGACTGAGGGGTCGGGCTGGCTCTTGAGGGCCCAGGCCCTGGCCGACGCGCCCGCCGTGAGCGAGGAGGCCCGAATCCGGGCGTCTTTGGTTGGGTTGCGGGCCCAGGCCGCGCCGCCGGGGTCGGGAGGCGTGGCAGGTGGCCCGACAGCCTTCTTTGACCTCTGGGAAAGCTGACTTATTCCTATGGCTTTGCTTCTAGGGCTTTCTTAGGCCTCTTTGCCGGCTGCCTGGGCAGCCGCGAGGTGGGCTGGAGTAACTGGATAAAAGTATAGGGTGGAATCGGGCCTACTAGGTACCCCTAGTAGTAGGGAAGGGTGGTATTAGACCGAGAGGGAATGTTTACAACTAGCGTTACAGTTTAATATTTGAAAATCCAAAGCGGAGACTGGACCCTAGTTCCCTGAAGAGAAAGGGGAATGTACCAGAAGGAGAACATGCAGTGGTTGAGAAACTTAGCAGTTACAGCACCTATTCTGGAGGCGAGTAATCCAGTTGGAGAGGGACAGGGCGTTAAAAGCAGGAAAGCCCCCGAAAGCTCATCTAAGTGCATCTCTTTCCACACCGGAGGCCTGGAGGTATGAAATGACTGGCCCAAGGTCATGCGATTAGTGTACTGATGGTGCTGGGATTATAGTTCAGGGATAGACCGTGCAGTGGTTAACGCTAAGGCCCTGGCTCGAGTCTTTGATTGGTCATTGGTTGCTCTGTGAACTTCGGCAGTTTTCTTACCCTTTGTGCCCCCGTTCTTGTCAAGTAATGGATATAATAATACCCGATGGATTTGTGAGGATTAAATTAAGATATGTATACAATAAGACAGGGAAGTCCGACATTTAGTAACTGCTCGATGATCATTGCGGTACGTTATTATAATCTGAATGCCTTTGGACCAATACACTGCCATCCTAGTGAACTGGTTCAGTCCTGTTTCGCAGGACCTGAGGTCACAGTTATGGTGATAGAAGAAACCGGGCATTGTGTATTACCGCTGGGCATGACACAAGTGATTGCTGGTTGAGGGAAGTTAAACTGAGCTTAATATTAAAAGATTGAGAGGACAAGATTAACCATAGTTAAGTCTTTTTACCTCTGATTTAGGAAATGGAAGATTTTGCTTAATTTTTTAATAAGTAGATTTTTTTAAGGGGGAAGAATTTTATTGATCTTTAAAATCATTCTGTATCTCAGTCTTTTCCCAACATTGTTTGAGGGTCATGAATAGAAGCAACTGCCATATGGATCAACTGTTGTACATTTGGTATAATTATACTTAGAGCAGAGGTAAAGGACTATGTGGGAGTTCTCCTGTGCATCAGCCAGGGTGCACACACAAGCCAGGTAACTGGATCATGAGAATGCTCGAGTGAACTGTGTGTGGGGGTCAGTGTTGCACAACAGAAATTTTCTGACTTATCTGCAAATGGCTGTCAGCATTCCCCGACACCTTACTATCCTTACTCCCCAGTTCATTTAGCGCATTATCTTCTCAGGGCCACAAGGGATAAGTGTTTTGACAGAAGTCGTTGCTGCCGTTTTGGCAATCACACTATTGCATCCTTTTAGTTAGAGTTCTCTTTGCCCTGGAAGACAGCTTAAGGGGATGAAGTGGCAGTTGGTGAGCATGAATTGCAGGCTCATGAAACTTGAATTGTGTGCCCAGTGTGGTAACCTTTTTTTTTTTTTTTTAGACGGAGTCTCGCTCTGTCACTCAGGCTGGAGTGCGGTGGCGCGATCTCGGCTCACTGCAAGCTCCGCCTCCCGGGTTCACGCCATTCTCCTGCCTCAGCCTCCCTTGTAGCTGGGACTACAGGTGCCCGCCACCACGCCCGGCTAATTTTGTTTTTGTATTTTTAGTAGAGACGGGGTTTCACCGTGTTAGCCAGGATGGTCTCAATCTCCTGACCTCGTGATCCGCCCACCTCGGCCTCCCAAAATGCTGGGATTACAGGCGTGAGCCACTGCGCCCGGCCCAGTGTGGTAGCTTTTGTCCCACTTTGGTTTCCGTAACTTCAAAATAGGAATGAGAAGTCTCCTGGGTGCCTCACCTTTAGGGGGCAATTGGGAGGGGCAGATAAAATGGTGAACATGAAACTACTTTAAAAAGTGTAATGAATTGGCTGGGCACGGTGGCTCTCACGCCTGTAGTTCGAGCACTTTGGGAGGCTGAGGTGGGCGGATTACTTGAGGCCAGGAGTTGGTAACCAGCCTCGCCAAAATGGTGAAACCCTGTCTCTACTAAAAATACAGAAAATTAACCTCCAGCTACTCGGGAGGCTGAGGCAGGAGAATCACTAAACCTGGAAGGCGGAGGTTGCAGTGAGCGGAGATGGTTCCATTGCACTCCAGCCTGGGTGACAGAGTGAGACTCCATCTCAGGAAAAACAAAAAAAAAAGTGTAATGAACTGTGCAAATAGAATACGCCGTTTATAATAACTCCTAGGAAATAATAAAAGTACCTAAACAGTTAAAACCTATACAGCTTTTGGTAAAACTTTTCAGGAAAGTCCTTGTTGAATTCTTTGTTACTCCAACAGATGTACTTTTTTTTTTTTTTTTTTTTTTTTTTTTTTTTGAGACGGAGTCTCCCTCTCAGGCTGGAGTACAGTGGTGTGATCTTGGCTCACTGCAACCTCCGCCTCCTGGGTTCAAGCAATTCTCCTGCCTCAGCCTCCCAAGTAGCTGGGACTACAGGTGCCCACCACCACACCCGGCCCGGTTTTTTGTATTTTAGTAGAGACGGGGTTTCACCGGGTTGTCCAGGCTGGTTGCGAACTCCTGAGCTCAGGCAGTCCGCCCACCTCGGCCTCCCAAAGTGCTGGGATTACAGGTGTGAGCCACCGCGCTCAGCCTTACTTATTTTTTTAGAGACAGGGTCTTGCTCTTCATCAGGCTGGAGTGCAGTGGCGTGGTTATTGCTCACTGCAGTCTCAAACTCCTGCTGTTATTGGTTCAAGTGATCTTCCTGCCTCAGTCTCCTGAGTAGCTGGATCCACAGGCGGATGACGCTACACTCAGCTAATTTTTTTTTTTTTCCTAATTTTTCATAGATACTTCGCTTTGTTGCCCAGGCTGGTCTCGAACTCCTGAGCTCAAGCGATCATCCTGCTTCCTCCAACTCCCAGAGTTCTGGGATTACACGCGCGAGCCACGATGCCAACCAGGAGACCAGAAATTAAGCTCAGCTTTCTTTCTCTCCCTTCTTCCCTCCCTCCCTCCCTCCTTTCCTTCCTTCCTTCTTTTTTAAAACTTTGTGGTATCTGTTTGTGAATTGCTTATTTTACTTACCATATTGTCTTCAAAGTTCATCCATGTTATAGCCGGTGATGGGATTTCCTTCCTTTTTGAGATTGAATAGTATTCCATTGTATGCCTATGCCACATATGGTTTAATCATTCATCCATTGATGGACACTTGGGTTGCTTCTGACTGTTGGCTGTTGTGAGTAGTACTGCTATGAACACGGGTCTGCAAATATCTCTGAAACTCTGCCTTCTTTTTCTGTTTGTTTGTTTGTTTGTTTAAGGCAGTCTTACTCTGTTGCCCAGGCTTGAATGCAGTGGTGCCATTACAGCTCACTTTATTTTTTATTTTTTTGAGACAGTCTCACTCTTGTTGGCCAGGCTGCAGTGCAGTGGCGTGATTTCAACTCACACTGCAAACTCCACTTCCCGGGTTCAAGCTATTCTCCTGCCTCAGCCTCCTGAGTAACTGGGATTACAGGCATCTGCCACCACACCCAGCTAATTTTGTGTTTTTAGTAGAGACAGGGTTTCTCCGTGGTGGTCAGGCTGGTCTTGAACTCCCGAACTCAGGTGATCCACCTGCCTCGGCCTCCCAAAGTGCTGTGATTACAGGTGTGAGCCACCACGCCCAGCCTGCCCAGCTAATTTTTGTATTTTTAGTAGAGACAGGGTTTTGCCATGTTGGCCAGGCTGGTCTCGAATTCCTGACCTCAGATGATCTGCCTGCCTTGGACTCCCAATGTGCTGGGATTATTGGCGTGAGCCACCGCGCCTGGTGGAGTGGTGGAGTCTTTTTTTTTTTTTTGAGGTGGAGTCTCTGTGGCCCAGGCTGGAGTGCAGTGGCGCCATCTCGGGTCACTGCATCCTCCGCCTCCCAGGTTCAAGCGATTCTCCTCCCTCAGCCTCCTGAGTAGCTGCGGCTACAGGTGTGCGCCACCACACTCGGCTAATTTTTTGTATTTTAGTAGAAACCGAGTTTCATCATGTTTCCCTGGCTGGTCTCCTGAGCTCAGGCAGTCTACCAGCCTCCCAACGTGCTAGGATTACAGGCGTGAGCCACCCCACCCTGCCCAACGACTCACTTAGCTTCAACCTGTCAGACTCAGGCTTCTCCTACCTTAGCCTTCTTAGTATCTGGGACAACAGGTGTGTGCTACCATACCTGGCTAAATTTTTCTTTTTTTGATTTTTTGTAGAGACAGGATAATTTTTTTTTTTTTTTGTATAGACAGGGTCAGGCTATGTTTATGTTGGCCAGGCTGGGAAATAAGGTCTTAATAGAGGAAGTTGAAGATTCCTGGGGGAATAGCATGTAGAGCAGCTATAGAGGGAGAGGGTGCTGATTACTAGCTAAAAGACTTAGAAATTTTTGCAAACATGGACTCATGATAGTTTTTGGGTGATGAGTCTTCTTGTAGGATAGCTTGAAAGAGGAGGAGGAAACTAGAGGCCCTGGTAATATAAGGTAACATTAAGTATCCTGATGTCAGTAATGGAGAAGAGTGAAAGACTATGATTGATTGGGTGACTGTGTGGGCAGAGGATGTGAGGAAAAAAGGACATCTTGTGTGTGTGTGTGCACACATTTTTAGTTGTGTATCTTCTACTTGTTTTCTCCCCCACCTTGTACCTGTACTTTCTCAAGCCCAAAAATGAAAATTTACCTGCTACCAACCACATCATCTTGTGCATCTGTGTAGCTCAGTTCTTATTTCTTTAGATCTGTGGTCCTCCGTGGAAAGAGAGCCACTACCCCAAGACACATCTAATATAATACACAGGGCGCTTACGTGGTTAGAAAAGAAGAGATAAGCCGGGTGCGGTGGCTCACTCCTGTAATCCCAGCACTTTGGAAGGCCGAGGCGGGCAGATCACGACGTCAAGAGATTGAGACTATCCTGGCCAACACGGTGAAACCCTGTCTCTATTAAAAATAACAAAAATTAGCTGGATGTGGTGCTGCACACCTGTCATCCCACCTACTTGGGAGGCTGAGGTAGGAGAATCACTTGAACCCAGGAGGCGGAGGTTGCAGTGAGCCAAGATAGTGCCAATGCATCCCAGCCTGGCGATAGAGCAAGACTCATCTCAGGAAAAAAAAAAAAAAGGAGCTTGTTTTGGCCAGGTGCAGTGGCTCACGCCTGTAATCCCAGCACTTTGGGAGGCTGAGGCAGGTGGATCACCTGAGGTCAGGAGTTCGAGACCAGCCTGGCCAACATGGCGAAACCCTGTCTATACTAAAAGTACAAAAATTAGCCGGGCATGGTGGTGGGTGCCTGTAATCACAGCTACTCAAGAGGCTGAGGTGGGAGAATTACTTGAACCTGGGAGGCGGCGGTTGCAGTGAGCTGAGATGGTGCCACTGCACTCCAGCCTGGGCGACAGAGGGAGAATCCATCACAAAATAAATAAATAAAATATATAAATTTTAAAAAGTAGCTTGTTCTTAGTTTAATATTCTTTTTGAGTTCTAAAACGCTAATTTGAAAACATGTCTATTGATGATATTTGAGCAACCGTATCCATATTAAGCCTTAATATGAGAGGAATTATCTTCTGTGTTAATTTTTTTTTTTGAGACGAACTCTTGCTCTGTCACGCAGGCTAGAGTGTAGTGGCGTGCTCACTGCAACCTCCACCTCCTGGGTTCAAGCAGTTCTCCTGACTCAGCCTCCCAAGTAGCTGAGACTACAGGCGCCCGCTATCGCTCCCAGCTAATTTTTGTATTTTTAGTAGAGAAGAGTTTCGCCATGTTGGCCAGGCTGGTTGTGAACTCCTGACCTAGTGAGCCACCTGCCTCGGCCTCCCAAAGTGCTGGGATTACAGGCGTGAGCCACGGCGCCCGGCCATCTCTGTTATTTCATTGTAATGTTTTAACGGGTACCCCCTGTAAATTAGTGTATGAAAGGGCTTTTGTCTGTTGTAAAGCACTTTACAAATGCAAAAGTTTGTTGGAAATTGTATTTGAATGCCCCACATCTGTGTAACCAATCCTCTCTATATGAGGATGTTGTGTATGTTTCAGTTTTATTTTGAAATTTTCCAGAAATGGAATCTTTTAACTGATTTTAGGGAAACCCTTTAATCTCTCTAGGCTGCCTTTCTTTATCTATGAAATGAAATAGTAAGTTCTTTTTAGCTCTGCGATTTAAAAGCTTTAATTTTAAATGAGAGAGTGGTTAGTGATCTTCATGAAGTTTGATAGGTGGCAATACATTTAACTGATTTTGCTCTTTATGTGTAGATCATGGAAGGGAAGTGGTTGCTGTGTATGTTACTGGTGCTTGGAACTGCTATTGTTGAGGCTCATGATGGACATGATGATGATGTGATTGATATTGAGGATGACCTTGACGATGTCATTGAAGAGGTAGAAGACTCAAAACCAGATACCACTGCTCCTCCTTCATCTCCCAAGGTTTGAAATGGTCTTTGAATCTATTCCTTTTACGTCTTGAGATGATAAAATTATGAAGATACCCGGGTGCAGGGAAATGTAGTCTCAACTACTCAGGAGGCCTAGGACAGGAGTGTGAGTCCAGCCTTGGCAACACAGGGAGATATCATCTCTAATAAAATATAAAAGAAAAACATGGTGAAGATAAATTTGGAACGTTTTCAAAGGGAAAGCAAAATTCGTGAAAATACTTATTGATCTCTCTGGCAGCCTTTGTCTTGCTAGAGGCCAATTATATGGGTTGAATTTGAAGGCCAGCTATGAAATTTTTGTGACAGTTGAAAGCAAACCAGGAGAATAGATTCTAGATAAAAAGGCATGTTGCTGAAAATTTAAATTTTTAATTCATTTATGTATTTAACACAGGTTACTTACAAAGCTCCAGTTCCAACAGGGGAAGTATATTTTGCTGATTCTTTTGACAGAGGAACTCTGTCAGGGTAAGTGTTTTCCAGAGAAATATATGTTAGAGGCAGACATGTAAATAAGATGGGATAGTAGATTCCTTTTTGGATAGCATCTTTTATAGTGAAATGTCTAACTTTATTTTATTTTATTTATTTATTTTTTGAGACAGAATTTCGCTCTTTTGCCTGGGCTGGAGTGCAATGGCGTGATACCGGCTCATTGCCACCTCCGTCTCCTGGGTTCAAGTGATTCTCCTGCCTCAGCTTCCCAAGTAGCTGGGATTATAGGCATGCGCCACCATGCTGGCCAATTTGTGTGTGTGTGTTGTTATTTTTTTAGTAGAGATGGGGTTTTGACATGTTGGCCAGGCTGGTCTTGAACTCCTGACCTCAGGTGGTCCACTTGCCTTAGCCTCCCAAATTGTTGGCATTACAGGCATGAGCCACCGCACCTGGCCTGAAATTTCTAGCTTTAATATCTTCAGTGTTAACATCCATGCAGGAAAATAGTCTTTTGGAATTTGTGGTTTTTACTTCCACTTCTTTCCCTCCCCCACTCTACCCTATATTTTGTTCTTTGATTGAGGAAAAAAATTTTCTCTTGATGTTAAAACATCAGTGGAATTATCTCATAGGTTTGGTACTTTTTCATATAGGTTTGTGAGTTGAAGATAATGTATTATCATTAGTTGTGTGACAGATTTAAAGGTTGGAAGTAGAGTGGTTAAATAGGCTAAGAGCAGAATAGGTCCTACTTTAATGAGTATTTACATAATTTTCCCTCACAAGTCAACTGTCATTTTAAGACTGATTTTGGGATTTGTTATTTACAGGTGGATTTTATCCAAAGCCAAGAAAGACGATACCGATGATGAAATTGCCAAATATGATGGTGAGAATCCCATTTGGTTTAGATATAATAGCAGATAGAGGTTTGACATGTTGTCTCCATGGCATTTCCTAAGACTAGTTTAAAAGGACATAGTAGGCTTTAAGATTTTTCCAGCCAGGTGCGGTGGCTCACGCCTGTAATCCCAGCACTTTCGGAAGCCAAGGCGGGCAGATCACGAGGTCAGGAGATCGAGACCATCCTGGCTAACACAGTGAAACCCCGTCTCTACTGAAAATACAAAAAATTAGCTGGGCGTGGCAGCGTGCATCTGTAGTCCCAGCTGCTGGGGAGGCTGAGGCAGGAGAATGGTGTGAACCCGGGAGGCCAAGCTTGCAGTGAGCCGAGAACGCGCCACTGCACTCCAGCCTGGGTGACAGAGCGAGACTCCGTCTCAAAAAAAAAAAAAAAAAAAAGATTTTTCCATGGAAGTTTTGCCACCTTTGTGTGTTGCCTAATTTTTTTTTTTTTTTTTTATTTTATTTAAGGTTCAGGGGTGCATGTGTAGCCTTATATTTAATAGGATTAGATCTGTTTAATCACCTGTGCTACTGAATGTTGGAAATTTCTAGACAGTAGTATAATACACTACAGTTTTAAAAAGCCATATCTGAATAATATTTGCCAAATAAAGTGTGTTTATTTATTATTTATTTACTTTTTTGAGACGGAGTCTCATTCTTGCCACCCAGGCTTCTGGAATAGAGTGGCGTGATCTTGGCTCACCGCAACCTCTGTTTCTTGGGTTCAAGCGATTCTCCTGCCTCAGCCTACCGAGTAGTTGGGATTACAGGTGCCCATCACCACGCCCGGCTAATTTTTGTGTTTTTATTAGAGATGGGGTTTCACCATGTTGGCCAGGCTGGTCTCGAACTCCTGACCTCGAGTGATCCGCCTGCCCTCAGCCTCCCTAAGTGCTGGGATTATAGGTGTGAGCGACCACGGCTGCCCCAGTATAATATATTTATGCAACTAGGAGGTGTTTTTTTTGGCATTTAAAGGACCTTCAGAGGTAGAGTTAAGCAGTGGAACTTTTTTGTGTTGTCTTGTAGGAAAGTGGGAGGTAGAGGAAATGAAGGAGTCAAAGCTTCCAGGTGATAAAGGACTTGTGTTGATGTCTCGGGCCAAGCATCATGCCATCTCTGCTAAACTGAACAAGCCCTTCCTGTTTGACACCAAGCCTCTCATTGTTCAGTAAGTGAAATGCTTGTTGGATAAAAGCTTTCTGCAAAGGGTAATCTTAGAAGACATTATGTAACTTTTACTCTATGTTAAAAAATTATGAGATTATATAAGTGGTGGTAGGGATTTTTGGGTGAATTTAAACACCTTGTAATTAATAGTTTTTCCTGGCTAATGCATTATTTTGAAAGAAACTGGTTACTTATTTTCCTGACTCTAAATAACTTGTAGATTTTGCAGAACAAATTTACCGGAAATCTGCATTAATAGTTTTTGTAATTAATTAATTACAAAACTAGTAATTAATAGTTTTTCCTGCCTAATGCATTATTTTGAAAGAAACTGGTTACTCATTTTCCTGACTCTAAATAACTTGTAGATTTTGCAGAACAAATTTACTGGAAATCTGCATTAATGTTCAATTTAATTTTATTTATTTTTGTGGCATTTGATAACTATTCAAAAACAATAGAAGATGGAATCCTTTGTAAGGGTAAACATTTGACCTATGATAAAACGTGACTAAGATGAGGGAGAGAGGAAATACATTAAGAGAGTTTCGATCTTTCAAAATGCCATACAGTTTTCTGCTTTTCTCTCTGATATTAGGTATGAGGTTAATTTCCAAAATGGAATAGAATGTGGTGGTGCCTATGTGAAACTGCTTTCTAAAACACCAGAACTCAACCTGGTATGTAATTCCCATTTCTGGAATGTGGCTGGACACCCACTATTACCTTGTAAGAATTTTGTAATTGGGCCGGGTGCGGTGGCTCACGCCTGTAATCCTAGCTCCCAGCACTTTGGGAAGCCAAGGCAGGCGGATCACGAGGTCAGGAGATTGAGACTATCTGGCTAACATGGTGAAACCCCATCTCTACTAAAAATACAAAAAATTAGCCAGGCGTGGTGGCAGGCGCCTGTAGTCCCAGCCACTTGGGAGGCTGAGGCAGGAGAATGGCATGAACCTGGGAGGCGGAACTTGCAGTGAGCCGAGATTGCGCCACTGCACTCCAGCCTGGGCGACAGAGCAAGACTCCATCTCAAAAAAAAAAAAAAGAGAATTTTGTAATAATTGTGAAAATAAAGGCTTCCTCCCCTGCTGTTTAACTCTTTTGATGAGTTGGGAAAATTGACTTTGACGCTAACGTGCTTTTTATTTGAAGTGTAAATTACAAAGTTGTTACCAACTGTTTTTATCTGAATTTCTGGTTTTGCTTCTGTGTAAGTTTTAGTTTTGGCAAGCTTATTTCTTTGTTTTATGAGGAAGCAATAACTGTCTAGATGTGTGCATTACTTTTTTTTAGACACTTAAACGTTATTTTAAATTTACTGATGATTGCTGGTTATTCCTTTTTACTAAACAAACTTGTAGTTAGCTTTTCCTTTAACTGTCACTAATATATTTGGAATTTTATAAGAGGAATTATCATACACTTTTGAAACGTTGCTTTTGAACACTTTGAGTACAGTGACTTCAAATAATCCTTTTTTGTTTTTGAAGGATCAGTTCCATGACAAGACCCCTTATACGATTATGTTTGGTCCAGATAAATGTGGAGAGGACTATAAACTGCACTTCATCTTCCGACACAAAAACCCCAAAACGGGTATCTATGAAGAAAAACATGCTAAGAGGCCAGATGCAGATCTGAAGACCTATTTTACTGATAAGAAAACACATCTTTACACACTAAGTAAGAAAAAGCATTAGTTTGGGGGCTTATGGTATTACATATATATCATCCATTTAATTTAAAGATTGTATATCTGGCCGGGCACTGTGGCTCACGCCTGTAATCCCAGCACTTTGGGAGGCCGAGATGGGCAGATCACCTGAGATCAGGAATTCGAGAACAGTCTGGCCAAAATGTTGAAACTTCACCTCTACTAAAAATACAAATATTAGCTAGGCATGGTGGTGCACGCCTGTAACCGAAGCTAGTTGGGAGGCTGAGGCAGGAGAATTGCTTGAACCTGGGAGGGAGCCAAGATCATTGTGCCACAGCATTCCAGCCTGGGCGAAAGTGAGACTCAATCTCAAAAAAAAAAAAAAAGGCTGGGCGTGGTGGCTCACACCTGTAATCCCAGCACTTTGGGAGGCCGAGGCGGGTGGATCACAAGGTCAGGAGATCGAGACCATCCTGGCTAACATGGTGAAACCCCGTCTCTACTAAAAATACAAAAATATTAGCCGGGCGTGGTGGTGGGCACCTGTAGTCGCAGCTACTTGGGAGGCTGAGGCAGGAGAATGGCACGAACCCGGGAGGCAGAGCTTGCAGTGAGCCGAGATCGCGCCACTGCACTCCAGCCTAGGAGACAGAGCAAGACTCCATCTCAAAAAAAAAAAAAAAAAAAAAAAAAAAAAAAAAAAGATTGTATATCTGGAGAGTACCCCAGCCTCCAAACAAGAAGAATCTCAGCCTGGTATGGTTGCTCATGCGTGTAATCCCAGCACTTTGGGAGGCTGAGGCGGGCGGATCACTTGAGATCAGGCATTCGAGACTAGCATGGCCAACATGGTAAAACCCCGTCTCTACTAAAAATACAAAAATTAGCTGGGCGTGGTGTTGAGTAGCTGGTGTAATCCTAGCTACTCGGGAGGCTGAGGCAGCAGAATTACGTTAACCCAGGAGGCAGAGGTTGCAGTTGAGTCAAGATTGTATCACTGCACTCCAGCCTGGGTGGCAGAGGAAGATTCTGTACCCCCTCCACGAAAGAAAAGAATCTCTTCACTTTAGTATCTTAGTTGGGAAATGACCTTAATTTGTCAGCATTAAAAGAAGCTTCTTGGCCACGTATGGTGGCCCACACCTGTAATCCTAACACTTCGGGAGGCTGAATCGGATGGATTGCTTGAGTCCAGGAGTTCCAAACCAGCCTGACAACATAGTCAGACCCTGTCTCTACAAAATCTTAAGAATTAACTGAGTATAGTGGCATGTGCCTGTAGTTTCAGCTACTCAGGAGGCTGAGGTATGAGGATTGCTTGAGCCCAGGAAGTCGAGACTGTAGTGAGCCATGATCTTGCCACTGCACTGTAGCCTGGGTGACAAAGTGAGATGCTGTCTCAAAAAACAAAACAAAAAACCCAAAAAACTTCTTTTCCACAGGAACTGAGGTTCGAGATAATTTTAAGAATAGAATAGGTGTTTTTGGCCAGGCATGGTGGCTCGTGCCTATAATCCCAGCACTTTGGGTGGCCGAGGTGGGCGGATCACCTGAGGTCAGGAGTTTAAGACCAGCCTGGCCAACATGGTGAAGCCCCATCTCTACTAAAAATACAAAAATTAGCCGGGCATGGTGGAGGGTGCCTGTAATCCCAGCTACTCAGGAGGCTGAGGCAGGAGAATTGCTTGAACCCGGGAAGCGGAGGTTGCAGTGAGCCAGATTGTGACACTGCACTCCAGCCTGGGCGACAGGAAGACTCTGTCTCAAAAAAAAAAAAAAAAAATTGGTATTTTTTGCTGGACATGGTGGCTCATGCCTGTAATCCCAGCACGATGGGAGGCTGAGGCGAGCAGATCACTTGAGGTCAGGTGTTCAAGACCAGCCTGGCCAACATGGTGAAACGTCATCTCTACTGAAAATACAAAAATTAGCCGGGTGGGGTGGTGGGCGCCTATAATCTCAGATACTCAGGAGGCTGAGGCAGGAGAATCACTTGAACCCGGGAGGCGGAGGTCACGGTGAGCCAAGGTCATGCCATTGCACTCCAGCCTGGGCAACACAGTGAGACTCCGTCCCCCACTCCAAAAAAAAAAGGTGTTTTTTTTTTTTTTTTCTACAAAGAGCTTTGCTGATCTAATTTCTTCCTTTTTTTTGTTGTTGTTGTTGAGAAATGTTGAATAATAGAATAAGTTATATTTATAATTATACATAAATCCAATAAAAATAGTTTTTCAGAAGTATCTTGTAGTTGAACTTATTTGGATGCTCCAATACCTGGACAATTGACAATTGAGTTGAATCATTTTGATACAGGGTTTTTTTTGGTTTGTTTGTTTATTGAAGCTTTTCCTGCTAGTTTGAGATCATAAATAGGCATGCCTCTTTCTGAAGAATATAATAACCTTTTTTTTTTTTGAGATGGAGTTTCACTCTTGTTCCCCAGGCTGGAGTGCAATTGTGTGATCTTGGCTCACCACAACCTCTGCCTCTTGCATTCAAGCGATTCTCCTGCCTTGGCCTCCCAAGTAGCTGGGATTACAGGCATGTGCCACCACGCCTGGCTAATTTTTTTTTTTTTTTTTTTAGTAGAGATGGGTTTTCTCCATGTTGGTCAGGCTGGTCTCAAACTCCCGACGTCAGGTGATCTGCCCGCCTCAGCCTCCCAAACTGCTGGGTTATAGGCGTGAGCCACCGCGCCTGGACTACCTTTTTAATTTTTTTGAGGCGGAGTATTGCTCTGTCACCCAGGTGGGCGTGCAGTGGCGTGATCTTGGCCTACTGTGACGTCTGCCTCCCGGGTTCAAGCGATTCTCTTGCCACAGCCTCCTGAGTAGCTGGGATTACAGGCTTGTGCCACCATGCCCAGCTAATTTTTCTTTTTTTTATTATTATTATTATTTTTTTTTTCCAGCTAATTTTTCTGTTTTTAGTAGAGACCGGGTTTCACCATGTTGGCCAGGCTGGTCTCGAACTCCTGACCTCAAGTGATCTGCCCGCCTCAGCTCCTGAAAGTGCTGGGATTACAGGTGTGAGTCACTGTACCCAGCCTAGAATATAACAACCTTTTTTTCTTTTTTTTGTGACGGAGTCTTGCTTTGTCATCCAGGCTGGAGTGCAGTGGCGCCATCTTGGCTCACTGCAGCCTCCGCTTCCCAGGTTCCAGTGATTCTCCCGTCTCAGCCTCCCCAGTAGCTGGGATTACAGGCACACACCACCATGTCCAACTAATTTTTGTATTTTTAGTAGAGCCTTGTTGGCCAGGCTGATCTCAAACTCTTGGCCATCTGTTGATCCGCCCACCTCGGCCTCCCAAAGTGCTAGGATTACAGGCGTGAGCCACTGAGCCCAGCTTAACCTTTTTTTGTTATTTCCAAAAGTAATACATATTTAAGGTATAGAAATTCAGAAGCCATAAGTAAGCAAAAAGAAAACACTTAAAGCGAGGGAGAGGGGTTGAAGACAAGTTGGTTAATTGGTACAGAAATAAGGTAGAAGGAATAAATTCTAATATTTGATAGTACAGTAGGGAAATTATAGTTAGAACAATTTATGGTGTATTTCAGAAGAGCTGGAAGAGAATTGTACTGTTCCCAATACAAAGAAAAAGTAAATGGAGCCAGGTGCAGTGGCTCAGGCCTATAATCCCTGCGCTTTTGGGAGGCTGAGGTGGGAGGATCACTTGAGGCCAGGAGTTCTAGACCAGCCCGGGCAGCATAGTGAGACCTTGTTCCTACAAAAAAAATAATTATTCAGGCTTGGTAGCATGTACCTCTAGTCCCAGGTGCTCGGGAGGCTGTGGTATAAAAGGATCCCTTGAGTCCAGGATTCGAGATTGCAGTGAGCTATGATTGGGCCACTGCACTCCAGCGTGGGTCACAGAATGAGACTCTGTCTCTATAAAATAGAAAGAAAAGGTAAATGTTTAAGGTTACAGATATTTCAATTACTGTGATTTGTTTGTTTTGTTTTGTTTTGTTTTGTTCTTTTTGTTTTTTTGAGATGGGAGTCTCGCTCTGTTGCCCAGGCTGGAGTGCAGTGGCCTGATCTCAGCTCACTGCAACTTCTGCCTCCCGGGTTCAAGCGATTCTCCTGCCTCAGCCTCCCGAATAGTTGGGACTATAGGCATGCGCCACCATGCCCGGCCAATTTTTTTGTATGTTTAGTAGAGTTGGGGTTTCACCATGTTGGTCAGGCTGGTCTCGAACTCCCAACCTCAAATGATGGGCCTGCCTCAGCCTCCCAGAGTGCTGGGATTATAGGCATGAGCCACTGGGCCCGTCCAATGACTGTGATTTGGTCATTACACATTATATACATGTATCAAAATATCACACGTACCCCGAAAATATGTACAAGTACGATATGTCAATCAAAACATACACAAAGAAGTCACTTAAAATTATCTTAAACATCAGCATTGTGATATATATTTGTCAATATGTGTATATACACATATACAACTTTACATGCTATATCTAACTTTTTTATTTTTTTATTTATTTTTATTTTTTTTTTTGAGACGGAGTCTCGCTCTGTCTCCCAGACTGGAGTGCAGTGGTGCGATCTCCGCTCAGTGCAAACTCCGCCTCCCGGGTTCACGCCATTCTCCTGCCTCAGCCTCCCGAGTAGCTGGGACTACAGGTGCCCACCACCACGCTGGGCTAATTTTTTGTATTTTTGGTAGAGACGGGGTTTCACCGTGTTAGCCAGGATGGTCTCGATCTCCTGACCTCGTGATTCGCCCGTCTCGGCCTCCCAAAGTGCTGGGATTACAGGCGTGAGCCACTGCGCCCGGCCCTTTTTTATTTGAGACAGAAACACTGCAATCTCCACCTCCCAGGTTCAAGCGATTCTTGTGCCTTAGCCTCCCAAGTAGTTGGGTTTACAGGTGTGCACCAACATGCCCACCTAGTTTTTGTATTTTTAGTAGAGACAGGGTTTCACCATGTTGGCCAGGCTGGTCTCGAACTCCTGGCCTCAAGTGATCCACCTGCGTTAGCCTCCCAAAGTGCTGGGATTACAGGCATGAGCCACCACACCCGTTTCTTAACAACAAAAGAGTGTGAAGTTCTTCCTCACAGAAATATTCATTTTCATTATCACTGACACAGCAGCATAGGATTCCTTGTTTGGATGTGCTGTAACTCAGTCTCCTGTGTATTAGATATCTAGGTGTGGAATCTGGGCTTTAATATACATCACACTTAAGATGCTTTTATGGGGCCCATGTGGCTGGGCACGGTGGCTCACACCTGTAGTCTTAACACCTTGGGAGGCTGAGGTTGGGCAGATTGCCTGAGCTCAGGAGTTTGAGACCAGCCTGGGCAACATTGCAAAACCCCATCTCTACTTAAAATACAAAAAATTAGCTGGGCATGGTGGCACGGGGCCGTCTGTAGTTCCAGCTACTGCGGAGGCTGAGGCAGGAGAATCGCTTGAACCTGGGAGGCGGGCGTTGCAGTTAGCCGAGATCACACCACTGCACTCCAGCCTGGGAGACAAAGCGAGACTCTGTCTCAAAAAAATAAAATAAAATTTTAAAAAATGCTTTTATGGATTTAAAATTGTTTTTTCATTCTCCATGGGAGTTAAAAAGTAGAAAGTAGAATCATGAGTGGACATGCGTTTTAATAAATTGGAGGTTTGTGTAATTTCAGTAACGTAATAATACCAGCTCTATTAAAAATGAAGAAATGGACCTTTTGTACTGGGAAGTAGTTGTAAGTCCACGTATTTGTCTTCTCACTGGTGTATATGTGTAAGCCCAATAATTGTGTTAGTTTATGTAGTTTCTTGTTTTTTTTGTTTTTTTTTTTTAGTGTCTATAAGTCAAGTCTTTGGTGTTAAAGATTTTAACTATCATTTGCTGTAATTCTTAGAAAGCCGAGGGACTAATCATTTATGTTTCGTGCATAAGGAAATGGGCGTTAGCTTCCCCAAGACCCCAGGAGCCAGGCATTGTTCTTACCCCAAAGCCTCAGGTCAGACTTCTGCTGCTTCACGTTAGAAGTCATGATCTTTTGTATTATGGTAAAGGGAGCTTGGAAAATTAAGTACTTTTAATTCCATTTAATGTTTCTTTCAGTCTTGAATCCAGATAATAGTTTTGAAATACTGGTTGACCAATCTGTGGTGAATAGTGGAAATCTGCTCAATGACATGACTCCTCCTGTAAATCCTTCACGTGAAATTGAGGACCCAGAAGACCGGAAGCCCGAGGATTGGGATGAAAGACCAAAAATCCCAGATCCAGAAGCTGTCAAGCCAGATGACTGGTGAGTCTTGGGGAACTGTCTTCAAGTGTAAGGGAGCATTTCATATATTCCATGTGGCTTGAACAACGAAATGTTGGTTGAGTAAGCTCTGATAATTTCAGTAATCCATGATGCAGTCTAATCTGTAGGGAAAATATAGAGTACTATAGCTGGAAAGGGGCCATAGTGTAATCATCTGGATTGACTCACCATTTTACAAGCCACAGAATGCCACACTTGATAAGAGTTTGTCTGTGGTGACACTGTTGGTTTGTGGCAGAATCTCAGGTCCTTTAACCTGGCTACTCCAGGGCTTCTGTGAACTCACATTTAAAGCCAAAGTTCTGAAATGCTAAATTTTAATTTGAAAAATAACCTTTTTCCTATTTAAACAACAGTCAATTCTCTGCTGTGGGTTGGGTGGTAGAATACAAAGCCACAAGGACACCACCATCTGCCTACACAGAGCTTGAAGTCCAGTTGTGAGGCATGATGTTGGCATGTGGTATCGTAAGGGTTCATGAGAAGGTGCCACAGGAGACCAGAGCACCAGGTGTACCTAAACTAGGCATGGTTTCTTGGAGCAAGGCAAATCAGATTGAGACTTGGCAGTGAGGTGAGAATTAAGGAGTTGGTGAATATGGGAAGGGGTGTTTCTGATTGAAGAATGTCGTATGCAGAAGTAGAGGAGCAGCAATGAGCTTGACATGCGAGGGAGAAATTACATGGCCTTTTATGTAGGGTGCACATTGAAGAGTGAGGAGAAATGAAGATAGCTGGGGCTGTATTCTTGTATATGGCTGTCTTTGAACTTGCAACTTCACACAGTGACTCCAGAAATGTCAGAAAGTGAACAAAGAAATTCTTACCCTTTGTAAAATATCCTCCTATGCTTAGCAATTACATTCTAGATTATCTTTTTCCTCCTTGAAAGGTAAGATACATATAACTGAACTTTTGTACTGCACTAGTATAAATGCCAAGTTTACTTGTATATTTGGTGTATATTAGATTTGGACTTAGCCTTGTTCAGTATTATATTCCTTAACTAGCTTTATCACCTAAGAAGGCCCCTGTACCCATTAAGCGGCCACTCCCTGTTTCCTCCCCCAACTCCCAGCAACCACTAACCTGCTTTCTGCCTCTCTACATTTGTCCACTTTGTATATTTCATATAAAATGGAATCATACAGTATGTGGCTTTCTCTGTCCAGTTTCTTTCATTTAGCACAGTGTTTTCCAGGTTTATCTGTGTTGAAGCATGTATCAGTACTGCATTCCTTTTTATGATTGAATAAATTCTACTGTTTTGATAATGCCACATTTTATTTATCCATCCTTTGGTGGACATTTAGGTTGTTTGCTCCTTTTTGTCTGTGATTATGAATAATGCTGCTATGAATGTTCATGTACTGGTTTTTACATAAATATGTTTTTTCTTTTCTTGCTTTTTTTTTTTTGAGATGGAGTGTAGCTCTGTCGCCCAGGCTGGAGTGCAGTGGCGCCATCACGGCTCACTGCAACCTCTGTCTCCCGAGTTCAAGTGATTCTCCCGCCCTAGCCTCCCAAGTAGCTGGGATCACAAGCGCATGCCACCACACCCAGCTAATTTTTGTATTTTTAGTAGACACGGGGTTTTACCATGTTGGTCAGGCTGATCTCGATCTCCTGACCTCAGGTGATCTACCCGCCTCAGCCTCCCAAAGTGCTGGGATTACAGGCGTGAGCCACCACACCTGGCCTCTTTTCTTTAGACATGATCTCTGTGTTGCCCAGGTGGGAGTACAGTGGTACGGTCACGGCTCACTGCAGCTTCCACTTTCTGGGGTCAAGCGATCCTCTCCCGCCTTAGCTTCTCAAGTAGCTGGGACTGCAGGTATGCACGCCTGGCTAATTTTTATGGGTTTTTTGTTTGTTTGTTGAGACAGAGTCTCGTTTTGTCACCCAGGCTGGAGTGCAGTGGCACGATCTCGTCTCATTGCAACCTCTGCCTCCCGGGTTCAAACGATTCTCGTGCCTCAGCATCCCAAGTAGCTGGGACTACAAGCGTGCACCACTGCACTCGTGCCTCACCCTCCAAGTAGCTGGGACTACAAGCGCGCACTACTACAAAAAATTCTTGTATTTTTAGTAGAGATGGGATTTCACCATGTTGGCCAGGATGGTCTCAAAATTCTGATGTCAAGTGATCTACCAGCCTCAGCCTCCCAAAGTGCTGGGATTACAGGCGTGTGCCACCGTGCCTGGCTGTGCATGTTTTTTCTTTTTTTTTGAGACGGAGCTTCGCTCTTGTCGCCCAGGCTGGAGTGTAGTGGCGTGATCTTGGCTCACCACAACCTCTGCCTCCCGGTTTCAAGTGATTCTCCTGCCTCAGCCTCCTGAGTAGCTGGGATTACAGGCATGTGCCACCACGCCCAGCTAATTTTGTATTTTTAGTAGAGATGGGGTTTCTCCATGTTGGTCAGGCTGGTCTCAAACTCCCGACCTCAGGTGATCTGCCCACCTTGGCCTCCCAAAGTGCTAGGATTACAGGCATGAGCCACTACACCTGGCTTAATTTTTGTATTTTTTGGTAGAGACAGGGTGTCATCATATTGGTCAGGCCGGTCTTGAACTCCTGTCCTCAGGTGATCCACCCGCCTTGGCCTCCCAAAGTGCTGGGATTACAGGTGTGAGCCACCGCACCTGGCCTTGTGTATTTTTTTTTTTTTACTAGAGACTGGGTTTCACCTTGTTGCCCAGGCTGGTGTGACCTCAAGTGATCCTCCTGCCTTGGCCTCCCAAAGTGCTGAGATTACAGGCATGAGCCACTCTGTCTAGCTATAGATATATATTTTCATTTCTCTTGGGTATATATACCTAAAAGTGGAATTGCTGGGTCATGTGGTAACTAACTTTTTGAGAAACTGCCAAACTGTTTTCCAAATGAGCAGTACCATTTTACTTTCCCACCAGCAGTGTATGAGGGTTTCAGTTTCTCTGCGTTCTTTCCAGCATTTGTTTTTATGAGTCTTTTTTATTAGAGCCAACTTGGTACTAAGTGGTATCGTTTTGATTTGCCATTTCCCTGATGGCTAATGATGTTAAGCATCTTTTCGTGTGCTTATTGTATGTTCATATTGTATATTTTTACATTCGTATGTCTTCTTTGGAGAAATGTCTATTAAAATCATTTGCCCATTTTTAAATTGGGTTGTCTTTATATTATTGAGTTGTAAAGAGTTATTTTACTAGGCCCTTAGCAGATATATGATTTACAAGTATTTTCTAAGAGGAATTATTTTAAATTTTGAGATTAAAAACAAATTTTTTTAGAATACTCTGTTCTGATCCACAAAGTGGTACTATACTGTGACCAGTGTTGTCATAACTGGCTTTTTCTTTTGTATTTAAGGGATGAAGATGCCCCTGCTAAGATTCCAGATGAAGAGGCCACAAAACCCGAAGGCTGGTTAGATGATGAGCCTGAGTACGTACCTGATCCAGACGCAGAGAAACCTGAGGATTGGTAAGAACTTCAGTTAACTTTTTTTAATTACCTGGTTTTTTTGTTTGTTTTTTTTTTTGAGATGGAGTCTCACTCTGTCTCCCAGGCTGGAGTTCAGTGGCGCAGTTTCGGCTCACTGCAACTTTCACCTCCTGGGTTCAAGTGATTCTCCTCCATCAGCCTTGCGAGTAGCTGGGATTACAGGTGTGTGCCACCACACCCGGCAAATTTCTGTATTTTTTGTATTTTTAGTAGAGACGGACTTTCACCGTGTTGGCCAGGCTGGTCTCAAAGTCCTGACCTCAAGTGATCTGTCTGCCTTGGCCTCCCAAAGTGCTGGGATTACAGGCGTGAGCCACCACACCCAGCATAAGTTACCTGTTTTTATTGAAGTCAATCTTAATACTTAAATATAGCCAAGTTCCCTAATTTCAGGGTAGAATTTGACAATTTTAATTATATTTTCTTCTTTTTTAAAAAATAAATTTTTCCTGAAAAACTGTTATTACTGGAAATACAGGAGAAGCTGGTCTGGGATACTGTGAAAACATTTCAGCAGGATCTTGGCAGCCCTGGGCCAGCCAGCTGTTCATAGTCCTGCATCACAGAACCTGTTTATAATTTGTTGTTTGTACCTCCGTAGGGATGAAGACATGGATGGAGAATGGGAGGCTCCTCAGATTGCCAACCCTAGATGTGAGTCAGCTCCTGGATGTGGTGTCTGGCAGCGACCTGTGATTGACAACCCCAATTATAAAGGCAAATGGAAGCCTCCTATGATTGACAATCCCAGTTACCAGGTTTGTGCCTCTTGATGGTTGAGTTGCTTTCATTAATCTGTTTGTATTCAGATAGAAGTTTTATCTAGAGTAAGGCTGCTAGGTTGGTCATTATATTCAAGCTGTTGAATTAAAAGCAGAAAGTAGACTTCCTAAGTTGAAAGAGAGCTTAATGGGTTAGGTATTGCAAAGATAAACCTAGAAACTGGAGTGAATAACTTTCTTTAACTTTATTTATTTATTTATTTATTTATTTATTTTTGAGATGGAGTTTCGCTCTTCTACCCAGGCTGGAGGGCAGTGGTGTGATGTCGCCTCACTGCAACCTCTGCCTTCCGGTTTCAAGCGATTCTCTTGCCTCAGACTCCCGAGTAGCTGGGATTACAGGTGCCTGCCACCACGCCTGGCTAATTTTTATATTTTTAGCAGAGATGGTGTTTCACCATGTTGGCCAGGCTGGTCTCGAACTCCTGACCTCGCGATCCGCCCACCTCAACCTCCTAAAGTGCTGGGATTACAGGCGTGAGCCACTGCATCTGGTCAACTTTCTTTTTTTGAGACTGAGTCTCACTCTAGTGGCCAGGCTGGAGTGCAATGGCTCAGTCTCGGCACACTGCCACCTCCACCTCCTGGGTTCAAGCAATTCTCCTGACTCAGCCTCCCGAGTAGCTGGGAGCACAGGTGTGCTCACAGGTGTGCTCACCTCACCTGGCTGATTTTTTGTATTTTTAGTAGAGACGGGGCTTCGCCATGTTGGCCAGGCTGGTCTCGAACTCCTGACCTCAGGTGATCCAGCTGCCTTCGCCTTTCGAAGTCCTGGGGTTTCAGGCGGGAGCCACTGTGCCCAGCCAAGAATAACTTTCATAGTTGCTTTGTAACTATATTTAAAAACAAAAGAGAAATGGAAAACTGTTGATTTGGGTACCCTGCTCTTGGGTGCCAGGGTTGCTTCAGCCATAGGATCCACAGCTGAGTCTGGACAATCTGTGATGTGGTGGGTAGAGGACTGTGGTTTGAGTCAGCATCTTGACTACATCAAGTCAGCTCACTGCTTGGCCTCAATGCTTGCAACTATAAAAAGACTGAGGCCCAAAAGAGATGGTAAGGATACAAGTAGTAAGGTTGTGAGGCTTTAGGCCTCATGCAAAAATGTACACCCTCAGACCTTTGTTCCTTTTATCTTTCTAGCCAAGTAAAATTATTTATAATCTCTACAAAGAGTGGCAATTAAAATTATTTATAATCATTAATTTCTACTTTATTTATATACAAATACTAATATATGTATATACATATACAGAAACAGGAGAAGCTGGTCTGATACTGTGAAAACATTTCAGCAGGATCTTGGCATAGTATATGTATATATACATATACTAATATATGTTTTTCTGTTTGTAAATTTTTTATTTTTTTCCTCATAGTCGTTAAAGATGTTATGTGAATGTATTTTTAATTGTGTAGTCAAACAATAAGATAAAAGTTTTACTTTAAAAAAGTTGCCCTTTAGGCTGGGCGTAGTGGCTCACGCCTATAATCCCAGCACTTGAGAGGCTGAGGTGGGTGGATCACCTGAGGTCAGCCATTCGAGACCAGCCTGGCCAACATAGTGAAACACCATCTCTACTAAAAGCACAAAAATTGGCCTGGTATGGTGGCACACACCTGTAGTCCCAGCTGCTTAGGCACGAGGCTGAGGCACAAGGATCACTTGAACACAGGAGGCAGAAGTTACAGTGAAAAAGAAGTTGCCCTTTAGTTGTTCTCCTGTTGGTGGCCATTTAGGTGGATTGTCACTTTTGCTTTCAGAGTCACTGCTGCTGTAATAATCCTTGTACATGTCTGGGTGTATGTTGTGAGTATTTCTCTAGGTAGTTATCTAGAAGTGAATTGCTGGTTGATGATCATGTGCGTTTTATTTTAAATCACCACTGAAGAAGTACGTACTGACTTATGCTCCCACTCTCATTAGCAGTTGCTAAGAGTGGAGGCTGTTGAATGGGCCAGGAACTTGAGGGGTTGGTTTGGACCAAGGTCATGGGTGACAGTAGAAATTGGAAGTAGTTGGAATCCTGCAGTCTTAGAGGCAGAGTGCGTAAAATAATCTGTAGCATTTGTTATTTATTTTCCTGTTGCTTATTTCAAGTTTCATGAAGTTGGCATTTCTCTCCATTGTTCATGCAAAATTTCTCTTACGGTAGATTCACCATAAACTTTTGTTGATCATTATCTGAAATGATTTTCTGAAACATTTTTTTTTCTAGGGAATCTGGAAACCCAGGAAAATACCAAATCCAGATTTCTTTGAAGATCTGGAACCTTTCAGAATGACTCCTTTTAGTGCTATTGGTTTGGAGCTGTGGTCCATGACCTCTGACATTTTTTTTGACAACTTTATCATTTGTGCTGATCGAAGAATAGTTGATGATTGGGCCAATGATGGATGGGGCCTGAAGAAAGCTGCTGATGGGGCTGCTGAGGTTCGTGTTTGCTGCTTGTGCATTTGTGTCTGTTATTGTAAGGAGCTGTTATTTTGTGAAAGTCTGTGTTAAGGTTTTTTTTCTTCATTTGGCAATATTGGCATAAAAAGTATAACCATATGCCTGCAAAAGACACAATATTGGGTTTTGGGGCATGATTTCATTAGTCTAATGTAGTGGCTTTAGAGTCTGTTTGTGTTCAGGGTTTTTTTTTTATTATTTGTCTGGGTATATATTTCGAAATTTGTCATTTAGGCTATATTTTAATACACTCTTATATGTTGAATCTCGGTTTACACTACATACAGAATTTTCAAACAACTGGTCATGTGGCCGATTTAAGAATTGGAGAGCCAGGGATACTGAGATAAGAAATTCACTGGATCCTGAGGTTAAGGGAGCCTTTTGCAGGTGATGTAGAAGCCAGCTTTTGCACCTATGAGAGTGAAATCATCTTGATTATAAGGAGAGCAAGAGGATGGAGGCTTTCTCTAATTTCTTTTTTACATTTTATGAGCATTTTCTCTGAAAAAGAAGGTCCTGCGTAGTGCCATGCCATAACTGAACTGCAGAAAAACAGCACGGCCTATGTTTGGTGTCAAAAGCTGGAACTTTCAATCAGCCCTGTCTTGTTTTTCAGCCAGGCGTTGTGGGGCAGATGATCGAGGCAGCTGAAGAGCGCCCGTGGCTGTGGGTAGTCTATATTCTAACTGTAGCCCTTCCTGTGTTCCTGGTTATCCTCTTCTGCTGTTCTGGAAAGGTAGGAAGTTTTTTTTTTTAGAATCAATTTTAGAGACATCACTCTAGTGATTATTAAAAATAACTAAGATATGTTGCCTGAGGTTTTCTTTGTAGTGGCTCAGTAATGACCAAGCCATGTTTGGTGTTGACTTCAGAAACCTTACTTACTGTTCCTCAGTGGCCGTTTATTGTGCCCAGATGGGAGCAGGATTTATAGCCCCTTGGTTGCTATTATTATTTATCCTAATCTGTTACTCTCCATAGTGTTCGGCAGCAACTTTCTAAAAAAAAACAATAAACTTAGATACCAAACTAGCCACTTGGGCAATAATCAGCTTTGCCTGCTGGCATAGCTATTTCTATTCTTTGTAATTCAGTCTTTGATTCCTCATTATCCATTCTGCCTTCACCTTCCCCACTCTCAAAACAGTATGTTGGGGTACCACAGCCTTATTGTTAGTTTTTCTTGTTTAGCCTTTTTTTTTTTGCATGCTATCATAAAAAAAGAAAGTCTTATTTTGGACTCTACTTCTGCTAAATGAGGATTATGCTTCATCTGGCATTCATAGCACTTTGTAACTGGATCCCAAGTTCCTTTTCCAGCCTCAGCCTCTGCCACTATTCTGTGTATCGGTGCCTCAGTCACCTTGACTTTTTTGACCTTTATTTTCCTGCCTGGCCCTTTTGTTTTTATTGTTCTACCTTGAAACACACAAGCACATGTGCATACACACACGTACATACACGCTCTTCAGGGTAGGAATTACATCCTATTCGTTTCTGTATATCTATCCCTGTATACAGCCTGGAACAGAACTTTGCCTGTAGGCATTCAGGAATTATATAACATAATACATGAACATGTAAACAAAATTGTACTTTGGGGAACATTTCAGAAACAGACCAGTGGTATGGAGTATAAGAAAACTGATGCACCTCAACCGGATGTGAAGGAAGAGGAAGAAGAGAAGGAAGAGGAAAAGGACAAGGGAGATGAGGAGGAGGAAGGAGAAGAGAAACTTGGTAAGAAACAGAGTCCAGAAAATCTGCTTTAAGCCAAGACCCTACGATGTTGTTAAACCTTTACAGTCAAGTTAAGGATTGTTTTTAGCCAGGCGTGGTGGCTCAAGCCTGTAATCCTAGCACTTTGGGAGGTTGAAGCAGGAAAATCACTTGAGCCCAGGAGTTTAAGGCTGTAGTCAGCCAGGATAGTGCCACTGCACTCCAGCTGAGCAACAGAGTGAGACCCTGTCTCTCTCTCTCTCTCTTTTTTATTTTTTAAGACAAGGTCCCACTCTGTCACTCAGGTTGGAGTACAGTGGCACAGTCACAGTTCACTGCAGCATTGACCTTATAGGTTCAAGTGATCCTCCTACCTCAGCACCCCTCCAAGTAGCTGGGACCACAGGCATGCGCTACCATGCTCAGCTGTTTGTTTGTTTGTTTGTTTATTGATTTATTTATTTGATATGGTCTGGCCCTGTTGCCCAGGCTGGAGTGCAGTGGTGTGATCTCGGTTCACTGCAGCCTTTGCCTCCCAGATTCAAGCGATTCTCCCACCTGGGCCTCCCAAAGTGTTGGGATTACAGGCGTGAGCCACCAGACCCAGCGAGATCCTGTCTCTTAAAAAAAAATTGTTGGCCAGGTGCGGTGGCTCACGCCTGTAATTCCAGCACTTTGGGGGGCCGAAGCAGGCAGATCACGAGGTCAGGAGGTCGAGACCATCCTGGCTAACATGGTGAAACCCCATCTCTACTAAAAATACAAAAATTAGCCGGGCATGGTGGCAGGTGCCTGTAGTCCCAGCTACTCAGGAGGCTGAGGCAGGAGAATGGCGTGAACCTGGGAAGGCAGAGCTTACAGTGAGCCGAGATTGGGCCACTGCACTCCAGCCTGGGTGACAGAGCAAGACTCTGTCTCAAAAAAAAAAAAAAAAAAAAAATTGTTGGCCAGGCATGGTGGCTCACGCCTGTAATCCCAGCACTTTGGGAGGCCGAGGTGGGTGGATCACGAGGTCAAGAGATCAAGACCATCCTGGCCAACACAGTGAAGCCCCGTCTCTACTTAAAATAAAAAAGTTAGCCAGGCATGGTGGCGGGCGCCTGTAGTCCCACCTATTCGGGAGGCTGAAGCAGGAGAATCACTTGAACCCGGAAGGCAGAGGTTGCAGTGAGCCGAGATTGCGCCACTGCACTCCAGCCTGGCGACAGAGCGAGACTGAGTCTCAAAAAAAAAAAAAAATTGTTGGCCGAGCAAGGTGGCTCACGCCTATAATCCCAGCACTTTGGGAGGCCAAGGTGGGTGGATCACCTGAGGTCAGGAGTTCGAGATCAGCCTCGCCAACATGGTGAAACCCCGTTTCACTAAAAATACAAAAATTAGCCAGGCGTGGTGGTGGGCACCTGTAATCCCGGCTACTCCGGAGGCTGAGGTAGGAGATCCACTTGAACCTGGAGGCAGAGGTTGCAGTGAGCCGAGATCATGCCATTGCACTCCAACCTGGGTGACAAGCAAAGTCGATCTCAAAAAAAATAGTGGCCGGGCGCGATGGCTCACGCCTGTAATCCCAGCACTTTGGGAGGCCACCGAGGAGATCATGAGGTCAGGAGATCGAGACCATCCTGGCTAACACGGTGAAACCCCGTCTCTACTAAAAATAAAAAAAGTTAGCCGGGCATGGTGGCAGGCGCCTGTAGTCCCAGCTATTCAGAACACTGAGGCAGGAGAATGGCGTGAACCCGGGAGGCGGAGTTTGCAGTGAGCCGAGATCGCGCCACTGCACTCCAGCCTGGGCGACAGAGCAAGACTCTGTCTCCAAAAAAAAAAAAAAAAATTGTAGATCTAGAGATGTGTTCTAATGCTAATATATAATCACCAAAAATAATAAGGTTTTGCTCAGTTGTTTAACTTCTGTCTTAGAAGAGAAACAGAAAAGTGATGCTGAAGAAGATGGTGGCACTGTCAGTCAAGAGGAGGAAGACAGAAAACCTAAAGCAGAGGTAAAGGAAAGGGGTCACACATTTTGTTTTACCAAGCTGAAGGTACATTTATGTAAAGGGAATATTTTAATAGGGTAGTTTACAGTGGCTTATGGCAGTAAAAATTCTGTTAAAGCCAATTTTGTTGAAGTGGGATTCTTTGTGATACAGGTCAGTGTTTTGTTTGATAATTTTAAGCTACATATTAATCTCAGAAGTATCTTTTTAGCTGAAAATCATTTTCTGAAATAAGCAGAAGGTTATAGGGGGAAAATAAAATGCTTGCTAAGAAGGAAACTTCGGGTCATTAACAGTCTATTTGCCTCTCCTCACTGTGCCCTGAAAAGTATTTCTTATACAAATCACTGTGTTCTAAACTTTTTGTCCCCGTTGTCCATAGATGGGTTCATTCATTCATTTAACTGACATTTGTTGAGTGCCCATTTTGTGCCAGGCATTGTCAGTGAGTAAGACAGACAAAGATACTCTGCCTTTAGGGAGCTTAAATTCTACTTGGGGGAAACAGGCAATGAGCAGTAAACATTTTAAGGAAGTAAACAACACAGCGTATTAGGAAGTAAGAAACGATGAATAATTAAAACAGGAAAAGATACTAAAAGTGCTAGAGGTAGGCGGGTCACCATGTTAAAACCTTACTCGAAAGATGACATCGAACCAAACACTTGAAAGAGGTAGAGAACTTTTCCATGGGGATGTAAGTGGGAAGAGCATTCCAGGCACAGAGAACAGCCAGTATTGAGGCCTAAAGTGGTTGTCTACAAGGCCAGTATGGTGAGTGGACAGAGAGAGTGGAGAAAAGAAGGGTGGAGAAGGCTCCAGGTTAGACAGGCTGTTGTGTGGACTTGGCTTTCCCTCCTAGTGAAGCGGGCAGCCATCACAGGCTACTGGACACAGGTGTCACAGGATGATGACTGTGTCTGCTGTGTTTCCTATATACCAGGGAGAATCAGGGCGACCAGTTAGGAGGTCCCTGTAATCATCTAGGAAAGATACGGTGGCCCCACAAAGGGTGACAGGAGAGGAACAGAGGGTATGAGAACTAGTTGGAGAT
Organism: Homo sapiens; assembly: GCF_000001405.40. Taxonomy (NCBI): domain Eukaryota; kingdom Metazoa; phylum Chordata; class Mammalia; order Primates; family Hominidae; genus Homo; species Homo sapiens. The sequence continues at coordinate 493,391 of NW_016107298.1, forward strand.
CTGGATCTTGGTTTTGTGGTAGATTGGATATATAGAGTATGAGAGAAAGGGAACAGTCACTGTCTGTATGTACCATTGCTTACTAAAGTCCTTTACCCAGCACCTCTGTGTCTAAATCTGGTCTCTCCCGGAAAGCTCTCCTCAGGTTTTACTTTCAGCTACAACTCTGCCTTCCTATTAATAAAGATCATTGCTATCTGTATCTTTTGTATATTTTCCATGGATATGTTCTGTCTTAACTAGAATGCAATTCTTAAAAGTAGAGACCATGTTTCCCCCAAACTCCCTCACACGTTAAAAAGTTGCTGGTGCATTTAAAAAAAGGGAATATTTTCATAGGGTAATTTACAATCTTAGCAACTTGTGATAGAGTACAGAGCAGCAGCCTTGGAGTCAGTCTACTTGGATAGCCTTCCATCTTCATGAATCCTTGGTTTCTTATCCTCAGAATGGGGCTAGTGTGCCATAGGCCAGTAGATTGTTTGGGATTAAGCAAGATTAAGAAATCACAGTGTCTGATCCTTTTTTAAGAAAATGTTTATGGGTTAGATTGAGAAAAGTGTATGTTTATAGAAAACAATAAAGACTAAACTGAATTAGAGTAGGCATAATTCCACCACCTCTGAGACAACCATTCTTCTTGGTGCATTTTCTTCTCATCATTTTCCTCATTTTTTTCCTCAAATAAGTTACCCTCAGTCTGGCTGATCTTGAAAATATGGTGAACTTTTATTATTTTTTAAATGTGCTAATTATAATGAATTTCTTTTCAATCAATAGGAGGATGAAATTTTGAACAGATCACCAAGAAACAGAAAGCCACGAAGAGAGTGAAACAATCTTAAGAGCTTGATCTGTGATTTCTTCTCCCTCCTCCCCTGCAAGAGTGGTCCTAGGAGAGGACCTGGCACACCTTAGGTTGACATTCAGAAAACTTCAAGACATCACCATCAGCAGGCTCCAGTTGAACACTAGTCTGTGTAACTTTAAACATCTAGCAGTAAATACTTGCAGTTGTGATATAAAGGACCCTGTTTCTGTAGAAAAGAAAACATTTAACATAATGGTTGTGAAATGTAACATGAAGCAAACTAACTTTTTTTTTTTTAACATCTTTGTTTTTAAAATAGAATGATAGAACTTTGCCAGTCTTTAAGATCTTGGCTTAATTTAATGTATTAATCTGTTTGTGCAAACATAATACCACCATTTAAAAATGTTAGGGAGATGAGTTGCAGTTTTTATAATAGATTTTTTTTAAAGTTTGGTATTGTAAAACATTCACACCTCTGTCCCTCAAAATTGATAATTACGTTTAAAGTGCAGTCATTTGTGGTTAGAATCTTGTTTTGTTTGCTTCCATTATTGAGTTCCTCCTAAGGAAATTGAGGAGAGGGACTGAATAGAAGCCCAAATTCATATAAAAGTTGCGTTTAAGTTGTATTAAAAATAGATATATAAGAAAAAATTCTTTCACTTGATGTTTGTTAGACCAGAAAGTGTGTGTGTTCTGTAGCTCAGTTCCCAGACAGCTTTTTAGGTAGTGGAGGAGGTGGCTTCATGTGGCACTTGGGCATTTATATTCCACTTGGGAGGGTCAGGCTGTGGCCTTCTGGAGCAGGTGGCTTGTTAAGGAACGCTAGCAGGGCATGGCACGTGAGCTCCGGAATAGATGTCTTCATCACTTCTTCCACTGTGTGTTGACACTGTTTTCCTTACCTATTTCCTCAGATCCCCAGCTTTCTCCTCTGCTATGCATTTTCTTCACAGTGCAGCTTGCAGTCCGTTGCTGAAAATGATTATAAGCCCTGCATAATGTTAAGCTTTATTGTGATTACGTGTATGTTTCTTCTTTCTTTTAAGCAGACCCATACCTTTCCAGGGTCAAAGTACAGAATAGAATACATTGATACAAAGTACAGAAAAATACTTTGATTTTTATCCATTTCTTTTACTCTGTGTAAAGACTTGAGAAGTCTAATTCACAGGCAAACCAATACAGAATTGACTGCAGTTGAACAGACTAGAAGTATTTGTGGGAGGAGTGACATGAAGCATGAGTTATCTGATTTTTTTTGTAGCTGCTATATATTTTAAGCCTTCATTTGCAATTCATGTAACAGTTGTGTCATAAATTACACAATAAAGCAGTCCTGTTCAAATTTTTTTTTAACGTGGCTTGTAGAATTTTTAAAAAAGTGATCTTAGGTTTGTTTTTTCATGCGGGATGCAGATGGGTGCTATCAGAGCCTCTCCCACACCACTATAGTGTAATAATGTTATTATTACTCTACACTGAAACGTATTCAGAGTTAGATATTATTTTAGCTTCAGTTGTTCTTTAGAGGCTTTCAAATGTACCGATGATACTGTTTCTTGCACTGAATATATAAACACTCCACAGTGTTTATATTGGGAAGATATTGGGAAGGAAATATATTTGTAAAAGATGAAGGCTGTATCTATTTTTTTTTCTTTTTAAAGTTTGTTCACTTAAATTCTTTTGAGGATGGGATGTATTTTTCTTGCTGTTCAGTGCTTTTTCCTTTTCATCTGTTGTTCTGTGGTCACAGTGACCTTAGCTACATAGCAGACTTTCCCAAATGTATTGATTACAAATAAACAGTTGTTACTTAGCAAGACCTGAAAATATGTCTGCAGGTTTCTCCTTGAAGCAAATGTGTGGGATCATTGCATTTCCAGAAATCTGCCTCCTTCACCCTCCGTTGACAGTATATGTCATGCCTCACTTTCTTCTAGCTGAGCTTTAAATCATTAGAGCTTAAATTGTCAGATCGTTCATTGCCTTTCCAGGGTTATTTAGTAAAGTTTGTTGAAAACAAAAACGCCTTTTCTTGGTTCTTTTTTCAGTTATTTTGAAGGTCCAGCATCCTGATTAAATGTCTGACACATTAATGAATGACCAGCAGCAGCTTTCAGCTCTTAAAAAGACACTTATATTTTGATTTTACATGCTGGTTACCTGTTCCATTGTTGTCAAATGCCCACTCTCCATCAGATGTGTTCCTCCATTTTCTTATCCACAAAGTACTCCTCACTTTTCAATTTGTCATGTTACTAAATGGTGTTACATTAAAGCCCTGTGTTAAGTGTCTGCTTTTGACTGAATTTCTTCATAGTAACCTTCAGTGTGTGTGTGTGACTATGTTCAATTAGTGGGTTGATCTTCGTATAATTGGCCACTATGTGAGAGTTCACTACTAGGCAGAAACTATTATGGACAGTGAAATAATGACTTTTATCTCACCACGTGAGTTTGATGCAGTCTTTTCTGTCTAGCCCTTGCCTCTTCCTGCCCATGTGATTGCGGTGCAGTAGTTTCTGTTGTATAATAGTGTGGACAGCAGCTCAGAAAAGGAGGGAATGCTACTGATAATTTGTAGATAATATTCTTTAAGACTTAGGGGAACCATTGAACTTTGAAATTTTTATTAGAAAATTATTTGTTCAGAATCAGACTCCATTATTTTACATATACTTAAATACTTTAGGGGTATTTTTGAAAGTTAGCCCAGTTTTTTATGTGCTATTAAATTTTTAGATTACATACTAAAGAAAAGTATGTACACAGAATGTAGTGCTCCTAGTTACTATTTTTTCTATTAAGAAATAGTTTAGTTCTGGTGTAAAATTTGTTTGAATGCTAAAAAAAAAAAAGCAGGACTGCATTATGGCACTTTTGCCTTGGTGGCCCACTTTCTCCATTTAAAACATTAGGATTTGTATTTTTCTGCTGCGTTTGTATGAAGACATATTTGATTGTTGTTTTCTCTTGATTTTAAAATAAAACCTCATGAGCCCTAGTAAAAAGCTAGAGTAACGAATGTTTGAACTACTGATGGTGTATCTCAATGTGCAGCCTCCTGCCACCTCCTGCTTAACCTTTTAGCAATTAGAGTGCCCATATCTAGAGTTCCTGATATCCTTTGGCATCACACTATCTAGTTTTAGTACTAACACTGTTTGATTGCTCCAGTCCCTCTACTCCCCTTTGCCTATTAGTTTTAATAATGGGGCATAATTTGTCTTGGTTTGGTTTTGTTGAGTAACTCAGTTTTACCTAAAGGACTGTTTTTGGTCCGGCGCGGCGGCTCACGCCTGTAATCGCGGTACTTTGGCAGGCCGAGGTGGGCGGATCACCTGAGGTCAGGAGTGGGAGACCAGCCTGACCGACATGGAGACACCCCGTCTCTACTAAAAATACAAAATTAGCCGCGCGTGGTGGCGCATGCCTGTAATCCCAGCTACTGGAGAGGCTGAGGCAGGAGAATCGCTTGAGCCTGGAAGGCGGTGGTTGTGGTGAAACGTCGTCCTTTGCATTTCCAGTTCCCTCTAATGGAGCTGCACTCTTGCATGCTTTTGCTCACATCTTCTGGACTTTTTTTTTAAGTAGTGAGTAATACTGCACTTTTGAAACTTGCTCGGGCTTTTACAAATAGGTGGAAACTACCAGTGATTCGGAATGTTGCAAGAGGAAACTACCAGCTCACTAGACGATTCTGACCAATTATGGGGCTGGATACAAGGAATAAGGTCAAAGTAAAACGGCTGACATTAAAATAGCGTGGCTACTTAGAGTTTATCAAAGTCGAAATTTAAAAAATAATTTAAAAAAAAGGTCTCTGTACTGCCAGGCGGGCGACAGGGACTGGCCAGCTGCGCCGCACTCGCCTGCCAGATTCCCCTTTTCTCGGGGTAGCCGGAAGGGCCTGCCTTCAGCGGGTGCTGTGCAGGAAACCAATAGCCGCCTCTTGGACGGGCTCCTGTCAGTCACGCTTAGCTCCGCCCCCAGGACTAAGGCCCGCCCAGGGGCTTCCCTCCGCCCTTCGCTTGAGAATTCCTTTTAAATACCGCTCTGGCGCCCGAGCGCGCCTCTTGCGTGCTCGTCCCCACGCCCTCGGGCGGCCGGTTCTTCCTTCTCTGATTGGCCAGGGCCCCTGCTCATCAGTCGTGATGCACAAGGTCTCTTACCGAGGCCCCGCCTTCTTCCGAGAGGCCCGAAAACAATTTTAAGATGGCGGCCGCGGCGGTAGCGCGGAAAACAATGGGGCCGGGGCGGTGGGGAGAGGCCGAGGCTTGAGGTAGGCAGCAAGCGCCGGCTGGGGGTCGGGCCGAGCGGGGCAGGAGGAAAACCCGCCGCCGCGCGCGAGCCCGCTCCGCTGCCCTCGGGGGCATGGCGCGGCCGTGAGGCGGAGAGGGGTAGCCGCGGGGAGCGAAGCCCGCAGTGCCAGCCGGCCCCGAGAGGCCCGGCCCCGGGCCCGGCCCGTGCAGCCCGCGGCCCATGGTGCTGCCCACCTGCCCCATGGCGGAGTTCGCGCTGCCGCGGCACAGCGCGGTCATGGAGCGCCTTCGCCGGCGCATCGAGCTGTGCCGGCGCCACCACAGCACCTGCGAGGCCCGCTACGAGGCCGTGTCGCCCGAGCGCCTGGAGCTGGAGCGCCAACACACCTTCGCCCTGCACCAGCGCTGCATCCAGGCCAAGGCCAAGCGCGCCGGGAAGCACAGGCAGCCGCCCGCCGCCACGGCCCCGGCGCCCGCCGCCCCGGCCCCGCGCCTGGACGCCGCTGACGGCCCCGAGCACGGCCGCCCGGCCACGGTGAGTAGGGCGCGGGAAGGCGCTTGTCGTGGCGGCAGCCCCCTCTCCCGAAAACGCTTCCTCTGACGCGGATCGGGCCGCTGGGAGACTTCCCCAGGCGTCCGCGACTCCTGGATCTGGCTGGAGAGAGGGTAACATGGCAGGGAGCTGAGAGGTTGTCATCTTTGGGAAGTGGCACGGTGGCGTTACTTTGGGAAAACAGCGCCTTGAGGGCCTTGCAGGAGGCCCGACCTGGGAAGGCTGGCGAACGCTAACCGGAGGGTTTTTCTTCCAGACTTGATTCCGGGATGTTGAGATCTTTATTCGAAATAGACTAGCATTCGAGTCGCCTGTGATGGAGGGAGTTCCTGCACCGTAGGCCTGGCCTCATTTATTCTGCAAATGTTTATTGGGTCCTTGCCCTTTACAAGATCCTGTGCTGTGAGCAGGATCAGGGCTTTCATGTGGAAATAAGTCGGCCTTTGGTTGACCAACTGAAACTCCTCTGAATGGAAAATCAAGAAATTTTTGGAAAACTTAGTAAAATGTTCAATGAGTTGCATATAAGTATTCCTTGTTTAGGTAGCCTGAACTTTGTGAACTTGAGATTCCTGCAATATTGTTGACAATTCTAGTTTTAATTTATCAGGCCTGTTTAAAATCTCTGATGATGTTAGATTGTTGGTCAATTATTACTCCCTTTGGGCTCTCAGTAAATGTTCCTGAAATTTGTTGGTTAGAGGTTTTTCTTCCTGAAACAGATTTACAAAAGAGACAAGGTTTTTCAGTGGTTTTCTTGGGGATTTTAGTTTAAAACCAATGTTAAAATCTAATTTGTTATGTGTATTTTTAAATTCATACCTTTATTATCTCTCACCTGGGCTATTGCAGTGCCTGTCCCTAGCTAACTAACCAGTCTGTAGGCATTTAGTTTCTTTCTCCCTTATTCTCGAAATGCTGGAAATCCTTCTCTTGCTTGAAAGGATGAAGTTCAAAGTCTTTAGTTTGGCATTTGGGACCAGTCTGACCTAACCTATCTTTTAATGTCCCTCACAGGTCCTCTGCTCTGGTTGAATTATTTTTCTCATTCTCTTCCACACTAGCCTCGATTGCTGGGTTAGAAGAAAAAAAACCACTCAGATTTCATTGCTTATTGTATCAACTGGTCAAGCCTTCTCATCTTCACTTTTCTCATCTGTAAACTAGGGGCATGTTGGGCTTATTATCGCCCCGTGTTCTTTCCCCGCCCTCCCCTCACTCTGTCGCCCAGGCTGGAGTGCAGAGGCACAGTCATGTCTCACTGCAGCCTCAACCTTCCTGGCTCAAGACTCCTCAATCCTCCCGCCTCAGCCTCCTCAGTCCTCCCGCCTCAGCCTCCTGAGTAACTGGGATCAACCACAGCTGCACATCACCATGCCTGGCTAAATAAAAAAAGTTTTTTTTCTGTTAGAGATGGGGTCTCACTATATTGCCTAGGCTGGTCTTGAACTCCTGGGCTCAAGTGATCCTTTCTTCCAACTTGATCTCTGAAAGTGCTGAGATTATAGGCATGAGCCACCGCACCGTGCCGCCCCCAGGATTCTTTTAAGAATAAAAAGAAATGAGTGTGGACATGAAAATACAGTATTTCGGGGGAAGGGATAGCATTGGGAGATATACCTAATGCTAGATGACGAGTTAGTGGGTGCAGCGCACCAGCATGGCACATGTATACGTATGTAACTAACCTGCACATTGTACACATGTACCCTAAAACTTAAAGTATGATAATAATAAATAAATAAATAAAATACAGTATTTCATAAATTTAAAGGCCGCCTGTGGGACCCTCCTCCATCCCTTTCAGAATCCTGCCACCCTGCCAGTCCCAGCTTATCTCTTTCTTCTGCCTTAAAGCTAGTTCCTGACCAGCCTAACCCACAGCAGTAAGAATCTCCTTTGTCAAAACATTTAGGAAACATATTATCTATGCTATTTGTTTTATTTATTTATTTATTTTGAGATGGAGTCTTGCCCTGTTGCCCAGGCTGGAGTGCAATGGCGCGATCTAGGGTCACAGCAATCTCCGCCTCCCAGGTTCAAGTGATTCTCCTGCCTCAGCCTCCCTACTAGCTGGGATTACAGGTGCTGGCCACCATGCCCAGCTAATAATTTTTGTATTTTTAGTAGAGATGGGGTTTCACCATGTTGACCAGGCTGGTCTCGAACTCCTGACCTCAGATAATCCACCCACCTCGGCCTCCCAAAGTGCTGGGATTACAGGTGTGAGCCACTGCACCTAGCCTATTTATTTTTTTTTGAGACAGCGTCTCGCCCTGTCACCCAGGCTGGAGTGTAGTGACATGATTTCTGCTCACTGCAACCTCTGCCTCCCCGGTTCAAGCGATTCTCCTGCCTCAGCTTCCTGAGTAGCTGGGATTACAGGCGCACACTACCACGCTTGGCTTATTTTGGTATTTTTAGTAGAGACAGGGTTTCTCCTTGTTGGGCAGGCTGGTCTCGAACCCCTGACCTCGTGATCCACCCACCTCGGCCTCCCAAAGTGCTGGGATTACAGGCGTGAGCCACCGCGCCCGGCCTATGCTATTTATTTTTAGCACATGGTCACTTGTTACTTTAGGTCGCATCTTTTCAACTAGACTGTCAGCTCTTGGAGGCAGGGAGGGCTCACACTTGGGTAGTACACATCTGAGGTGCATCTTAAGTGCCTGTTTGTTGAGTTATTGATAGAAACTTGGTAGTGCTTTACTCAGTAATCTCTCCTCCTATACACTAACTTCAAAAAGCAAGTTGATGTAACTTCATGAGCCACCTTTCATGGCTCATAGTAACAACTCTTGTAAGGAGGGACTTTTGTTATTTTTTTTTAGGGAGTTTCGCTTTGTCGCCAGGCTGGAGTGCAATGGTGCCATCTTGGCTCACTGCAACCTCCGCCTCCCAGGTTCAAGCAATTCCCCTGCCTCAGCCCCCCAAGTAGCTGGGACTACAGGCTTGTGCCACCACGCTCCCCTAATTTTTTGTATTTTAGTAGAGACGGGGTTTCACCATGTTGGCCAGGATGGTCTCGATCTCCTGACCTTGTGATCCTCCCGCACTGGCCTCCCAAAGTGCTGGGATTACAGGCATGAGCCGCCACGCTTGGCCTGTGTAAGGAAGGACTTTTAAGAGTAGTTCGTGGTCATTGCAATTGAAGTAAATAATGAAAGCTCATAAAAATCATAGTTTAATACACAAATAGTTGCCTTGAATCCTCCCTAGAAAGTATATTAGGGGGGCCGGGAGCAGTGGTTGACTCCTGTAATCCCAGCACTTTGGGAGGCAGAGGTGGGTGGATCGCCTGAGGTCAGGAGTTCGAGACCAGCCTGGCTAACATGGTGAAACCCCGTCTCTACTAAAAATACAAAAATTAGCTGGGCATGTGGCGTGCGCCTGTGGTCCCAGCTACACGGGAGGCTGAGGGAGGAGAATCGCTGGAACCTGGGAGACGGAGGTTACAGTGAGCTGAGATCGTACCACTGCACTCCAGCCTGGGCAACAGAGGGAGACTCCGTCTCAAATTAAAAAAAAAAAAAAAAGGTATATTAGTAATGATTCAATTTTTGTTTAAAGTTGTTCTAAGAATTTAGACCCTGTATGATTTTTTTTAGTCCTGAGTCAGTGGGGGAAACTGGGCATGCTGTTTGAAGAGAAATTAATTCTGAGTGTGTTAGAATTTGAATCTAATTTGTCAGTCATTCCTTTTGATATCAGAGCTTAATCAGATGTGCCATGTTAAGGTGATGTCTTTTTATCACATTAAACCTTGACTTATGGATTTCTTGAGTTTAAACTCTACGGTGGATGTGCTTTTCTGTGTCTCTGCTAGGAAGAGGGACGCTTTGCATTTGGACTCCAAGTTAGTCTAGCTGAGCTCTTTGGCCTTGGAATGGGGTCATCGGAACAGAAGATAAGTATCATTAAGAAAACAGTGGCTCCTTCAATTCAGGGGGGAAGAGAGTCCTTGAGTATGTACGATTTTGGCTTGGAGAAAACAGCTTTGCAGAAAGAGATGGAAAGAAGGTACCTCTTAGTCATTGTTATTTTTGACAACTCCATGTATTTGATCTCATTAATATTTCTTACTTAAGGAATATTATAAGTTCTTAAGTTTTTTCCAAGTGAACTATATACTGTTTGGCAGTCATTTCATAGTTACTTCACCAGCAACCCATTTGTATGACTGAGAAGGGATCAGATTTACTGCTAGAGTTTACTTCACTTCAGATTATTGTTTTCTTAGGATATCCCACCACAGCGAAGTCTTAGCCACTATCTGCTTAGTCTGTTAGAGATGAATCAGAAACACTGTTTCAGGCTTTTTCTCTATTCTAATTTTCAAGGAATGAGTCTATTAGGTTTTCATTTCTTTTCCTTTTTTCTTGAAACAGGGTCTGGCTCTATCACCCAGTGGCGCGATCGTGGGGCACTACAGCCTTGAACTGCTGGGCTCCAGGGGTCCTCCCACCTCAGCCTCCTGAGTAGCTGGGACTACAGGTGTGCACCACCGCACCCGGCTAGGTTTTAAAGTTTTTTGTAGAGATGGGTGTGAGCCACCTTGCCTGGCCGAAAGTTGATTTTCTTACTTAGTTTTAGGTGTGTGAAGTTTCTTTCTCTCTTTTTTAACCTTTTATTTGTAAATAATGTCAAACTTAGAGAAAAGCTCTAAGTTTGGTACAAAGAACATCTGGTTACCTAGATTTACCTGTTGTCACTGTTGTGCCCCATTTGTTATCATTTGCACATTCTCTCTCTCCCACTCTCTGCCTCTTTCTCTCTCTCTCAGACTTTTATTCTCTGAACCACCTGAGAGTATGCTGCACACCTCATAGCTCTCTGCTGCCAAACCACCCCATGTGTACCTTTTAAGAGTTAAGAAAGCTGTTAATTTTGTAGACCAAACTCTTGTAAGAATTATGAAATAACAAATTATTTCCAGGAAGTAGATATTTCTGAATATAAAACAGATACTGTACTGTAATCATGTGGGGCATTAGTTTTTTTAAAAAGATGATCAGTGTGGCTTTAGGATCTCATTTCTTCCTGTAATGCCTGAGACCTTGTCTAGAACCCTCTTTCCTTTTTTGTCTTCAGTATCTCCCTTCCCAACTGAGTCTTTCCCTTCAGCTTGAAATTATGAACAAATATTCTCCACACTGACAAGTCCTGTGTTTTCTCACTGTCAAAATAGTATTCCATATTCTTCTTTCCCTTTGCCCTTCCCACTTGAACTTCTCATTTACTCATTAGCCTATGGTAATATGCCTTCTACCTCTTCTATTACTCTGAAGTTGCCTCCGTAAAGGACACCAAGGATGGACTTGCCAAATTTATTGGCATCTTTTTTTTTTTTTTGGAGACAGGGTCTCACTGTGTTGCCTAGGCTGGAGTGCAGTGGCACCATTATGGCTCACTACAGCCTCAACCTCCCAGGCTCAAGTGATCCTCCCACCACAGCCTCCTCAGTAGCTGGGACTACAGGCGTGAGCCACCACACCCAGCCTCATTGGCATCTTAGTCATCATTCTTCGTGACTTCTTCCTTTTCTTAGCTTCTCCTCTCTTCTGATTTCCTTTTCAGCTTTCTGACTTTTTTTCTCAGTCTCCTTACTATTTTCCCTTATTAATTCATGCAGCAAATATTTGAGCACCTGCTGTGGGCCAGAGTACAATCAGCCCTCCGTATCTGCGCATTCTGCATCTGCGGATTCAACCAACTGTAGATAGAAAATATTTTTTGGAAAAAAAAGTAAAAAAATAACAGTACAACAATTAACACAAATTATAATATGCAGCTCAGCATGGTGGCTCATGCCTGTAATCTCAGAACTTTTGGGAAGCTGTGGTGGGAGGATAGCTTGAGCTCAGGAGTTTTAGACCAGGCTTAGCAATATAACAAGACTCCATCTCTCAAATAGAATAGAATAGAACGGAACGGAACGGAATAGAATAGAATAGAAAAATAAAAATAAAAATATAGCTGGGTATGGTGGCTCACACCTGTAATTCCAGCACTTCAGGAGGCCAAAGCTGGTGGATTTCTTGAGCCCAGGAGTTCAAGACCAGCCTGAGCAGCATAGTGAGATGTCATCTCTATAAAAGCATGGTGGCATGCATCTGTATTCTCAGCTCCTCGGGAGACCGAAGTAGGAGGATTGCGTGGGACCGGGAGGTAAAGGCTGCAGCGAGCTATGATTGCGCCACTGCACCTTAGCCCCTGGGTGACATCCAAACCCTGCATCAAAAATAAATAAAAAATAAAAATATGACAACATTTACATAGCATTTCTATCATACGAAGTATTGTAAGTAATCTAGAGGTGATTTAAAGTATCCTGGAAGATGTGTATATATTATTGCAAATACTAGGCCATTTTATGTAAGGGACTTGAGCATCCTTGGATTTTGGTGTCCCGGCGAGGCTGGGCAGGGGTCTTAGAACCAATTCCCCATGGACACCAAGGGAACTGCTGTGTACAGTAGCGAATAGGACAAATTAAAATTCTGCTGTCATGGAGAAAGAGGAGGTCAGTATTTTTGTTAACTTTGTTATAATAAGTGCTAAGCAAAAATTAAAAGCAGAGTCATGTGATACTAAATGACAGTCGTAGCTTAAGATGCCTTGATTTGAGCTTGATGATTGAGAGGCTGTCAGTCAGCTGAAAGTCTTAGAACATTCCAGTTAGAGAGAACCACCAGTACCAAGTGTCTGAGTTAGGACCCTTCTGAGCTGGCATGAAGAACAGAAAGCAGGCCAGTGTGTCTGGAGCAGCGTGGCACCTAGGACCAGATCAAGTGCAGTAGGAAGCAGTAGCAGGATAGGGAGCAGAAACATGATATGATCCAACTTAGGTTTTTTTGCTCTGCTGACCAGTCTGGAGTGCAGGGGCGCAATCTCAGCTCACTACAAGCTCCGCCTCCCGGGTTCACGCCATTTTCCTGCCTCAGCCTCCCAAGTAGCTGGGACTACAGGTGCCCGCCACCACACCCGGCTAATTTTTTTGTATTTTTTTTTTTAGTAGAGACGGGTTTCACCGTGTTAGCCAGGATGGTCTCTATCTCCTGACCTCGTGATCCGCCCATCTCGGCCTCCTAAAGTGCTGGGATTACAGGTGTGAGCCACTGTGCCCGGCCGATCTTTAAGTTTTGGAAGATGGTTCTGGTGCTAGGTGGAGGATGCCTGGGGTTGGTGTGGATAGGAGTGGATGCATATAAAGCTTTTGTAGCTCTCTAGATGCCAGGGCTGGGGCTGGTGGTAGCAGTGGAGATGGAGAAGAGGAGATGGGTTTTGGACAGTTCCTGAGGGCAGAGGTGACAGGACTGGGTTGCTGGACTAGATGGCTTTGTTTTGCGGGCAGGAGAGGGGAGTATTCAAGGGAAATTCCTAGTTTTATGGCTTGAGAAACTTTCTTTGCACTTTAAAAATATTAGTGTTCTCTAGGCAACTATATCCCTGGCCATTTTCACTCTTTTTTTCCCCTGGGTGATGTTATTGATTCTTTCATAGCTTCATTTGTCACCTGTAATAATACTCTTCAAATCCCCAGTCCAGATCTGTCTTCCAGATTTCAAATCCACATTTCCAGCTGTCTGCTGGACATTTTCATCTTTCCAGGATATATTTCCCACATATCCAAAATGGACTTTCCCTTTTTCCTACCAAATCATATGTTCCTTCTAAGTATTTTCCCTAACCCAGTCATCCAGAGTAAAAACCTGGGAATTTTCCACTCCTTTTCCACAATTCCCAGCGTTCAGTTGGTGGTTCTTTCAACCAACATTGAAGTCCTGCTGGAGCCAGGAATCGTGGTAGATGGTGAACCTGTATCGCGGAGCCTAAGTGGGAGCAGATGATACACAGGTCATTGCAAAGCCGAGTTCAGGGCTAAAGCCTGTGAGAATATTGAGGAAGGGGGATGCCTTTTTGGTGAAGTTTGGAAGGCTTTAAAGAATTGACTCTTGGCCAGGCGTGGTGGCTCACGCCTGTAATCCCAGCACTTTGAGAGGCTGAGGTGGGCGGATCACTTGAGATCAGGAGTTCAAGGGCAGCCTGGCCAAAATGGTGAAACCCCGTCTCTGGTAAAAAATACAAAAATTAGCCGGGCACGGTAGCATACACCTGTAATCCCAGTTACTCAGGAGGCTGAGGCAGGATAATCACTTGAACCCAGGAGGTCGAGGTTGTCGTGAGCTGAGATTGTGACATCGTACTACAGCCTGGGTGGCAGAGCGAGACTGTCTCAAAAAAAAAAAAAAAAAAAAAGAATTTACTTTTAAGGTGGATCTTAAGCTTTAGCCAGATGCTTTCCCCAGAGGTGTTCCATGGAACACTAATTTCATGGGCTGTTGAAAGTTACAGTGGAACACATTTGAGGAACACTGGGCTAAACAATTCTTTTTCCCTCTGAGCATCTGCACATATTGGCTAAACAAATGTATTTTATTTTTTAAATTTGTTTTATTGATTTATTTTTTGAGACAGAGTCTCCGTCTGTCGCCAGGCTGGAGTGCAGTGGGGTGATCTCGGCTCACTGCAACCTCCACCTCCTGGGTTCAAGCAATTTTCCCACCTCAGCCTCCCAAGTAGCTGAGGCTAATTTTTTGTATTTTTAGTAGAGACGGGGTTTCACCATGTTTGCCAGATTGGTCTCGAACTCCTGACCTCAGGTGATCCACCCGCCTCGGTCTCCCAAAGTGCCGGGATTACAGGCGTGAGCCACCGCACCTGGCCAACAAACTTAATTTGCTTTATTAAGAACATTTTTGGCCAGGCACGGTGGCTCATGCCTGTAATCCCAGCACTTTGGGAGGCCAAGGCGGGTGGATCATCTGAGGTCAGGAGTTTGAGACCAGTCTGGCCAATATGGTGAAACCTCATCTCTACTAAAAATACAAAAATTAGCCGGACGTGGTGGTACGTGCCTGTAATCCCAGCTACTCAGGAGGCTGAGGCAGGGGAATCCCTAGAACCTGGGCACCGGAGGTTGCAGTGAGCCGAGATCGTGACACTGCACTCCAGCCCAGGCGACAGAGTGAGATTCCATCTCAAAATAAATAATAAAAAAAAAACCAACATTTTTGCCACATTCAGTGTCTGACACCAGTAATCCCAGCATTTTGAGAGGCTGAGGTGGGTGGATCATTTGAAATCAGGAGTTCGAGACCAGCCTGGCCAACATGGTGAAACCCTGTCCCTACTAAAAAAATAAAAATAAATTAGCTGGGCGTGACGGCACACACCTCTAATCCCAGGTACTTGGGAGGCTGAGGCAGGAGGCAGGAGAATCACTTGAACCCAGAAGGCGGAGGTTGCAGTGAGCTGAAATTGTACCACTGCACTCCAGCCCAGGTGACAGAGCAAGATTCCATCTAAAAAGAAAGAACATTTCAAATCTTTAATATGCGGCTATGCATGAAGACATGAGCTCTTATCAGGTGGTATTTAATAGGACTTTGATTTCCTTTAGGGCACTAAGCAAAAGCACTAGTAGTTCTTTGAATTTGGGACTTAAAGGCAAGAAGGTGAGTTAGGTCATGAAAAGCCTTATATTTGAGACTGGGTGTTTGGACAAAATAATGTTGAAATACTGTGAACCCCTTCACACTTTTTTTTTTTTTTTTTTTTTTTGAGACAGAGTTTCACTCCTGTTGCCCAGGCTGGAGTGCAATGGCACCATCTTGGCTCACTGCAACCTCCACCTCCCGGGTTCAAGTGATTCCCCTGCCTCAGCCTCCCGGGTAGCTGGGATTACAGGCAGGCACCACCATGCCAGGCTAATTTTGTATTTTTAGTAGAGATGGGGTTTCTCCATGTTGGTCAGGCTGGTCTCGAACTCCCGGCCTCAGGTGATCCGCCTGCCTCCGCCTCCCAAAGTGCTGGGATTACAGGCGTGAGCCACCATGCCCGACCCCCTGCCCCACGCTTTTTTTTTTTTTTTTTTTTTTTAAGAGAGTCTCACTGTGTCTCCCAGGCTGGAGGGCAGTGGTGTGATCTCGGCTCACTGCAAGCTCCACCTCCCAGGTTCACGCCATTCTTCTGCCTCAGCCTCCCAAGTAGCTGGGACTACAGGCGCCCACCACCACGCCCGGCTAATTTTTTTTTTGTATTTTTAGTAGAGACGGAGTTTCACCTTGTTAGCCAGCCTCGATCTCCTAACCTTGCGATCCACCCGCCTCAGCCTCTCAGAGTGCTGGGATTACAGATGTGAGCCACTGCGCCCGGCCCTCGCTCACACATTTTTAAGTTGACACCTAGCACTTTTCATCTTAAGTTTTTAAGCTTATGAAAACTTATAATGCATTTTTTTGTTTATCAATTGTAAACTAAGTTACCATAATTCAATTTTATTAAATTAAATATATGAAATAATACATTTAGGTAACAGTCTTATAATTGCTACATATATTTAATTTGAATCAACTCTTTTAAAAGAAGGTGCTATTTATAGTTGCAGGGTATATAACTTCCAGAGAATTATAAATATTATCATTTAAAAATAAAATGGTTACATCAGTTTTTAAAATGTAGCCAGTGGAATCCGAATATCTTAGCGATATGCTATCTTTCATCAACTGTTTAAAGAATGCTTTAACAGAAATTTTAAATTCCTTTTTCTCCTGGAACTTGCATTCTTTTTACACTTAGCCCACATAATATGTTTTATTTTAACGTAATATATGTTTGGAAGCCTTTTATTTATCATTCTAGCACATTTCTTTGCAACAAAAAGAGGTATAAAAAATTAAATTTTTTTTCTTCTTCAAGATGGAGTCTTTCTCTGTTGCCCAGGCTGGAGTGCAGTGGCATGGTCTTGGCTCACCGCAACCTCCACTCCCCCGGGTTTAAGCAGTTCTCCTGCCTCAGCTTCCGGAGTAGCTGGGATTACAGGCACCTGCCACCACGCCTGTCTTAATTTTTGTATTTTTAGTAGAGATGGGGTTTCACAATGTTGGCCAGGCTGGTCTTGAACCTCCTGACCTCATGATCCACCTGCCTCGGCCTCCTAAAGTGCTGGGATTACAAGCGTGAGCCACCACACCTGGCCAAAATAAAAATTTTAAATTTACTTTCACCATTAAGCTGGATCCTTTTGGCAGGATTTTTTTTTTTTTTTTAGACGGAGTCTCACTCTGTCTCCCAGACTGGAATGTGGTGGCACGATCTTGGCTCACTGCAACCTCCGCCTCCCGGGTTCAAGCAGTTCTGCCTCAGCCTCCCGAGTAGCTACCATGCCCGGCTAATTTTTTTATTTTTAGTAGAGACGAGGTTTCACCATATTGGCTAAGCTGGTCTTGAACTCCTGGCCTCAGGTAATCCACCGCGCCCAGCTGCTTTTGCTCTCTTTCAAGTTGATTCATGCAGAATAATAGATGTAGCATTTATAAGATTCTGTTACATCTATTTCTTATTTCAACAAGTTGAGTTATAGTAATTTAGTACAAAACAACGCATGCATTATAAATTTTTTTTTTTTTTCTTGAGACTGAGCCTTGCTCTGTTGCCCAGGCTGGAGTGCAGTGGCACAATCTCGGCTCACTGCAAGCTCTGCCTCCCGTGTTCATGCCATTCTCCTGCCTCAGCCTCCCTTGTAGCTGGGACTACAGGCTCCTACCACCACGCCCAGCTAATTTTGTTTTTGTATTTTTAGTAGAGATGAGGTTTCACCGTGTTAGCCAGGATGGTCTCGATCTCCTGACCTCGTGATCCGCCTGCCTCGGCCTCCCAAAGTGCTGGGATTACAGGCGTGAGCCACCGTGCCCGGCCGCATTATAAATTTTTATAAGTAATTATTATGTAAAAAAGTACAAGTTTATTAGAAATGCCCTCCCTAATGAGATAGGGCTCCCTTACCTGCCTTGATTTATTCATGTCATTTATGGAGTTACTTGTAGCCAAAGTAAGAGTTCTCAGTTCAGTTCTTGTTTTTGTTTTTGTAAATTTAAGTCCCAGAAATTCTTGCTCACATAAATAAACTATAAAGGAAAGTAATAATGGCTGGGCGCGGTGGCTCACGCCTGTAATCCCAGCACTTTGGGAGGCAGAGGCGGGCGGATCACCTGAGGTCAGCAGTTCAAGACCAGCCTGGCCAACATGGAGAAACCCCGTCTCTACTAAAAATATAAAAATTAGCCGGGCGTGGTCAGGTGCAGTGGCTCACACCTGTAATCCCAGCACTTTGGGAGGCCGAGGCGGGCAGATCACGAGGTCAGGAGATCGAGACCATCCTGGCTAACACAGTGAAACCCCGTCTCTACTAAAAATACAAAAAATTAGCCAGGCGTGGTGGCGGGCGTCTGTAGTCCCAGGTACTGAGGAGGCTGAGGCAGGAGAATGGCGTGAACCCAGGAGGCGGAGCGTGGAGTGAGCCGAGATCGTGCCACTGCACTCCAGCCTGAGCGACAGAGCGCAACTCCATCTCAAAAAAAAAAAAAAAAAAAAAAAATTAGCCGGGCGTGGTGGCATGTGCCTGTAATCCCAGCTACTCGGGAGGCTGAGGCAGGAGAATCACTTGAACTGGGGAGGCGGAGGTTTCGATGAGCTGAGATAGCGCCATTCCATTCCAGCCTGGGTGACAGAGCAAAACTCTGCCTCAAAAAAAAAAACAAAACCAAAAAAAATGGCTGGGCACGGTGGCTCACACCTGTAATCCCAGCACTCTGGGAGGCCGAGGCAGGTGCGGATCACCTGAGGTCAGGAGTTCGAGACTAACCTGGCCCACATGGCGAAACCCCGTCTCTACTAAAAATGCAAAAATTAGCCGGGTGTGGTGGCTGTTGCCTGTAATCCCAGCAACTTGGGAGGCTGAGGCAGGAGAATCGCTTGAACCTGGGAGGCAGAGATTGCAGTGAGCGGAGATTGTGCCACTGCACTGCAGCCTGGCGGCAGAGCGAGACTCCGTCTCAAAAAAAAAGGGAATAAGTTTAGTTATAGCAATGTTTTGTTTTTTTTGAGACAGTTTCGCTCTTGTTGCCCAGGCTGGAGTGCAGTGGCGTGATCTTGGCTCACCGCAACCTCTGCCTCCCAGGG
Source organism: Homo sapiens (assembly GCF_000001405.40). Classification (NCBI taxonomy): domain Eukaryota; kingdom Metazoa; phylum Chordata; class Mammalia; order Primates; family Hominidae; genus Homo; species Homo sapiens. The sequence continues at coordinate 512,049 of NW_016107298.1, forward strand.
TTCAAGTGATTCTCCCACCTCAGCCTCCCGAGTAGCTGGGATTACAGGCATACGCCACCACACCCGGCTAATTTTGTATTTTTAGTAGAGACAGGGTTTCTCCACGTTGGTCAGGCTGGTCTTGAACTCCCGACCTCAGGTAATTGGTCCACCTCGGCCTCCCAAAGTGCTGGGATTACAGGCGTGAGCCACCACACCTAGCCAGCAATGTTACTCAATATTTTGAAACCTGAATTGTGTGCCAAAAAATCACAGTTACATATAATCAAAAATTAACTTATCAGTTGACAACTTGGTTAGTCTTTTAATTTCATTGAAAACTAAGAATTAGAAACCATCCGACTTGCAAAAGGATTTATCTAGTCATTAGTCTTCACTCTCAGTGAGAAATATAACAAAAAGCCTTTAGCAAGTCTTATAAATTGGTTATTGATTATGCCTGCTATTCTTTCAGTTAAGAGGTACCTTGTTTCTTTCTTTCTTTGTTATTTCCCAGCCGCCTACCCCTGAAACAGAGTCTCAGGCTGGGTTTATTTTTATTTTTGGTAGAGACGAAGTCTTGCTCTGTCTCCCAACCTGGAGTGCAGTGGCTATTCATAGGTGCTATCATGGTGCACTACAGCCTTCAACTCCTGGGCTTAGCTCCCTAGTAGCTGGGATTACAGATGTGTGCCAATGCACCTGGCTTTCACACTTTTAATTAGTGTGTTTTTGCTGTTCTGTATTAGACTATGAGCAACTTAAGAGCAAGACCAAGAGTCTGGCATTGTACCTGCTGTATTTGGCAGTCATCAAGCATCTGTTGACTGTGTGTTAATGGTATTATAGAAGGTGCTCTGAAGTGAGAGTCAGAAGCTGTATGGCTTTGGGCTAGGACCAGTTGGGAAGTGGAGTTGGTAGAGGTAAGGCAGGAGGTCCTGATTTGCACATCCATGTTTAGGGCTTCATTGATCACACTAGGAGGGAGCGACCTGAATGTCCATCACAGATGAATGGATAAAGAAAATGTGGCATATCCATACAACAGAATATTATTCAGCCTTAAAAAGGAAGGAAATAGGCTGGGCACGGTGGCTCATGCCTGTAATCCCAGCACTTCGGGAGGCCGAGGCGGGCGGATCACGAGGTCAGGAGATCGAGACCATCTTGGCTAACACGGTGAAACCCCGTCTCTACTAAAAATACAAAAAATTAGCCAGGTGAGGTGGTGGGCACCTGTAGTCCCAGCTACTTGGGAGGCTGAGGCAGGAGAATGGCGTGAACCCCGGGAGGCGGAGCCTGCAGTGAGCCGAGATTGTCCCACTGCACTCCAGCCTGGGCGACAGCGAGACTCCATCTCAAAAAAAAAAAAAAAAAAAAAAAAAGAAGGAAATACTGTTCTATGCTGCAACATGATCTTTGAGGACATTATGCTAAGTGAAATAAGACAGTCACAAAAAATAAATATTGCATGATTCTACTTATTTGAGATGTCTAAAATAAACTCATAGAAACAGAAAGTAGAATGGTAGTTGTCATGGGCTCGGGGAAGAGATAGGGGAGTTGTTCATGGATATAACTAGATGAGTAAGTTCTACTTACACAACAATGTGCATTTGGTTAACACTATTGCATACTTTATTTACTAATTTTTTTGACATGGAGCCTCACTCTGTCGCCCAGGCTGGAGTGCAGTGGTGATATCTTGGCTCACTGCAGCCTCTACCTCCTGGATTCAAGCGATCCTTGTGTCTCAGCCTCCTGAGTAGCTGGGACTACAGGTGCCTGCCACCACGCCTGGCTAATTTTGTATTTTTAGTAGAGATGGGATTTTGCCATGTTGGCCAGGCTGGACTCGAACTCCTGACCTCAAGTGATCCACCCACCTCAGCCTCTCAAAGTGCTGGGATTACAGCCATGAGCCACTGCACCCAGCCGACTACTGTATACTTTAAAAAGTTAAGATGGTAAATTTTATGTTCTGTGCCTTTGACCACAGTTTTTGAAAAGTGAGACAGAAACTGTGATTTTATAAACCACATGCCCTAAAAATGTTCTAACAATATTATAAGAGTTGTTTAATAAAGGCATATCAATAAAATTTAAGGACCAGTGTAAGTGGTCCGACATCCGAATAATAGGAATTACAGGAAGAGAGAAAACAAGGTGGGAAGTGACCTATAAAATAGTTGATAACAGAAGCACATGAGCCAACAGATTAAAACTGTGTACTTGTGCCTAGCACTAGGGAAGAAAATAGACCTGCACCAGGCATGGAATTTCTGAACATTGAGTTGATAGAAAAGATTTACAAGCTTCTGGATGGGAGGGTACCAGGTCACATATCAAGAATCAGAATGTCTTTGGACTTCATGGCAGCAGCATAGGAAGCAAAAAGAGAATTGGAACAATGTCTTCAAAATTCTGAAGGAAAGTGATTACTAACCTGGACTTCTGTACCTAGCCTAACTATACAACAAGAATAAGTGAGAAAAAGGTGTTTTTGTTTTTTTTGTTTGTTTGTTTTTTGTTTGTTTGTTTGAGATGGAGTCTCACTCTGTCGCCCGGGCTGGAATTCAGTGGCATGATCTTGGCTCACTGCAACCTCCACCTCCTGGGTTTGAGCAATTCCCCTGTCTAGGCCTCCTGAGTAGCTGGGATTACAGGCGCCTGCCACCACACCTGGCTAGTTGTTGTTGTTTGAGATGGAGTTTTGCTCTTGTTGCCCAGGCTGGGGTGCAATGGCGCGATCTCTGCTCACTGCAACCTCCGCCTCTGGGTTCAAGCGATTCTCCTGCCTCAGCCTCCCGAGTAGCTGAGATTACAGGCATGCGCCACCACGCCTGGATAATGTTGTGTTTTTAGTAGAGACAGGATTTCTCCACGTTGGTCAGGCTGGTCTTGAACTCCCAACCTCAAGTGATCCGCTTGCCTCGGCCTCCCAAAGTACTGGGATTACAGACGTGAGCCACCGCACCCAGCAAATTTTTGTATTTTTAGTACAGAAGGGGTTTCACCATGTTGGCCAGGCTGGTCTTGAACTCCTGACCTCTAGTGATCCACTCATCTCGGCTTCCCAAAGTGGTGGGATTACAGGCCTGAGCCACTGTGCCTGGCCGAAAAAGGTTTAAAAAATTTAAATGTCATACTCCTTCTCAAGAAGCTACTGGAAGATGTGTTCCACCAAATTGAAAGACTAAATCATGAAAGAGTAAGACACAGATACAGCAAACAGGAGCCCAACACAGTAGACATGGCCTGGGAGGCCCACAGAGGATGGCGAGAAGTGATCCTAGGGTGGCGGCTCTGCACCAGACGTGGAGGGCAACTGAGCCATACTGCAGCAGTGCAACCCACCGAGAGGTGAAGGCAGGCCATGGTGAGCTTAGAAACAGGAAGTACAGGGCAGCCCCCTTGCTCTGACTGTATTTCCACTGCAGGTCCAGCGCCTGGTCCCCACCTTGGCCCTGCCTGGTGCCTGACTATGCTGAGCCCTGTGTTTCCCAAAACTCCAAGATCTTGCTCACGACTTCCTCAGGAGGGGCTTTGTCAGCTCCCGGAGAAGCAGAAGTCAGATCACAACCTGGAGATTGATGCGCTCACCTCCTGGAGCCTCCATCCAGCAGGGGCAGTGCTGCCCTCTCCTTGCACTGCCAGTGTGCACCTGCTCTCCGCTTTAATATTAATCATCTTTGATATTCATTTACATGTAGTTATAATAGCTGCCCAAATAGTGAAATAGTAAATAAAATTACCAAATGATCTTCTGTGGATGTGGCCATGTGCTCTTATCTCCTGCGGATTCTTGCTTAGACTTCACATGCTTATTCTGTGAGCCCTTTCCTGAGCACCTTATTTGGAATCATAAGTCCCACCAACTCTCTCTTTGAGTGATTTGTTTTCTCGGGAGTACGTCTCAGCTAGAATATAGGCTCTAGGAGAGCCTGTGGTTTTGTTTGCTTGTTTCTCTGCTGTATCCCTAGGGCCCAGAGAGTGGCTGGCTCAGTCAGCTCTCAATAGATTTTTTTTGTTTTTGTTTTAAGACAGGGTCTCTTGACTCCCAGGCAGGAGTACAGTGGCCCGATCTAGGCTCACTGCAACTTCTGCTTCCCGGGCTCAAGCTATTCTCCTGCTTCAGTGTCCTGAGTAGCTGGGATTACAGGTATGAGCCACCATGTCCGGCTAATTATTGTATTTTTTGTAGAGGTGGGGTCTTGCCGTGTTCCCCAGGCTGGTCTCGAACTCCTGAGTGCAAAGCAATCCGCTTGCCTGGGACTCCCAAAGTGCTGGGATTACAGGCCTGACGGCTCTCAGTAGATTCTTATTGGATAAATTGAATGAGATGATGAGGAAGAGTTTGCTAGAAAGAGAAAGGTGGGCAAGGATGACGATTCCCAGCAAGGAGGCAGCTGGCACAGAGCCACAGTGCCTGCTGTATGGAGCCCTTTGTGCAGTAAGGAGCTGCTGCTGGGCCCAGGCGGCAGGTCCCGGGGGCTTCCCTTATCTTCAGTGCTGTCCTGAAAACTTAGTTGTTCAAGGCTACTTTTTTTTAAATCAGAATCTCGCTCTGTCACCAGGCTGGAGTGCAGTGGCACGATCTTGGCTCACTGCAACCTCTGCCTCCTGGGTTCAAGCGATTCTCCTGTCTCAGCCTCCCGAGTAGCTGGGACTACAGGCGCACACCACGATGCGTAGCTAATTTTTTATTTTTAGTAGAGACAGGGTTTCACCATATTGGTCAGGCTGGTCTCAAACTCCTGACCTCAGGTGATCCACCCGCCTCGGCCTCCTAAAGTGCTGGGATTACAGGCGTGAGCCACCGTGCCCAGCTGGCTACTTTCTATAGTTATACTGTCCATGAGGGTAGCCATCAGCCAGGTCAGGTTCTTAAGCACGTGGAATGCACCTTGTTAAACTTGACTTGTGCTAAAAGTGTAAAATGCACACTGGATTTTGATAATTTAGTACCACAGATTTTTTTGGTGCACTCACTTCAGTGGCTGTCACCTGTAATCCCAACACTTTGGGAGGCCAAGGCGGGCGGATCATGAGGTCAAGTTCGAGACCACCCTGGCCAGCATGGCGAAAGCCCGTCTCTACTAAAAATACAAAAATTAGCCGGGCATGGTGGCGCACACCTGTAATCCCAGCTACTCGGGAGGCTGAGGCAGGAGAATCACTTGAACCCGGGAGGCAGCGGGTGCAGTGAGCCAAGATCATGCCACTGCACTCCAGCCTGGGTGACAGAGCGAGACTCCATCTCAAAAAAAGAAAAAAATACCGATTATGGCCAGGCACAGTAGCTCATGCCTGTAATCCCAGCACTTGGGGAGGCTGAACTGGGCAGATCACTTGAGCCCAGGAGTTCAAGACCAGCCTGGGCAGCATGGCAAAACCCCATCTTTACAAAAAATTAGCCAGGCTTGGTGGTGTACACCTGTAGTTCCAGCTACTAGGGAGGCTGAGGTGAGAGGATCATCTGAGCCTGGGAGGTCAGGGCTGCAGTGAGCTGTGATTGCACCACTGCACTCCATCGTGGGCAATAGAGTGAGACCTTGTCTCAAAGAAAAAAAAATACTGATTACATGTTAAAAAGATAATATAGGCCCAGTGTGGTGGCTCACACCTGTAATCCCAGCACTTTGGGAGGCCGAGGTGGGTGGATCACGAGGTGAAGAGATCAAGACCATCCTGGCCAACATAGCGAAACCCCCTCTCTACTAAAAATACAGAAATTAGCTGGGTGTGGTGGCGCACGCCTGTAGTCCCAGCCACTCAAGAGGCTGAGGCAGGAGAATCGCTTGAACGCGGGAGGTGGAGGTTGCAGTGAGCCGAGATCGCACCACTGCACTCCAGCCTGGCAACAGAGCTAGACTCTGTCTCCAAAAAAAAAAAAAAAATATATATATATATATATATATATATATATGGTTAAATAACATTATTAAAGATATTAAGATTTTTTCTCAAAAAATACTGATTATATGTTAAAAAGTTCATATATATTGGGTTAAATATGATATTAAAATTGGCGCCATCTGTTTCTTTTTATGTGCTACTAGCAAATTTAAAGTTGCATATTTTGCCCACACTTGTGGCTGGCATATTTCTATTAGTGCTGTTGAGTAATGAGTACGTTTGTACTGTGTTGAGTTTAACAGTTTATTAGATACTCTTTTTTTTTTTTTTTTTTTTTTTTTTGAGATGGAATCTCGCTCTGTCGCCCAGGCTGGAGTGCAGTGGCGTGATCTCAGCTCACTACAAGCTCCGCCTCCCGGGTTCACGCCATTCTCCTGCCTCAGCCTCTGGATATTACTCTTTATGTCCTCTTTCATCTGTGGAACTCATTTATTTTATTTTATTTTTTTGAGAAGGAGTCTCACTCAGCTGCCCAGGCTGGAGTGCAGTGGTGCAATCTCGGCTCACCGCAACCACCATCTTCCAGATTCAAGTGATTCTCCAGTCTCAGCCTCCTGAGTAGCTGGGATTACAGGCACCCGCCATCATGCCCAGCTAATTTTTGTATTTTAGTAGAGACAGGGTTTCACCATGTTGGCCAGGCTGGTCTTGAACTCCTGACCTCAGGTGATCCGCCCGTCTTGGCCTCCCAAAGTGCTGGGATTACAGGCGTGAACCACAGCACCTGGCCCATCTGTGGAACTCTTATCTCACTGTCACTTCACAATCATTGGAACAGGAAAGACTGTATTTATAATTACTGATTTCAGTTTGCTCACCTAAATCCTAGATGCTATTTTTTAGTGTGTGTGTGTGTGTGTGTGTGTGTGTGTGCGCGCGCGTGCGCGTGCTGGGGTGAAGGAGTCCTGAATTCACATTGTCTGTCTTTGGCCTCTGGCAATCTGCCTTCTGATTTCACTACTCAATTAAACCAGTCTATCTTGACATCTTTAATGCGTTTTTACTTTTATTACCCTCCGTGCTACGTTTGATAATATTTCAAATTTTTCTCCTTAAGATAGAATTGCTGCACTTAACTCCCAGATCCATTTGGACAAGTAGATTCAATTGTTTTATTTGTAAAGGGAATAAGGGTGTCCAGCTTGGTCAAAGGAGTTTGAGGAGTACATGCATGTTCTGGACTTACACACCGAGTGATTGATGCCTCGAAGAAAGCGAATGGCAAAGGATTAAGACAGTAGTGGATGAGATGAATCGGGGGGGAGAAGTGTTTCTGTTTGGGTTGTTTTATTATTATTATTTTTTTTTTTTTTTTTTTTTTTTTTTTGAGGCAGAGTTTCGCCCTTGTTGCCCAGGCTGCAGTGCAATGGTGTGCGATACTGGCTCACTGCAACCTCCGCCTCCCGGGCCCGGGTTCAAGTGATTCTCCTGCTTCAGTCTCCCAAGTAGCTAGCTGGGACTACAGGTGTACACCATGGTGCCTGGCTAATTTTTTATTTTTAGTAGAGATGGCGTTTCACCATGTTGGTCAAGCTGGTCTCGAACTCCCGACCTCAAGTGATCCACCCACCTCGGCCTCCCAAAGTGCTGGGATTACAGGCGTGGGCCACCTTGCCTGGCCTTGTTTGGATTGTTTTAGAATGTAAAATTGGGCTGGGCACAATGGCTCACGCCTGTAATCTCAGCACTTTGGGAGGTCAAGGTGGGTGGATCCCTTGAGCCCAGGGGTTTGAGAGCAGTCTGGGTAATATGGTGAAACCCCATCTCTAAAAAAATGCAAAAATTAGCTGGGTGTGGTGGCTCCATCTGTAGTCTCAGATACTCAAGAGGCTACAATGGGAGGATCACTTGAGCCTGGGAGGTGGAGACTGCACTTAGCTGAGATTGCGCCACTGCACTCCAACCTGGGTAACAGAGCGAGACGCTGTCTCAAGAAGAAGAAATAAATGAATATGAAATTGAAGGCAGGCATGGTGGTTCACGCCTGCAGTCCTAGCCTTTTGGTAGGCCAAGTCAGGAGGGCTGCTTGAGGCCAGGAGTTCCAGATCAGCTTGGGAAACATAATGAGACCCCATTTATTTGAATAGTAAAAAATTAGCTGAGTATGGTGGCGCATGCCTGTAGTGCTAGCTACTGGGGAGACTGAAGTGGGAAGATAGAGCTCGGGAGGTGGAGGCTGCAGTAAGCTAGGATCACCCCACTGCACTCCAGCCTGAGTGATAGAGCAAGACCCTGTCTCAAAAAGAAAAAAAAAATGTGAAATTGAGCATATATTTGAAAGAAGCCACTACCACAGTGGTTCTCAAACTTGGCCTTTGTCAAAATCACCTGAAGGGCTGACTAAAACCACTTTCTGTGCCCCACGCTTAGAGTTTCTGACTCAGTGAGTATGGGGTAGTGCCTGGGAATTTGCATTTCCAATAGATTCCCAGGTGATGCTGATGCTACTGGCCTGGGATCACACTTAGAGAACCACTGCTCTAGAACAAAACAAATTCAAGTTATTTTTGAGATGAAGAGGGGACGAATTTGAAGGACAGAAAGTCTCAGATGAGGCAGGTCCAGAGGGAATAAGAAGGTGCAGCTGAAGGGAGTTAATCTTTGCAAGGAGAAGTGCTTCCCTCTTACAGAAGAGAGAAAGAAAAGAGTTGATAAGACGCTAAAAGGTTTTGAGGTGAAAGAGAGGCATATTTAAGGGAGTCACCTAAGTTGGACTTTGAGACACAGCTTTAAATCAAATAGATCTGTGTCCAAATCCTGGTTCAGCAGTCACACTCACATTCCAAGTTGTATAACTTCTCCAAGCCTTAGTGCCTTTATCTTGAAATTCAGGATAACCGAACAGCACTTACCCTGTAGGTTGTTGTGAAGATTGAGTGATGAGCTAGTACTGCTTCCTGTTAGTGAGCAGAGAGAGCGAGCCTGGGAAACAAAAAGACAAAGAACAGAGTGACCTTGACTGTAGCAGTGGGGGAGGTGGGAAAGTTAACTGTGAACTTTCACTGGATACCTGTAATTTGCTGAGCATTAGACTTGGCCCTGGGGATGAAAAGGGCAAGGCTTTGGTCTTCAGGGATGGAAGGAGATGCAGAGAAAGTGAACATGTACAGTACGACACAAATGCTTTACCACAAACATGAAACGTAGTATTGTATACAAAGTACTGTTAGAGCATTAGGGATAGAATAAGGAATTTGACCAGCAGTAGGATAAGTGGTTGGAGAGAAAACACTGCAGAGTTGATGTTTGAGCTAAATGAAGCTTGTCCAGCCTGCGGCCGAGATGGCTTTGAATGCAGCCCAACACAAATTCATAAACTTTCTTAAAACACTATGAGATTTATGCATGGACCTTTTTTTTTTTTTAAGCTCATCAGCTACTATTATTGTTAGCTTATTTTATTTGTGGCCCAAGACAGTTTTTTTTTTTTTTAAGACAGAGTCTCATTCTGTCACCCATGCTTGAATGCAATGGCGTGATCTCAGCTCACTGCAACCTCTACCTCCCAGGTTGAAGCAGTTTTCCTCCTTCAGCCTCCCGAGTAGCTGAGATTACAGGAGCCCACCACCACGCCCAGCTAATTTTTTGTATTTTTAGTAGAGAGAGGGTTTCACCATGTTGGCCAGGCTGGTCTCGAACTCCTGACCTCGTGATCCACCTGCCTCAGCTTCCCAAAGTGCTGGGATTACAGGTGTGAGCCACCATGCCTGGCAGTTTTTCTTCTTTCAGTGTGGCCCAGGGAAGCCAAAAGATTGGACACCCCGAGCTAAATCTTAAAACATTAGTAGGAGGTGGCCGGTCGCGGTGGCTCATGCCTGTAATCCCAGCACTTTTGGAGGCCGAGGCAGGTGGATCACGAGGTCAGGAGATGGAGACCATCCTGGCTAACACGGTGAAACCCCATCTCTACTAAAAATACAAAAAATTGGCCGGGTGTGGTGGCGGGCGCCTGTGGTCCCAGCTGCTCGGGAGGCTGAGGCGGGGGAGTGGCGTCAACCTGGGAGGCCGAGCTTGCAGTTAGCTGAGATCATGCCACTGCACTCCAGCCTGGGCCTGGGCGACAGACAGAGCGGGACTCTGTCTCAAAAAAAAAAAAAAAAATTAGGCGGTCACCAGCCTGGAAGTATATTCTCAGTCCTGAAAGACATTCAGTTTAAGTTGGGGCCCCAAGGGAATGGCAGGGAATTCAACAGAGAAGTTAATTGGGAATCAGATCAAACAGGCCTTTATGTGCCAGGTTAAGGAGTTTGAACTTTATCTGTAAGTAATGGGGAAATAAGACACTTAAAATGGTGCAGATATGTGTTTTATAGCGGTCACACGGATAACATCATAAAGGGTGTGTTAGATCCGAGAGAGAATAGAAACAGAAGTCAGCATGAAGTTATTTCTGTCATCTAGGATAAAAAATGACTTGAACTAACATGGGCGTAGTATGGAGGTATCTCACTGGAGAGAGATTTAGAAGGGCGAATCAGAACTCAATGCCTGGTCATCGGAGAGGACAAGGATTGACCCATGCACTGAGACAGGGTGCATGAGAGCAAGGTGTGGATTTGGGGAGGAAGGCAAAGAACCCAGCTCGGACTGGGTTTACAGTAAACCCAGCTGGGATTACAGGCGTGCGCCACCACGCCTGGCTAATTTTTGTATTTTTAGTAGAGACAGGGTTTTTACCATATTGGTCTTGAACTCCTGAGCTCAAGGAACCACCCACCCGCAGCCTCCCAAAGTGCTGGGATTACAGGCTGAGCCACTGTGCCCGGCTGTGAGTTTGGAATAATGACTTGCACTCTATTTACTGTTAATTTATATACAGCCTGTACAGAGCAGTGTCTGCTGTATAGGAGGACTTTGGTGAATGAGTACTCTATGAGCCCCTGAGAGCGTCTCCTTGTTCAGAGTAAAAGTTGGTATTAGAATTATAGCAATGTGGGTCAAGTGAGGTTGCTCACACCTGTAATCCCAGCACTTTGGGAGGCCAAGGCGGGCAGACTGCTTGAGGTCAGGAGTTCAAGACCAGCCTGACCAACATGGTGAAACCCCGTCTCTACTAAAAATACAAAAATTAGCCAGGCATGGTGGCGGGTGCCTGTCATCCCAGCTACTCGGGAGGCTGAGGCAGGAGAATCACTCAAACCTGGGAGGCGGAGGTTGCAGTGAGCCGGCATGGTGCCACTGGACTCCAGCCTGGGTGACAGAGTGAGACTCCTCTCAAAAAAAAAAAGAAGTATAGCAATGTGGAGTTTTAAAGCCAATGGAACTCTAGATCATCTAACCCAGCCATCTTCAGGTTCTAAATGGGTTATGTCTTAACGTCACACATCCAGTTAGCAATCGCCTGCATTGTTCTCATGTCTACCAAGCAACCTTCTGAGCCTCACTGGTTTCCCAAATTGGTTTTTCTCTAGTGAAGAGAATATACTGACTGCCTGCCAAGCACAAGAATCAATCTATTTAACAATTTTGTTTCTCAGTGAATTCTAACTTTGCTTATCCTGCAGGAAGAGATTGTATTGTTAAATACTTACATAGCTTTGCTTTAAAAAAATCTCTTTAAAAACTTTCCATCGAAAAAGGTGATGGTTATATGCACATAGAACTATACACATGCATTATACTGATATCAGATTCCTGGGTTTGATATTGTGCTGTAATTACGTAAAACACAGTCATTGGGAGAAACTGGGTGAAGGGTGCACAGGACCTCTCTGTACTATCTTTGCAATTTCCTGTGAATGTATAATTATTTCAAAAACGTTTAAATTTAAAAAGATGATGTGAAAACGTTTAGGCACCAAACTACAGAGTTTTCTGGAAAATACCGGAACTGGAACTTACCTTCTCTATGTCCTCGACAAGTGGATTCAGTGACAGGAATGGAGCTTATAGGGATCTTTAGTTCTTATCATGCTGAGTGGTTTGTATTCTAAATCAGTGACTATTCCAAACTAGTAAGACAAATAATGTCTTTAAAAGTGGGAATTTTACTAGCAGGAATTTTAGAACGTTTAGACAGTTCTCTGATTTTTTTTTCTTTTTCTTTTCTTTTTTTTTTTTTTAATAGGGTCTTTCTCTGTCCCCTAGGCTGGAGTGCAGTGGCACGATCATGGCTCACCGCAGTCTCCCTCCTGGGCTCAAGTGTTCCTCTCACCTCAACCTCCCAAATAGCTGGGACTACAGATATGCCCCACTGTGCCTGGCTAATTATTTATTTTTTTTAGAAATGGCGTCTCACTGTGTTGCCCAGGCTGGTCTTGAACTCCTGGGTTCAAGTGATCCTCCTGCCTTATCCTCCCAAAGTGCTAGGATTACAGGCGTGAGCCACCACACCCGACCATTTTTTTTTCTTTTTTAAAAATATTTTACTGGCCCAGCGCGGTGGCTCACACCTATAATCCCAGCACTTTGGGAGACCAAGGTGGGCAGATCACTTGAGGTCAGGAGTTCAAGACCAGCCTCGCCAACATGGTGAAACCCCGTCTCTACTCAAAATACAAAAATTAGCCAGGCATGGTGGCGCACGCCTGTCATCCCAGCTACCCGGGAGGCTGAGGCAGGAGAATAGCTTGAACCTGCAGAGGTTGCAGTGAGCTGAGATCGTGCCACTGCACTCCAACTGGGGCAACAGAGCAAGACTCCGACTCAAAAAAAAAAAAATTACAAAGATTGTTTGTGGCGCTGGTATGTGGGATTTCCTCACAGCACAGTTCATTTTTCTGGTAATGACAGCTGCTGGGTATCTGCGCTTCACGAAGGTGCTCCTATTTGTACGGTTTGAAACTGACTCACTCTGTCCTGCTGCTGGTGTTTGACATGCAAGCTTCTCTTTCGGCATCACTCTCGGAAGTGGGATCAATTCACCAAGTCTGTTCTGACAAAGGGAGTCTGTCGGCAGCAGACCCCAGCATTCAGAAGGGATCCTTCTTGAGACATCAAACCTCAGGAAACCTTGTGTAATTTTCTTAGTTTCAGTGGCAATAAAACAGGAACAATGATGCTCATCCTCTAGGGTTGTTTTGAAGGTTGAGTGAGATCCTGAATTAACTGGGAATAATAGGTTAAGAATGATTAACTGGGAATACATCATAAGTAACTGGAAATGAGGGGTCAGCAAGCACATGACTTAAGTCAGGACTTCTTCCTACAGCACTTGGTTCAGATTTGTGCTTTATCAAATTAACAAGTTGCTACTTGACATGGATTTCCCTTCCTCAAGTCACTGAAAACTTGAGTGTTTCATGAAATGGACCTACTTTACCTGAAGAGAGGGTCAGGGCTCCCGAGTGTCCTGTGGACATACAGGGACTGGGAGAGAAATGTTGACCATGGGATTGGGTTGGAATTGCCAATAGTTAACAATTATTGCCTTAAAAACTTCTGATGTTGTAAGTCCTACCCTCACGTGGAGTCCCAGTGAGCCACGCTGGTGGAGTCCCTCTGACTCTGATGAGGAACACAGGTTGGGAGGGCAGGATCTCAACACATGGTTAAAATAATTCAAGTGAGAGATATGTGTGTTAATGAATGGAGAGAAGTGGGTGGGTTCAAGAAATATTAAGGAGGTAGACTCTACAGGACTTGGGTACCAGTTGTATGTAGGGACTAAGGAGGAGCGGGAGGGAGGCTGGTTTCTGGTTTATGTGACAGGGCGGCTGGTAGTGACAGTCTTATGTGGGAACAGAGGAAAGGAAACAGGACTGGGGAGAGGCTGGCCTCAGCTTTGGACAGATGTCATCTGAGTCATCACTCAAGTGGACAGGGGCTCAGTAGGTCTTCGGATAGACAGAAGTAAGAGCTCTGCAGAGGTGGGGCATCAGATGGCACATTTATTCACAGACACTTATCAAGTGCTGGGCACTGTCGAAGGCACTGGGGTCTCTGCTTGGCATTCTAGTGTCGGGTTAGGCCCTGACACTAGATGAGTGCCTCTGGTGAGGGGATCAGCAAGAAAGTACTATGGTGTGGGTGGTAGGTGATGTGGATGATGGAGGAGATAAGCCACCTGAATTAGAAGCTGAGTCATCCCCAGAAAAGTTAGAGGGAAGAGGTGCTCTGGGCAAAGAGAAGAGCAGGTGCAGAGGCCCCAGGCAGCACTGAGCAGGCACATTTGAGAAGCTATAAGCTGTAAGCCAGCCGCATGACCCCAGCATGCTGCACAGCAGGGAGGGCTATGAGGGAAGTTGGAAGGGACAAGGGCTGAGTGGATCAGCGTTTGGTTCCCAGACAGTTGGGTTTATTTGAGTGTGATGTTCAGTCATGGGAATTTGAAGGCATGGGAATGTGTGAAATCTCTCAGGTAGACTATGTAGAGTAAAAGGGGGAGAGGACTGTACTATTTGATAGAAGGGCAGGAGAAGGGGAGACTTCTCAAAGGATACTAGAAACAACCAACCATAAAAGCAGAAGAGGATACAAGAAAAGTGGTAAAGAAAAAGGGAACTTTAAAGATGGAAGCAGGCCGGGCGCAGTGGCTCATGCCTGTAATCCCAGCACTTTGGGAGGCCGAGGTGGGCAGATCACAAGGTCAGGAGATCGAGACCATCCTGGCTAACACAGTGAAACCCCGTCTCTACTAAAAATACAAAAACAAAGTTAGCCGGGCGTGGTGGCGGGCGCCTGTAGTCCAGCTACTTGGGAGGCTGAGGCAGGAGAATGGCATGAACCCGGGAGGTGGAGCTTGCAGTGAGCCGAGATCGCGCCACTGCACTCCAGCCTGGGTGACAGAGCGAGTCTCCGTCTCAAAAAAAAGAAAAGATGGAAGGAGGCCAGGTGCAATGGCTCACACCTGTAATCCCAGCACTTTAGGAGGCTGAGGCAGGAGGGTCGCTTCGGCCCAGGAGTTTGAGACTAGCCTGGACAACATAGTGAGACTCCTGTCTCCACAAAAGCAAAAAAATTAGCCAGTTATGGTGGTTCATGCCTGTGGTCCCAGCTACTCAGGAGGCTGAGGCGGGAGGATCACTTGAGCCCAGGAGTTTGAGGCTGCCATGAGCCTTGATCATCACCCATTGTACTCCAGCATGGGTGACAGAGTGAGACCCTGTCTCTTAAAAAAAATTAATAAAGGGCTGGGTGAGGTGCCTCACACCTGTAATCCCAGCACTTTGGGAGGCCGAGGTGAGCGGATCACCTGAGGTCAGGAGTTTGAGACCAGCTGGCCAACATGGCGAAACCCCATCTCTACTAAAAATACAAAATTAGCTGGACATGGTGGTGCACGCCTGTAATCCCCGCTGCTCGAGAGACTGAGGCAGGAGAGTCACTTGAACCTGGGAGGCAGAGGTTGCAGTGAGCCGAGATTGCACCATTGCACTCCAGCCTGGGCAACAAGAGTGAAACTCCGTCTCAATAATAATAATAAAGATGAATTATTAAGTGGCAGATGATAAGAGGGAGAGGAAGGGAGTGCAGGGAGAGAGGGAAAGGAAGGACTGAAAATATGGCCTATGTGTAACAGTAGGAAGATCATTGCTGGCCTTGGAGAAAGCAGTTCTCAACTCCTCCCTTCCTTTTCCCCACATCCCATTGATTTCCAGATTGGCCAGGAATGTAATCCATATTGCCATAGATCAAGGTGCTGGCTCTAAGGGGTGGGAACTGGTGGAGTTTGGCTGACAGGAAGATGATAGAAGAGGTAAAAAAGAGGAGGCAGGAGGAAAAGCAAATTTCCTGATGAGTAGGGCTAGAAAGGGGCATTGGCTGCCAGTGTGTAAGGAGCACTCATGAAAGAACCACGCGTGTCTTCAGCAGCTGTGTCTGTCAGCTCAGAGTGGAAGCATGTAGGTATTGTCATTTTTTGGTGAGTTTGGCCACAAAGCATTCTGGGAGTGCAGCGGTGGGTGGTTGAAGAAGGAGGAAGTGGAGATAGGCAAAGGATTATCCTTCCTATAAGGCTAGTGCATGGTGGGTGAGAGACTGACAGGATGCTGCTTAGGAGTCCAAAAGGTGTGGCCAGCTCCAGCTTGATTCAGAGCAGTGGTGGTATCCTGGAGCTCCTCTCCCAGAGCAGAGGATGGCAGGTGGCGCCTGGAGAGTGTGGCCTCCCAGCGAGGGAGCTGGCACAGGCTAGGATGGGACTTAGGTCAGCGGGGTGTCTTGGTGGAAGGCTGAGCACACGTGGTTCTCCAGCCGACCACGAGCATCTGATCATATTATCTCCCAGGACTGGGTCCTCCTGGAACCCTGTACACTGCAGAAACTCTTCAGTAGTTACAACAGGAACCTTTGAGCTGAGCACCCAGAAGTACCAGATGTGCTGGAGCAGGCTCCTGTATTTATACGTGGCAGCCAGTCTAGTATTGCTTTATAGCACCTTCTGTGTCTGTTCTTACATAACTTTTAATCTGTTCAGGCTGTTTGCCCATCTCTATTGTGATTCTTTGAGTTCAGGCTCCAAGGCTCACTCATCCTTGCCCTGCATATCAGACACTCCTGCAAATGCTCAGGGCTTAAAAATCTGCCGGGGCCACCACATTACACACTCCTATCCCCGTCTACGTTATTCCAGTTAAATTTTGTGAGTAGTTGACAAAATGCCCTACTGTTTCCTTTGGTTAAAAGCAATAGGTATTACAAAATTCAGTTGTTACATTGGAACTTGTCTGCAGCTGTTTGCATGTGAATATTGAATGAGGGAGTGGTAGCTTTTGTAATTGTTAGGGCAAAGAAAGATTCTGTTTCTAATCTGAGACAACCAGCTGACTCATCAAGTGCCTTGACCCTTTAGATTTCCATCTTTCTTTTTCCCCTAGGAAGATGGAAAACTGAGCTCCCAGGTTTACAGATAGCCCAGACCTGGCACTGTGGAACAAAAGAAAATGGTAGAAAAGATGAAAATCAAGGAAATGTTAGCAACTAATTTTTATTTCCTCTGACCATTTAAATGGGTATGAATTTACCTTCCACAAGGAAAACTTTTCAAATAATGGCTTTTTATAAAGGGTCTATTTTATGTGCGTGGTTCCCTTCCACCCCTAGGTGGCAGGAGAAAGCAGAAGAACCTGCATGAAAGTAAAGCAAACGTCCTGCAGCTGTGGGGCGGTGTTCTGAATCCTAGGATTGTTGCTTACCTCTGCCCTGCAGTTCCATTTGTCAGGCATTCCTGCGATTTTTTTTTTTTTCAGACCGACTTAGTTACCCATATATGGATTTTTAAAAATACTGACTTGGCTAGGATTTATAGAGCACTGTGTAGTCAGCTTTAACAGTTAAGAAATAAGCAAATCTTGATGTGGGGAAAAGAAGAACAGGAACATTAGAATTGGGGATTAGAGGTTGAGAAAATGGTCCTCCCTGGTGTCCAGTGGGTAATCTGCTGTTGAGAACTGATGCCCGTGGAGTTGCCCCAGGCAGGACGCCCAGGCCAGGGCACTTCACCTGGGCCCCTGGGGTTGGTGTGGAGAGTCAGGTGGCCTTTCTCTGCAGCCGGAGAAGCTAGCACAGGGGGCTCCCCGTCTCCTCTGAATCCTGTCTAAAGATAATAATGAGGGCTGTTACTTGGAACATTTTCTAATAACATGCTATAGATGCTTAGGGTTTATGGGAAGGGGGGATGGTACTGGGGGTGGGGGATAAAGGACAAAAACGTAATAAAGTAAACACAGGAAAGGAGCAGCATGTGTTTGGAAGCTGAGCATAGGCACTCCCTCTGAGCAGTGGAGTTGAGTCCTGACTGCAGCACATGCAGGTGAGGAAGCAGTAGAAGGAGTCCGTCTTCTGTCCCCTTCCCATCCCTTCTGACATGTTCTTATCTTGAAATCGCCGCCCCTGAACTCCCAGGGTACTTACTGTGTGCTGCTCTCACTCTGTAGCCCTGTCTGTGTATGTCCCATGTCCTGAAAGCCCACCAGAGGAGGAGCTGTCTTCTTTGTCTTTATGTTCCCCACAGCACTTGTCTCTGGCACAAGGCAGAATCTTAATAACTTCAGTGGCATGAATCCATCGAGGAGCAGATGGGAAGCAGAGTCACAGTGTCACACCAGACAGATTATGTTCAAGCAAATAGTCCCAATAAGAAGTAGTGAGGGGCCGGCCGGGCGCAGTGGCTCACACCTGTAATCCCAGCACTTTGGGAGACTGAGGTGGGCAAATCACCTGAGGTCTGGAGTTCAAGACCAGTCTGACCAACATGGAGAAACCCCGTCTCTACTAAAAATACAAAATTAGCTGGGCATGGTGGCACATGCCTGTAATCCCAGCTACTCTGGAGGCTGAGGCAGGAGAATGGCTTGAACCCTGGAGGCGGAGGTTGCTGTGAGCCAAGATCACGCCATTGCACTCCAGCCTGGGCAACAAGAGCGAAACTCTGTCTCAAAAAAAAAAAAAGTGAGGGGCTGGGCACAGTGGCTCATGCCTGTAATCCCAGCACTTTGGGAGGCTGAGACGGGTGAATCACTTGAGGCCAGGAGTTTGTGACCAGCCTGGCCAACATGGTGAAACCCCGTCCCTACCAAAAAATACCGGAAGTTAGCCAGGCACAGTGGTGCACATCTGTAATCCCAGCTACTTGGGAGGTTGAGGCATGAGAATTGATTGAACTCAGGAGACGGAGGTTGCAGTTAGCTGAGATTGTGCCACCGCACTCCACCCAGCCTGGCGGCAGAGCAAGGCTCCATCTCAAAACATATATATATATATAATATATATATGTGTGTGTGTGTGTGTGTGTGTACTCTCTGGCATTTTTTTGTTGGCTCCATTCTTGGGCATACCGCCAGACGAGATGGCTGTGGGCAGCCTCATGCCTGTCTCCTGCAGAAAGAGGACTGCAGAAGCACTTTAGCTAGACATCAGTTCTGACTGGCCAGGTATAGGACCGTCAGGGAAAATGGAGGTGTGTCCCCAGAAATGGGAGTGTACACTATGCAAGCAGAACCCACTGGCGAGCATTGCAGGGACATCAGCCCTTGGCTTGTTACTGTCATAGCAGAGCAAATTCATATGTATCTTAAGTCATTCTTTTCAATGTTTTTCAGCATCTTCATGATACAGTTAAGAGGAATCTTGACAGCGCCACTTCCCCTCAGAATGGCGATCAACAGAATGGCTACGGGGACCTCTTTCCTGGGCATAAGAAGACTCGCCGGGAGGCCCCTCTGGGAGTTGCCATCTCTTCCAATGGACTGCCTCCAGCCTCCCCCCTCGGTCAGTCTGACAAGCCTTCTGGAGCCGACGCCCTGCAGTCCAGTGGGAAGCACTCTCTGGGGCTAGACTCTCTCAACAAAAAGCGTCTGGCTGACTCCAGCCTTCACTTGAATGGAGGCAGTAACCCCAGTGAGTCATTTCCTCTGAGCCTGAATAAAGAACTGAAGCAGGAGCCTGTCGAAGACCTGCCTTGCATGATCACTGGGACTGTCGGCTCCATATCGCAAAGCAACCTCATGCCAGACCTCAACCTTAACGAGCAGGAGTGGAAGGAGCTCATCGAGGAGCTGAACAGGTCGGTGCCCGATGAAGACATGAAGGACCTGTTTAATGAGGACTTCGAGGAGAAGAAGGACCCAGAGTCTTCTGGCTCTGCCACACAAACCCCCTTGGCACAGGACATTAATATTAAGACGGAATTCTCTCCAGCAGCCTTTGAGCAAGAACAGTTAGGCTCTCCACAAGTGAGGGCCGGGTCTGCAGGGCAGACCTTTCTGGGGCCTTCCTCTGCCCCTGTGAGTACAGATTCCCCCAGCCTAGGGGGCTCCCAAACCTTATTCCACACCTCTGGTCAGCCCCGGGCGGACAATCCCAGTCCAAACCTGATGCCGGCATCAGCCCAGGCCCAGAACGCACAAAGAGCCCTTGCAGGTGTGGTATTGCCCAGTCAGGGCCCAGGAGGGGCCTCAGAGCTGTCCTCTGCCCACCAGCTCCAGCAGATCGCTGCCAAGCAGAAGCGCGAGCAGATGCTCCAGAACCCACAGCAGGCCACCCCGGCACCAGCCCCGGGCCAGATGTCCACATGGCAGCAGACGGGGCCCTCCCACAGTTCCTTAGATGTCCCTTACCCCATGGAGAAGCCTGCCAGCCCTTCCAGCTACAAGCAAGACTTCACTAACTCCAAACTGCTCATGATGCCTAGTGTGAATAAGAGTTCCCCTCGGCCCGGAGGCCCCTACCTCCAGCCCAGCCATGTGAACCTGCTGAGTCACCAGCCACCGAGTAACTTGAATCAGAACTCCGCGAATAACCAGGGGTCTGTGCTGGACTACGGCAATACAAAACCCCTTTCTCATTACAAAGCGGACTGTGGGCAAGGCAGCCCGGGGTCTGGCCAGAGCAAGCCAGCCCTGATGGCTTATCTTCCCCAGCAGCTGTCCCATATAAGTCACGAGCAGAACTCCCTGTTTCTGATGAAGCCAAAGCCAGGAAATATGCCTTTCCGATCACTGGTTCCACCTGGCCAGGTAAGTATGAGCCTTTGCTTTCTGTTCCTCTGCTGCAGACACTTCAGTGAGGTTACTCACTACTTTGGATGTTAATTGGATCCGAGGTAGTTGTGGGAAGAGGGAGGAGGGAATAGCTGCTGTCATCCTTGCTCCTCTTGGGAGTGGAAATTTATAAAATAAACCAGGGTTGATTGTTAATAAAAAATAGGGTAAAGTTCCCTGGCATAGCTTGATTATTAACTGCATGAAGGTTTCAGGAATCACCTGCATTTAGTCCACTGTCTCTTTCGTGCCGTAGGATTTAAATTAAGTAATTTGCGACTGTGTTTTGCAGATAAACATTACGTTTCACGTGCTTCTTAGAGGCTTGGCTTTTTTTTTTTTTTTTTTTTTTTACTACCTTTCAGATCTCCATGTACAAAATTCCCTAATTTTTGGTAAGCTTATAACATTGTAGGCATGTGCTGCTTCCCAGCACAGCTCAGCTCTGTGCTTACTTCATCATGGTTCTAAAGCCCGGTAGCATCAAATGGAAAATGGCCCTTCGGGTTGTTTCCTGTTTTCCGCTAGTGCAGATAAGCCTGCAGTGAACGTGAATTTGTAATACATGCTAAAATTTTGCAAATTAAAAAGCCCAGTGCCGGTAATATCATGAGGAAATAGACACACTCCTGTATTGATGAGAGTGTGTAAATGAGCTCACTGCTTTTGGGAAGTCATTTGACATTATGTATTTTTCACATGCTGTAAAATGTTCATATGCATTGACACACTATATACCCGACAAGTTGATCTAAAGAAATAATCCAAAATAAAAAGTTATATCCAAGATATTCATTGTGTGGTTATTTCTAATAGCCAAAAACTGTAAGCCATTTAAGCATCTCCCAGTGCTGATAATTCCACTTACTTCAGCCAGTAAGATGTCTCACGCCGTTCAGCACCCCCTGAAGAGAGGCTCAGCTGCACACAGTGAGGGTGCTTGCCATCTGGGTAGCACTTTGCAACTTACGAAGCACTCTCAGTAGTTCTTAAGCTTCTGGTGATTAGAGTGAAGAAATTATACCAGAATCTTAGAATGAATAACTAGAAAGGAGCTCAACAATTTGAACTGGTTTAAATAATGATTGCTTTTTGCCTATCTTCTGCTAAGTTCCCCTTTTCTTCTAAGTGTCAGTAATGACGGGATAATATTGTGGTGGCCTTTGACATGACTCTCACTTGTGGTCTATATATTGACAGAGAATATCTGTTAAAGTTCTCATTGATTCTCAGTATTTTTTGAGGATGGGTATTTGACAAAAGCTAAGCAGTCTCTTCCAGTAAAATGCTTGCGCAGATGTACAGTTTCGGGTCGTTCAGGGATAGCCCGAAATCCAAGGTTTATGCACATGGGACAGAGTGGTCTCCATTGACCAAAGCCCCCTTCAAAGTGTTCTTCCCCTAGGCCGGGTGCAGTGGCTCATGCCTGTAATCCCAGCACTTTGAGAGGCCGAGGTGGGTGGAGCACCTGAGGTCGGGAGTTCGAGACCAGCGTGACCAACATGGAGAAACCCCCATCTCTACTAAAAATACAAAATTAGCCAGGTGTGGTGGCACATGCCTCTAATCCCAGCTACTCAGGAGGCTGAGGCAGGGGAATCGCTTGAATTCGGGAGGCAGAGGTTGCGGTGAGCCAAGATCGTGCCATTGCACTCCAGCCTGGGCAACAAGAGCGAAACTCCGTCTGAAAAAAAACAAAAAGTATTCTTCCCCTATTGGCCCGCTCTGCACTCAGATGTCCTGATAAGTGAGCATTTCTAAGCCTCGATTGCTTACTGGAACTATTGTGTGCAAATATGAAAGCTTACATATGCTTAACGTAAAACCATACCTTTGTCACTGGTGAATCACTGGGAGTAAAACTAACACCTATGGAGTAATTGTTCGTTGCTAGGCGCCTGTATGCTCAGATGTCATCACTTTTGGTCTGTGCTCCAGCCCTGTGGGATGGTTGTTATTCGAGGTCAGAAGGGAAGCAGAGACTTGGCTTCAAGAGAGTGAACCTTGAATTCACTGGATGGAGCTTATTTGGTCTGATCAGAGCTTAGAGACTTCACAGTCCCCTATCTGTGTTGACAGGAGCAGAACCCTTCCAGTGTCCCTGTGCAAGCCCAGGCTACCAGTGTTGGGACCCAGCCGCCTGCCGTGTCCGTGGCCAGCTCCCACAACAGCTCCCCCTATCTCAGCAGCCAGCAACAGGCCGCTGTAATGAAGCAGCATCAGTTGCTTTTGGACCAACAGAAACAAAGGGAGCAGCAGCAAAAGCATTTACAGCAACAGCAGTTCCTTCAGAGGCAACAGCACCTTCTCGCGGAACAGGTAAAAAGAAAAGTGGAAGGAAACCACCGCTTCCCACCTTTGCCTGCACCCTGCGTCACTGCTACAGTCACACCTTCTGCTTGTGCGTGTGGATTTGCGCAGACTTGCGTGCCTGTTGTTAGAGTGCTTTGCCTTTTAAAAACATCTTTCCAGGAATGTGGCATTTCTCAGACAGGGGTAGTCTTGTCAGAAGCTGCTTCGTGTCACTTAGTGGAGAGTACTCAAGGCAGACTCGGGGGCTAAAACTGTTTGTGGAAGGGACATTTTCCTATGTTTCAGGTCAGCAGCTTCCAAGCCACTGAGCTCACGTGTCTGTCATTCCACTATGGAGTCAGCTTTGCTGCCACTACAGAGCCTGTTATAAGCCAGAACGTGAAGAGGGAAGTGAAGTCATCCCTGAGGGAAACACAGTTCACTCGCTTGGTTAGCAAGTGTAGTGTGCAGGCACTAAGGGTTACAAGTGAGAGTTCTTTTTTTTTTTTTGGAGACAGAGTCTTGCTGTCACCCAGGCTGGACTGCAGTGGTGCGATCTTGGCTCACTGCAGCCTCCACCTCATGGGTTCATGCAATTCTCCTGCCTCAGCCTCCCGAGTAGCTGGGACTACAGGCAAGAACCACCATGCCTGGCTAATTTTTGTGTTTTTAGTAGAGATGGGGTTTCACCACGTTGGCCAGGCTGGTCTTGAGCTCCTGACCTCAAGTGATCCACTCATCTCGGCCTCCCAAAGTGCTGAGATTACAGGCGTGAGCCACCACGCCTGGCCTTAAATTACATCTTTAAGACATAAGAACTGGCTCCAGACAGTGAAGTTCATTGAGGACAATCCCTGCCTCAGTTCTGCCTTTAAGAAAAGCAGCTTTATTGTGATGTAACTCACACAGCATACACTTCACCCACGTAAGTGAACAATTTAGTCATTTTTAGTATATCACAGAGTTGTGCAACCATTACCACAATCCATTTTAGAACATTTTCATTACCCTAAAACAAATCCCATACCCATGAGCAGCCATTCTCCCATCCACCCTGCCTCTCCAGCTCCTGATCTACTTTCTGTCTCTATAATTGTCTGCTCTGGGCTGGGCGCAGTGGCTCACTCCTATAATCCCAGCACTTTGGGAGGCCGAGGTGGGCGGATCACGAGGTCAGGAGATCAAGACCATCCTGGCTAACACAGTGAAACCCCGTCTCTACTAAAAATACAAAAAATTAGCCAAGTGTGGTGACGGGCGCCTGTAGTCCCAGCTACTCGGGAGGCCGAGGCAGGAGAATGGCGTGAACCTGGGAGGGGAGCTTGCAGTGAGCAGAGATCACGCCACTGCACTCCAGCCTGGGCGACAGAGCAAGACTCCATCTCAAAAAAAAAAAATTGTCTGTTCTGGACATTTTATATTTATGTTATGTCATTTTCAATCATGTGCTAGGTAACAGCAATTGATTCCTCTTGATAATAATATTCCATTGTATGGACATGTTACATTTTATTCATTCGTCTGTTCATGAACATTTGGGTTTCTTGTTTGGGCTGTTAATGAGTATTGCTGCTATGAACATTCATGTACAAGTTTTCATATAGACATCTGTTTTCATTTTTCTTGGGTAGATACCTGGGAGTGGAATTGCTGGATCACATGGTAATTTTTATGTTTAACCTTTGGAGGAACTGTCAGACTGTTTCCCACAGGCTGTCTCATTTTACATTCCCACCAGCGGTGTATGAGGGTGCTGATTTCTCTACATCCTCACCAACCACTTGTTATCATCTGACTTTGATTCTGGCCATCCTAGTGGGATCTCATTGTAGCTGTGATTTGCATTTTCCTAACCAGCTCTCCATTTTTTAAAAACAGGTATACCTACCTTTTAAAAAAGTCATTGCTCCCTAGATCTGTTTCATACTATTTAAAAACCCCAAAATGAAATCAGCACTATTTCCACAGGAGCCCATTTGTGAGTAACAAACTTGGATAAGTTACTTTTCTCTGACCTCCCTCACTCCCTTTGTTTTGGATTTTGTTATATGTTGGTTTTGTTTTGTTGTTCTTGGCATTTTCTAGGAGAAGCAACAGTTTCAGCGCCATCTGACCCGCCCACCACCCCAGTACCAAGACCCGACACAAGGCAGCTTCCCACAGCAGGTTGGACAGTTCACAGGTAGGGGGTGTCTGTGTGACGAGCAGGGACAGGGGAGGCCGCTGCCTGGTGCTGGTTGAATCCCTGCTGTCTGCCCAGCTCTATGCCTTGACTTCATCAGGCTGCATGCATTGTCATCATATACACCTCAGTTTGCCTAAGGGGCCTGGTTTTCTAGTTACTCCACGGCATCAGGAGAAGAGGGCACAGAGGCAAACCACTAGAACTACCTTTGCTGGGTCCCTGGCTGTACAGTTTTCTGAAGCAAAATCATTTCTAGTTGGAGGACATCTTATCAGCAGGAAATAGCTTCTGTAATTCTCAAGAAAGTTCTTTGCTTCTGCTTTTATGTGTCTTCAAAAAATGACTCCTATCTTCCAGATAAGGACTTAATGCACTTGCGTGGCCTTTGGCTTCTTTCTCTCCTCCTGTCTGCTCACTTGAATATCACAGATGGCAGCATCACTAGTGGACAGTTGGCCAGAAAAGGGCAGGAAGCACACTTGAGTCTAGCTGTCGCCTCTGAGATGTGCCAGGGAACTTCATAGGCCATCCCTCCAGAAATGCACAAAGATTTCAGGGAATGGATACAGGAAGCTCTGGTCTGCCCGCCTTCCTAGCTCCTCTCAGAATGTCTTAGAAACCTCTGTTTTTCCTTATTTGGGACCTTGCTATAAAGGGTCCCAGAGAGACTGACCACAGCTGTGTGTCCTGGAGGAGACCAGGTACGGTTTTATGTATGTGCTACCTGGGGTCAACGTGGGGTTGAAATCTGCAGGCATTTCAGAAGCATGGGTCTGACCCATGTTTTCTGCCTTCAGACCCATCTGACATTTTGTGGATTATTGATGGGAATGAAATAGCCGGTTTCAGCTCTCCTCTTTTCCTCAACCCAATTTCATTGTTGTTGTTTTGAAACAGAGTCTTGGTCTGTCGCCCAGGCTGCAGTGCAGTGGCACGATCTTGGCTCACTACAACCTCCACCTCCTAGGTTCAAGCGATTCTCCTGCCTCAGCCTCCCAAGCAGCTGGGATTACAGGCGCCTGCCACCACGCCCGGCTCATTTTTGTATTTTTAGTAGAGATGGGCTTTCACCATGTTAGCCAGGCTGATCTCACATACCTGACCTCGTGATCTGCCCGCCTTGGCCTCCCAAAGTGCTAGGATTACAGGTGTGAGCTACCGTGCCCGGCCCCAATTTTTATTATATGGTTGCTAGTAGAGAGGAAGAAGAACAAAGCACTGAGTTACGGCCAATCCCTGAACAATGACTCTCCTACCCACAAAACCTAATTCAGTTAATGGTGTTGTCATATGTCCATTGCTTAAGCCAGGAGGCCTAGACAGCAGTTCCCTGAGCATAGGGGTGCTTTCTCTTCCACCCTCTGCTGTCTCTCCAGCACAGCACCTGCCACAGAGTGGGTACTCAGTGAAGATCTGGTAATTTCCTGCGACTCCTCCCTCCTTTGGCCACCTTGTCATTTCATAGTATAAATGGTGTGCCATAAGATGGTATATTGTCTGGTGAGATGTTGTCACACAGTTCTGCACCTCCACCCCCCATTCCCACATGGTCTGCCCTCCCTCATCTCCGTGACTGAACAGCCTCTCCCCAGCATGGTCTCAGCCACACTCTCAGTCCAGCCACTCTTGGGCTTTACAACCCTGTTCTTTGTTTGTTTGTTTGAGACAGAGTCTTGCTCTTTCGCCTAGGCTGGAGTGCAGTGGCATGATCTCGGCTCACTGCAGCCTCCGCCTCCCGGATTCAAGCAATTCTCCTGCCTCAGCCTCCCGAGTAGCTGGGGGCGCGCGCCGCCACGCCTGGCTAATTTTTGTATTTTTAGTAGAGACAGGGTTTCACTATGTTGGCCAGGATGGTCTTGATCTCCTGACCTCGTGATTCGCCCGCCTCGGTCTCCCAAAGTGCTGGGATTACAGGCGTGAACCACCGCGCCCGGCCACAACCCCGTTCTTCACACGCCATCCACAGCTCTTCCCTATCTGGCCGGAACTAGCTCTTCCATTTTATCTCTAACCAGCTGGCCACTGTCTGCATATCCCGGCCACGGCCAGTCTCTGAAAGTTCCCCACACAGATGCCTTTTTCTGACTCTGCCTTTGCACACACTTGCCTGGAATGCTCTTTTTCCCCAAACTGTTAAATTGCTAAACTTCTGTGCTTTTAAACCTAGTGGATTCATCACTGTCTCTCTCAAGCCTTGCCCAAGGCTTCCCAGATGCCAGGGCTTCCAGCCTGCACCCTGCAGCCTGCTGGCCAGGCGCGCCCCATCGCGCCCCATCGCGCCCCATCGTGCCATGTGCTAACTTTGCCTCCCAGAGGCGGATCTTGCGTTGGGTCCACCTCAGAGTCCCCGGTGCCCACCACAGGGTCCCCACAGAGCAGAAATTTGGTGGGTGCTTGAAAGTTAGATGAAGTAGGTCACTGGTTTTCTCTCCCCTGGGGCTTTGCCCTTCCTCTGTGCCTTTCTGAACCCCATCATTGTTTCAGAGACCAGGCCTCCATTCCACCTGTGGAAGGCTTTCTGCCCCATGGCCCCCGGGGCCCTCTTCCCAGTGTGCCGTGAACGTGAGACTTCTGGTGCTGCGGCTCGAGTCTCAGAGGGACCCAGTGGTGGTCGACTCCTGACTGCCAGACTCTTCTCTGTCTTGTAGGGTCCTCTGCTGCCGTGCCCGGCATGAACACCTTGGGTCCATCCAACTCCAGCTGTCCTCGAGTGTTCCCTCAGGCTGGGAATCTGATGCCAATGGGCCCTGGACATGCTTCAGTTTCCTCTCTCCCCACAAACTCAGGCCAACAGGACCGGGGTGTGGCTCAGTTCCCTGGCTCCCAAAACATGCCTCAGAGCAGCCTCTATGGCATGGCTTCTGGCATAACCCAGATAGTTGCCCAGCCCCCGCCACAGGCCACCAATGGACATGCCCACATTCCACGGCAGACCA
Source organism: Homo sapiens (assembly GCF_000001405.40). Lineage (NCBI taxonomy): Eukaryota > Metazoa > Chordata > Mammalia > Primates > Hominidae > Homo > Homo sapiens. Next base: position 539,777 of record NW_016107298.1, read on the forward strand.
ACGTGGGCCAGAACACCTCCGTCTCAGCTGCCTATGGGCAGAACTCTCTGGGAAGCTCTGGCCTCTCCCAGCAGCACAATAAGGGGACCCTGAACCCTGGTTTAACAAAGCCACCGGTCCCAAGGGTGTCACCAGCCATGGGAGGCCAGAATTCCTCCTGGCAGCATCAGGGAATGCCGAACCTCAGTGGCCAGACCCCAGGGAACAGCAACGTGAGTCCCTTCACTGCAGCCTCCAGTTTCCACATGCAGCAGCAGGCCCACCTGAAAATGTCTAGCCCGCAATTCTCCCAGGCAGTGCCCAACAGGCCCATGGCTCCCATGAGCTCAGCAGCTGCCGTGGGGTCCTTGCTACCCCCAGTGAGTGCACAGCAGAGGACCAGCGCCCCTGCCCCAGCACCACCCCCAACAGCCCCTCAGCAGGGCTTGCCTGGCCTGAGCCCAGCAGGGCCTGAGCTGGGGGCCTTCAGCCAGAGCCCTGCCTCACAGATGGGCGGTCGGGCGGGGCTGCACTGCACCCAGGCCTACCCTGTGCGGACCGCGGGCCAGGAGCTGCCTTTTGCCTATAGCGGGCAGCCAGGTGGCAGTGGGCTCTCTAGTGTGGCTGGACACACCGATCTGATCGACTCCCTGCTGAAGAACAGGACTTCAGAGGAGTGGATGAGTGATTTGGACGACCTGTTAGGGTCTCAGTAATGGAAGGATTTGTAGTGTTTTTAGTGTTCATTCATCCTATATTTTTATTCTCAGATTCAAAGAAAGAGCAACTACTTTGGACCAAAAGCCCATGGCCTGGGGAGCTGGGCAGGTAGAGCCCAAGCTCCAGGTGAGGCCTGGCCCTGGGCAGGGTCTGTGGCTGCGCCCCTCAGGCCAGCAGTTGAGGTCCATCGGGCTGGCCCCAGCCCATCTGCTGGCATCAGTACCTGGTGTTGGGACAGCAGGATAGGGTTCTAAAGGTGGTTTTCTATCCAAACGACCAAAAAACCAACAGTAACACCAGTGAAACCCCACACTGTCGGGCTTATAAAAATCTGTGCCATCATGGTGATTTTATCCAAGACTGCTCCACTTACCCCAGTGCTGGGGACAAGTTTCTGTTGAAACTTTAGATAGCAGAATTATTTGCAATTTGTAGCATAGAAAAGATTTTTAAATTTTTTTACAAAAGGTTTTTAAACAGATTAGGGTAGGTGATGGTTTAAATCAATTAAGTGGCATTGGAAACCTAGGGTTTCCTTTTGATTAAGAGCCTTTTTTGTTTCTGCTCTTTGTCAGCTTTCAGGGGAGAAGGAGGCCACTGGAAAATTATTTCCCTAAGTGCAGGCTGTTGACTGCGTATGCCAAAAAGGGACAGGAGGCATGGGATAGCAGGTCTGGTGACACAGCTAGGGTCTTCCTAGCAGCTCCTCCTCCTCCCTCCCAAGGCCCCCAGGAATCCCTTCCTCCCATGTCCTGGCAGCAGGACCCCAGGCTACATATGGAAGGTAGAGATGTGGGGGTCCTGTATCCTGGAGTATTATGTCTCCCCACCTTCTGCAGTTTTCTCTGAACATGTATGTTGCCCATGGTGGGAGCGTGGTCACTGTGCAGTTGTGCACAGATGTCTTTCCTTTACCGTTGGCCTTTCTGTCTGCCTCTCCTTCCTCTCTGCAGCCCAAATGGAAAACAATTATTTACTCCATTGGAGGGAAAGGAAGAGTCTTAGAATTCCTAAGGGAACCTTAGCATAAAGGTTTTGGGGAAGGAGGCCGTAGGCCGGCCCGGAGGAAGCAATTCCACTTGGTTTGACAACTTCTGCCACTCCCATGTCAGATGACTTGCACTTCTTAAAGAGATTGCTTTATAACACTAAGACATCCTTTCTAAAGATTCAAGTGGACTTGACTAAGCTGAGGGTCCACGAAATAGAATATGACATGTGAGCTGTTTTTGGAAAACGAAGATGGAGAGAGCACTTCCCCGTAACGAAAGCAAAGTGGTAAGCACAGGGTGAGACCCTTTTACACAGAATGGTGGAGAGAAAAGAGAATGCTGAAAAGTGGCTCAGATGCAGAGTGTTCTGTGGAGAAACTGCAGCCCCACTTCTGTTTCCCTGGAGTCTCCCAATGGATCATTCAGGAGTGTCCTATGTGAGAATTGAGCCAAGGAAAATACTCATGCAACCAGCCTGAGTCGCGGTGAGGGGACGAGAGGTTGTACACACATTGGTAGTTATTTTGCACCAGCAGTGCCTTTCTCACTGGGGGTACTTGGACCCTCAGATCTTCTTTTCTAATAGCCATTTGCCACCCCAAGTGGTATGTCGGCCATTTCTCCTTAAAACACCTTCCCTACCTTTCCCATGTACTCAGTTTAGCTCTCAAAGAAGGGGTGAATCATAAAGCCAGTGAAAATTTCACCCTCTGAGGGAGTTCCCCAATCTGAAGGGGAAGAGGGTGACCTCAGCGGCTTTTCTCCCAAAAATCGGCTGAAGGCTGGTTGTGGATCCTTGTTCCTCTCCTGACCCCATCTGGCTGCTGCCCCGTCTCCCACCCCTGTCCCCGGGGCTCGCTGGCCCTGCACTCCGCCTTAGTCCTGGGGCCGGCGACACAGTGGGGGCTCCTCACTTGCTGCAGTGTCATAGCAATAAAATGTGATTCTTGGGGTCCCCCCAGGGAGCTGCCCATGGCTTTATTTATGAACCTGGTTTTCGGGAGTCAGGGGAGGAGATGACTTTGCTTCTGTGCACAGCCCCGTCTTCCAGGAGCCACGACTCAGAAGAAAAGGGTGCTCAGACTTTTGTTATACACATTTGCTTTGTGTAAATAAATGTTTACAATTTTATATGAAAGATGGAATAAGCGCTAGAGCTTCCAACTGTATATTTTTTACTTTTATAGATTTTAAAACTATGATCCTTTATATGTGTGTTTTGGGGGAGCTATGATAAGTTTTATGGCAAACGGTTGGTATTGTTAACTTTTTATTGTCATCAAAAGTTCATAAAAGTCCTATTAATCCCCATATTCTTCTACTGCCCTTAACTCTGGTATACACCAAAAAGAAATCTTTACTTTCCTTGTTTTATCATTATAAAAATAAAGTATTTTGCTAGTATGGAAACAACCTTTGTATTTGACGTCACCTGGGGTCTGCTGGCAGAAGTTTGGGGATTGGTTTTCTTTTGTAATTTAGCTGCTTGCTTTTCTTGGTTTTTTAATTTTTTCTTTTTAAAGAAATGCTTGTCGAGTCATAGATTTAGCTGCTTTCTTATTGCACATTGTTGAGTGGGAGCTGGTTTGGTTGAAGCCTCAGAGGAGCTTCTGTTATCTGCTGATAGATACTAAATTAGAGCTAGCATCACCCTGAGAAAGCAGGCTGGCCCCAGGACTCACGGGCGTCCATGCAGCTGATGGAGGGGAGCTGGACCGGACGACTGTGCTCTCTTAGCTCTAGCATCACCCTGAGAAAGCAGCCTGTCTCCGGGACTCACGGGCATCCATGCGGCTGATGGAGGGAGCTGGGCCGGACGACTGTGCTGCTCGTGCTTCATGTAGAACCCTTAGGTTTGCCCCTGAAGTCTGTCTGCTCCATGTACTATTTAGTTGCTTTTCAGCATAGAGCTTGGTTTTCCCTTTTTTTAATTGTAAGAATGATGTGCTCTGGCATGTCACACTGTGAAAGGGGACCAGATGATGGAGCCTGGACTGAAAGGGTGAATGGGGCCGCTCACCTCAGAACTCTCCCTGCTTTGCTTTGCTGGGAGCAGGGAGCAGGGCAGCCTGGGAGAGGCTGGAGTTCCTCAAAGGGCAGAGAAGAATGGCCTTCAGGGGACCACAGGGAGGAACCATGCCATGATAGACTCAAAAAGCTAGATTATGCTAATAAAAAGGGGAAGACATCTGTGACACACAGGAAACAGTGTTCGTGGCCTTGCCATAGAAGGCGCAGTAAAGGAGGAAAACTCCGGAGACTCCCTGTGAATTCTTGGCTAAGAATGCACGTTATCTGCAGTGATCTAAAAACACAAACGAGAACAGAAGTGAGTGGCCCTACCTGTGAGATGCACAGTGCTGAGCGGCACCCAGCGCTGGCTGCAGGATGGGAGGCTGGCTGCCGTATGATTGTTCGTGGGAAGAAATTTTGTAGAAGTTATCAAGCTCCTTAAAATGTTCGTGCTGTGTCTGCCTGGACAGTTGCAATTCTGAGAAGCGATCCTTGAAAATGATTCTGGGTATAGAAAAAGGTACAGCACAGTGGTGTTCTTAGTATGGCTGTTTACAGTCGCAGAAAATGAGATGCTAAACTGCTGCCCTAGGGGATTGGTTAAGCAAACTGGTGCTTCCACTCCATGAGATAGGATGCAGCCATTTGAAATATTTATGAAGGTTTTGGACAGTCATTTGGAATAATGGTTTTGTTGGGGCTCTTAACTTGCAAGCCAATAGAAAAGAAATCTGGCTAATATAATCCTATAAATTATTTCCCTACAGCCCATTTTTAAGGTTCCCAGTAACTTTCAGAATCAAAGGAGACATCGGATGGCCAGGCCTCAGTAGTGGCAAGGCCCAGGCAGTTCCAGATCCCTGCAGCCTGCCACTACCCCGAGTCTCTCCAGGTCACCAGCCAGGCTTGGGGGTGATGGAGGAGGACTCGGTAAGGGACAGTTCACTTGGCAAATGTTTAGGGAGCACCTGCTGTGGCCAGGCATTGCCCTAGAGGCAGGGAATATGATAGAAATTGCGGCAGTACAGGAAGGTAAGGTCCCTGTACCGCAGAGCTCACAGTCTCATGGGAAGGAGTTCTTACACAGGTGAGGTAAGTGTTAGGGAGAAACTAAAGCCAGGTAATGAGAGAGGGCAGTGGGGCTGCAGAGGCTGGGGTGAGCCACAGACTACTGTAGACACGGTAGCAACGTAGGTCTCTTAAGAAAGTGACACACAACGTAGGCCTAATCACAGCACTTTGGGAGGCCAAGGTGGGAGGATCACTGAGACCAGCCTGGGCAACATAGAGAGACCCTGTCTCTGTAAAAAAAAAAAAAAAAAAAATTAGGCATGGTAGCACACACCTGTGGTCCCAGCTACTCAGGAGAATAAGGTGGGAGGATCACTTCAACCCAGGAGGTTGAGGCTGCAGTGAGCCAAGATCATGCCACTGCACTGCAGCCTGGGCAGCAGAAACCCTGTCTCAAAAAACAGTGCTGTTAACAGGAAGAGGGAGGAGTGCTTAGGAGCAAGTTAACAGATGCCTGCACATGTTAAATTTAAAAGCAGGCCGGGCACAGTGGCTCACGCTTGTAATCCCAGCACTTTGGGAGGGATCTGTCTGCCTGGGCAGACAGATCACCTGAGGTCAAGAGTTCCGAGACCAGCCTGGCCAACATGGCAAAACCCTGTCTCTACTAAAAATACAAAAATTAGCTGGGCCTGGTGGCACGTGCCGGTAGTCCCAGCTACTTGGGAGACTGAGGCAGGAGAATGGCTTGAACCTAAGAGGCAGAGATTGCAGTGCCAGGATCGTGCCACTGCATTCCAGCCTGGGCGACAAAGCTAAACTCTGTCTCAAAACAACAACAACAACAACAACAAAAACCCACAAATTTGAAAGCAAGCAATATGCCACTGCATTTAGTAGGATGGTGGCTCTTGCCATCCTCCAGGTGCCTGTGAGCTGCAACCAGCCTGCAGTGCAGGCCTGTGCTGTTCTGAAACCTCTGCCAGCCTGGACAAGACTTGCCCGCCTCCCCTGTCCAGCCCCAGAAGATGCCCAAGGTAAGTCAAGGACAAGCTCCAGGGTCTCTTGCTTGCCCCTGGAGTTGGATGGCACACCATGGTTGGTGGCATTATCAGTAATGCTCCCTGCAGGCCAGCCAGCTGATGCCTGGAGCTGGCAATGTGGCTCTAAAGCTGTTGAAAGATGCAAGATGTTAGCTACCTGCGAACTTGGTCCAAAGCTAGTGGCTGAACTTCAGTGTTCCAGGCACTGCCCTGGCCAGCACAGGAAATGGCGAGTGGTGGCAAATGTCTTGACTGGACTTTTCTTCCCCTTTTGCGTTCAAGCAGTTAATGTCCTGGCCACTCTTCAGATTGGCTTTACTTATGCTTCATGGATAATTTGCTCTTCGCACGCTTACAGTAAGCTGAGCTGCAGAGTTTAGCTAGTGCATGAAAACCATTTCATGGACGTTGGGAAAGATAACTTCAGACTCCCACCCAAAGCAGAAACCAGCGCCACAAGGGGAGAATTCAGGGATCCACCACCCTGTCAGTCTTCTGGGAAGGGTCACGTACATTAGGAAGAACTAGATGCCATCTGCTGCAAAAACAAACAAATGCAGCCAGCTGCCTGCTGGAGGCAGGGCTGCAGAACGGACTTACTCTGAAGATTTCCACACTGCGGGCGACCTTAAGCAAGCCCTGACCACATGGGCTGTGGTGAGAAGCAGCAGGCCGTGTTAGATTGCTATGTGGGATCAGTGTGGAGGCCTCCACTTTTCTTTGTGCCTGGAAAGCAGAACTTTTCAAGACTGAGGACGAAAAACTGGAATTTTGCATCCTTATTAAGATCTAACTACATTTTATGTAGCAGAGACAACTGCTTGCTCACTACTTCTGGATTTATTACTACTGATAACATTTCTCATGAATTTTAAAGTTTTAGGCTGGTTCTATACTTGTAATAACAGATGATTTTATATAACGCAAGACAGAGTCCAACCACATGCAGAATCTTCAAGAGCTATAGATACTGCCGTCCGAGCTCTCTAGAGCTAGAGGCCTAAGGAGGTCCTAGCCCCCAAGTAATAAAAAATTTAAATCTTGGCAGGGTGCGGTGGCTCATGCCTATAATCCCAGCACTTTGGAAGGCCAAGGCAGGAGTATCGCTTGAGTCCAGTAGTTTGAGACCAGCCTGGGCAACATGGTGAGACCCCATCTCTACAAAAAGTTAGCCGAGCGTGGTGACACACTCCTGTAGTCCCAGCTACTAGGGAGGCTGAGGTGGGAGGCTTGCTTGAGACTGGGAGGGCGAGGCGGCAGTAAGCCATGATGGTACCACTGTGTTCCAGCCTGGGTGACAGAGTGAGATACTGCCTGAAAAATGAGAAAAATTAAATCTTGCCGGGCATGGTGGCCTTTGCTTGTAGTCTCAGGTACGCAGGAGACTGAAGAGAGATGATCGCTTGAGGCCAGGAGTTTGGGGCTGCAGTGAGCTATGATTTTACCTGTGAGTAGCCACTGCACTCCAGCCTAGGCAACATAGCAAGACTGTCTCTTTTTTTTTTTGAGATGGTCTCACTATGAATTGCTCAGGCTGGAATGCAGTAGCATGATCATAGCTCACTGCAGCCTGCACCTCCTGGGCTCAAGCACTCCTCCCACATCAGCCTCCCGAGTAGCTGGGGCTACAGGCGTGTACCACCATGCCAAGCTAATTTTTTTAAAAAAAATTTGTAGAGACAGGGTCTTAGTATGTTGCCCAGGCTGGTCTCAAAACTCCTGGGCTCACGCGAGCCTCCTGCCTCAGCCTCCCAAAGTGTTAGGATTACAGGCATGAGCCACCACACCCAGCCAACCCTGTCCCTTAAAACATAAAAAGATAAATCTGTGGCTTCTTTTTGATTCTTGCTTGTGCAGTAACAGGCATGTTCCTTAAACTTTGCAGCTGTCTGTCATTCCTTGCATTTAACCTACTCTATCCAGTTGATCCTGGATTCCCCTCCCCTGGGTCCACTTCTTAGTAAACCTATGGCATTATAGGAACACTAGAGCAGGAGAACAGGGCGAGTCTAAGCCTGAGTGTGCCACTGCTAACCATGTATGGGACCTCTCTGTGGCTGTCCCAAAGCGGGGAGATTGGACCAGACTGAGCGGACAGTTACAGAGGCTGTGATACACTCCAGATACCTGTCAGGACTGAGACCCATTTCCAGGAGTGTTGGACACTCATTGTTCAGAGCTGCTGCCAGCTCATAGCTGACTCTTCCTGGGAATTGTGTTCAGTGGAGGGGAGCTGCCCAAGGTTATGCCCTCTTCCAGGGGCAGCCCATGTCTGGAGACTTGTCGATATGGGAGTATGGAGACCCCAACACCCTTGCCTCAATTTGGGACATCTCCAAAGAGCCATCCTGGCTCCACTGCACCGGTGCTGTCGTCTTGAGGCCTCTGCTGCGTCTGCATCTCAGTTCCACCTCTCGCCTGCCCAATCCAGTAGCCCTTGCTCCCTTATGAGTGGTGCTGATGCCCTTTGAAATCTGCCTTTGGGGCACCTGGCTCGAGAGACTTGGTGCGGGGAGTGGTCCCAGGAAGCCGACTGTAAGCTGGCTCGCTGCTGACTGCTGGCCATGATGACCCCATCACCTGTGGCAAGTGGGACAGCTGTAAAGAGGAACTGTTAAACGTTCGCTGTGGTGGCACCAGGGCAGGACACTGGGGAAGGGAATAGAGTACCCTAGGCCTTTGGGAAGTGTAAGTGGAGGAGTGACTGTGACCTTGAGAGAGATGTTGCGGGGGTTATAGGTGATACCTCGGAGAAAGATAATGAAAAGCTGATCATGACTAATCACTAGAAAAGACACGATGTGAGATCCGTTAGAGGCCTCCTTGGCAGCCAGGCAAGAGGGTGGACACAGCTGAAGGGATCAGGCATGGGGTTGTTACTAAGGCTTCAGAGCTCCAAGAAGGTAGAACTTTCAACCTAGCCGAGTGTGCCATACCAAGGTCATTGTCCTAGTTAGGAATGTGGGACCCTTACACTGGGATGGGGACATCTGGATCGATACTCTAGAACTCTAGAAAACCTGGACACCCCAGCCCCGCCACCCTCCCCCACACCCTGAAACCTCTAAGCCCACTCCTCCCTGTTAAGGGCCGGTGCTTTGCTCTTGTTTGAAGGTCATGCCCAGGCCTCTGCCACCTCCCCTTAGGATCTGTGCTCACCACCCCTCCTGGCCGCTGGACCAAGAAGGTCAGCAGGAGGGTGCTGGGCCTGCCAGAGAAGAAAGAAGATGAGCTGCCTGGGGGGAGCAGGAGTGTGCCTGAGACAAGGGCATGGCCATATGGGGCTCTGCTATGACCTAGGACTCAGCACCCTTGCAGAGCCCCCAGGAAGCAGTGCCCGTAGGCTGCCAGCTCGGTCGGCTCTCTGAAACTTCCCAGGAAGCCATGGCCCACAAGGAAGAGAATAGCAACCTAGGGGCAACCGTGGCAGCTCTGCAAGAAGCGAACGAACGCCCAGAGAAGCGGGTGTGGGAGAGTGGAAATGCAGCTGACCCCTGAACAACGCAGGTCTCAACTGCCTGGGGCCACTTACATGTGGGTTTTTCAATAAATATATTGGAAATTTTTTTTGAAATTTGTGACAATTTGAAAAAACTCACAACTGAACCGTGTTGCCTTAGAGATAGTGAACAAATTAAGAAAAAGCTAGGTATGTCATGGACGCATAAAATATTTGTAGGTACTAGTCTATTTTATCATTTACTACCATAAAATATACACAAATCTATTACAGAAAGTTAGAAGTTAGTCTAGGTGCAGTGGCTCACACGTGTAATCTTAACACTTTGGGAGGCTGAGGTGGGAGAATCACTTGAAGCCAGGAGTTTCAGACCAGCCTGGGAAACAGTGAGACCTTCGTCTCTACAATTAGCTGGATATGGTGGCACATGCCTGTAGTCCTAGCTACTTGGGAGGCTGAGATAGGAGAATTGCTTGAGCCGAGGAGTTTGAGGCTGCAGTGAACCAAGGTCACACCACTGTACTCCTGCCTGGAAAACATAGCAAGACCCTGTCTCCAAAAAAAAGGTTTTTTACTGGGCGCAGTGGCTTACGCCTGTAATCCCAGCACTTTGGGAGGCCGAGGCGGGTGGATCACCTGAGGTCAGGAGTTTGAGACAAGCCTGGCCAACCTAGTGAAACCCCGTCTCTACTAAAAATATGAAAACTAGCTGGGTGTGGTGGTGGGCACCTGTAATCCCAGCTACTGGGGAGGCTGAGGCAGGAGAATCACTTGAACCTGGGAGGCGGAGGTTGCAGTGAGCCGAGATCGCGCCATTGCACTCCAATGTGGGGGACAGAGCAAGACTCCATCTCAAAAAAGAAAATAAAAAAAAAGTTTTTTTGGTCAAAAGTTACACATGCAAACACTACGTGGCACATTTGTAGTTAAGAGAAATGTAAAGGTGCAGTATAAATATAGCCGCAGCCTGAAAGACGAGGCCAAATGACTGCAGGTCCTGAAGCCCAGCTTGCAGCAGGTCAGCAGCTACAGCTGCCTCCATGGCTAGTTATGAATTTTTTTCAGGGCAAATGATGGGAGGGTTGGCACATAAGTGGGGGAGGAAAAATATGGAAACAAATACTATGAAGACAACAAGCAACGTTTGGCTACCACTGATGGGTCACATATACTGAAATGAGTGACAAAAACATTCTGGGATGTGGCTGGAAGCATGGTGCCTCCCAAGTGGCATCCTCTGCTTCACTCAGACTCATGATCCTCCAACAACAAAACCACCTCCTGCTCGCAGATTCTTTGGACAAACCATAAGTTAAGCGTGAGTGGCACCCCAGAACAATATGTGCCATTTTCTACCACTAGAAAGAAGACAGGAGCGGGTCCCATCTTCAAAACCTGACAAGCAAAGACAATGAAAAACAGTTTAAACACGCAAAATACAGGGCTTTTCATGGCATTGCACTTTGCTTACCATTAACTGGATTAAAATTGTTTGACAAAAAACTTATAACTGCATACAGTTGACCGTAGCACATACTGTACTGCCCTGCTGATCTCACAGCCATCTCCTGTAGTTACTGCAGTGGACTTGAGAGTGGCGATGATCTGCTTAAAGCGCCATGCGTCTCATCAGCTCCAAGGGAGCAGTTTGTCCCTCCAGTAAATTGTAGATCACAGTAAAAAGGGATCTCTCGGCTGGGCGCAGTAGCTCATGCTTGTAATCCCAGCACTTGGGGTGGCCGAGGTCAGGAGATCAAGACCAGCCTAGCCAATATGGTGAAACCTTTTCCTGCTGACCTTTTAATTGTCTCTATTAAAAATATACAAATTAGCCAGGCGTGGTGGCGCACACCTGTAATCCCAGCTACTCGGGAGGCTGAGGCAAGATAATCACTTGAACCTGGCAGGCAGAGGTTGCAGCGAGTCGAGATCGTGCCACTGCACTCCCGCCTGGGCAACAGAGCAAGACTTTATTTAAAAAAAAAAAAAAAGGGATCTCTGTCAGTTCTTGTGTTTTTTCATCATGTTTGGTGCAGTACTGTAAATCTTCAGTAACACCATGGGACCCATACAACGTGCCATTAGTGATGCTGCAAGTGCCTCCAAGAAGCAAAGGAAAGTCATGACGATAAGAACAATTTAAGTTGCTTGATAGGTATTATAGATTGAGGTCTGCAGCCACGGGTGCCACCCTCCCAGCCGATTCATCTTGTAAATGGATGACATAAACGCACGGTATTGATACAGTACAGTACTATAAATGTGTTTTATGATTTTCTGAACATTTTCTTTTCTCTAGCTTACTTTATTGTAAGAACACAGTGTATGACAACACACTTCCCATACAAAGCAGGTGTTCGTGGACTCTTTATGTTCTCTCTAAGGCTTTCCGTCAACAGTAGGCTATTGGTAGTTAAGTTTTGGAGGGGCCAAAAGATGTAGTGGATTTTCGGCTGTGCAGGGGTCAGCGCCTCTAACCTCCACAATGTTTAAGGGTCGGCTGTACTCTGTTTGTGATGGCCCTGACACCTACCAGCCAAATATGTTCTGCAGGAGGGCTGCACTCAGTGGCTCACACCTGTAATCCCAGCACTTTGGGAGGCCGAGGTGGGTGGATCACCTGAGGTCAGGAGATCAAGACCAGCCTGGACAACATGGTGAAACCCTGTCTCTAGTAAAAATACAAAAAATTAGCAGAGAGTGGTGGGGCGCACCTGTAATCCCAGCTACTCAGGAGGCTGAGGCAGGAGAATCGCTTGAACCTGGGAAGCAGAGGTTGCAGGGAGCCGAGATTGTGCCATTATACTCCAGGAGCAAGAATGAAACTCCATCTCAAAAAAAAAAAATGGAGGAGGAGGAAGAAAAGAAGAGGAAGGAGAAAGAGAAGGAAGAAGAAGAAAAGAGGAAGAAGAAGAAGAGGAGGAGGAGAGAAGAAAGAAGGAAGAAAGAAGAAAGAAGAATCATCCTGGCCTAGGCCCAGCTCCCAGTGGGACCACTGGGTCCACAGCTCCACCCAGCCATTTCCTTGGCCTTGATATCTAATCAAAGAGGACTCACTTCATAGTTGACAGAAGCCTCACACGGGGTATTGGCCTGGGAAGCCACAGTGGGGAAGGCCCAGAGAAGAAATGACAAGGAGCCTTGCTTCCCAGTGGGTCAGACACAGGGTGGCGTCTGCCTCATAGGTGCCTTTTTTTTTTTGAGATGGAATTTCGCTCTTGTCGCCCAGGCTGGAGTAGAGTGGCACGATCTCGGCTCACTGCAACCTCCGCCTCCTGGGTTTAAGCGATTCTCTTGCCATACCCTCCCAAGCTGGGATTACAGGCTCCCGCCACCACGCCCAGCTAATTTTTGTATTTTTAGTAGAGACGAGGTTTCATCATGTTGACCAGGCTGGTCTCAATCTCCTGACCTCAGGTGATCCGCCCACCTCAGCCTCCCAAAGTGCTGGGATTACAGGAGTGAGCCACCACGCCTGGCCATAGATGCCCATTTGATTTTCCAGTCTGGGCCCAACGAAACGCAAATGATCCCTAGCAGCTGACAGCAGTCTGCTGCAAACACAGCAAAGTTGAGTCCCAGTTGCAGCTGCAGTGACCACCAGCCAGCCTCTGTCATGGCCCCCGAGTGCTGGGCCCAGCAAGGCGGGCTCAAGAGCAGTAAGCAGCAGTGGCAGGGGTGGGGCCCAGCGGGATCCCAGCATCGTGGCTCTGGCTCACCCAGACAAACCCGGATCTGCCACCCAAGTGCCCAAGTCTCCAGCCTGCCAGTGACAGAGACCAGCGTTGGTCTCCTCAAGGGACTGAGTGAGGAGACCAGTCACCACCCGGTGCAAACTGAGTCCCTTCCACGCGGGAAAGGGCCACGAGCAATTCATGTTTTCTTTTTTTTGTTTGTTTTTGAGACAGAGTCTCGCTTGGTCGCCCAGGCTGGAGTGCAGTGGCACAATCCTGGCTCACGGCAACCTCTGCCTCCGGATTTTGTGAACCAAGCAGGAGGTTGCTTGCCCTGCATCCTGGCAGGAGTCAGCAATTCTCCTGCCTCAGCCTCCCGAGTAGCTGGGATTACAGGTGCCCACTACCATGCCTGGCTAATTTTTGTAGTTTTTAGTAGAGACGGGGTTTCACCATGTTAGCCAGGCTGGTCTCCAGCTCTTGACCTCAGGTGAGCCACCCGCCTTGGCCTCCCAAAGTGCTGGGATTACAGGTATGAGCCACGGCTCCCGGCCATGTTTTCTATTTTTAGCTTTTCATTTTGAAATATTTTCAACCTTACAAAAAAGTTGTGAAAATACTACAAAGACCTCAAAAACATTTTGCTAAGTTGTGCCAGACACAGAAGACCACATATTGTATAGTTGCATTTATATGAAATATCCAGACAAAGCAAATCTGCTGAATGCATGCCCCAAAAGTTCATATGTTGGACTTAATCCCCAGTGCAACAGTGTTGGGAGGTGGGGCCTAGTAAGAGGTGATTGGGTCATGAGGGCAGAACCCTCATGAATGAATGTTTTTTTTGTTGTTGTTGTTTTAATTTGAGAAGGAGTCTCACCCTGTCGCCCAGGCTGGAGTGCAATGGCGCAATCTCTGCTCACTGCAACCTCCATCTCCCGGGTTCAAGCGATTCTCCTGCCTCAGCCTCCCAAGTAGCTGGGATTACCGTAGATTGCAGACCTGAATATAGGAGACTATCTTGATGACCTCAGAGTTGGGAAGAATTTATTAGACAAAATACAAAAAGAGTTAACCATAAGGTAAAACACTGATTCATTTGTTACAGTCAATTTAAGAGCTTCTGTGCATCAGGAGACACCATCAGGAGCCTGGAAACACAAGCCATTGGTGAAAGAGAGCCTCTCCCTGGAGGCAGGTTTTGGCTACTGTCAGGGAGCATGCTGGAGCCACAGCAGTGGGTGACATAGGAGTTTGCTTGTGCTAACCTGTGCACTGGGATGCCGTGGGTGCTGGAGCATCCTTCTACTGCAGGAAGGATGGCCTTGGGCCTGCACACTGTTGGACTTCTTGGGCCCAACAGAACCAGCTCCTGTGGCAGACTGCCCTGGCCACGCAGTCACTTGGTGCCCCAATGTCCCAAGGTCCAGTTTTCATTTGTTTTGTTTTTGGAACAATGTCCATTCCCTGCTGGGGAAGGCACAGCCTTGATCTGGGACCATAAGATTATGCACTATGACTCTCTCACGAGGCTTCTGCTAGAAACACCACCTGGCCCTGTCTCTACCACAGCTATTTCTAGCACCAGGGGGTGTGCTCGATTTTCTGAACCAAGCAGAAGGTTGCTTGCCCTGCATCCTGGCAGGAGTCAAAGCAGCAGTCCCGAGTGTGAACTGTGTTGCATCCAAAGCCTCCAGAGGCCCGCCAAGGCCTGTGTGCCTTTCTTAGTGGCAAGAGATCAAAAGTGCTATAACTTGAATTTTTGCCCGGGCTGGAGTGCAGTGGCGCGGTCTCAGCTCACTGCAACCTCCACCTTCCGGGTTCAAGTGATTCTGTCTCAGCCTCCCAAGTAGCTGGGATTACAGGTGCATGCCACCATGCCCAGCTAATTTCTGTATTTTTAGTAGAGACGGAGTTTCGCCATGTTGGGCAGGCTGGTCTCAAACTCCTGACCTCAGGTGAGGACAGGCCCACCTGGGAAACTCCTGTTTTTAAAACCATCAAATGGACCAGGCTTGGTGGCTCACGCCTATAATCCCAGCACTTTGGGAGGCCAAGGCGGGTGGATCACTGAGGTCAGGAGTTGGAGACCAGCCTGCCCAACATGGGCAGGCTGTATTTTTTGTAAAAATACAAAAAATTAGCCAGACGTGGTGGCGGACACCTGTAATCCCAGTTACTCGGGAGGCTGAGGCAGGAGAATCGCTTGAACCTGGGAGGCGGAGGTTGCAGTGAGCTGAGATCACACCACTGCACTCCAGCCTGGGCAACAAGAGCGAAACTCCGTCTCGAAAAACAAAACCAAAAATAAAAATAAAAAAATTTAAAAAAAAGGGAGTGTCCCTGCACAAGCTCCTCTCTCTTTGCCTGCTGCCATCCACGTAAGATGTGACTTGCTCCTCCTTGCCTTCTGCCATGATTGTGAGGCCTCCCCAAAGTCCAATAAACCTCTTTCTTTTGTTAAATTGCCCCGTCTTGGGTATATCTTTATCAGCAGCGTGAAAACGGACTAATACACTGGGCATGGTGGTGCACGCCTGTAATTCCAGCTACACAGGAGGCTGAGGCAGGAGAATTGCTTGAACCCAGGAGGCGGAGGTTGCAGTGAGCTGAGATCACGCCATTGCACTCCAGCCTGGGCAACAGAGTAAGACCCTATCTCAAAAAGAAAAGAAAAGCTGGGTGCAGTGGCTCACGCCTGTAATCCCAGCACTTTGGGAGGCCAAGGCGGGTGGATCACAAGGTCAGAAGATCGAGACCACCCTGGCTAACACAGTGAAACCCCGTCTCTACTAAAAATACCAAAAAATTAGCCGGCCGTGGTGGCGGGCACCTGTAGTCCCAGCTACTCGGGAGGCTGAGGCAGGAGAATGGCGTGAACCTGGGAGGCGGAGCTTGCAGTGAGCCGAGATGGCGCCACTGCACTCCAGCCTGGGCGACAGAGCTAGACTCTGTCTCAAAAAAAAAAAAAAAGAAAGAAAGAAAGAAAAGAAGAAGAACAGAGAAGCAGAGAGAAGCCAGGCCAGCTGCCCCAGTAAAGACTCAGGTTCTCACGATCCCAGGCCACTTCCAGACTGAATCAGTTCTCAGCTGTACAGCAGGTGATCTCTGCCCTACAGGGATCTGCACCCATTTACTCAGGAAACTGTCTTCTTACTATCCAGTTTTGAGAGTTTTTATATATTTTGAATTCAAAGTATTTTTTTAATCATATATATGATTCACAAATGTTTTCTCTAAGTCTATGGTTTAATTTTTCTATTTTTTTATTTTTGAGACGGAGTCTAGCTCTGTTGCCCAGGCTGGAGTGCAGTGGCGCGATCTCGGCTGACTGCAAGCTCCGCCTCCCTGGTTCACGTCATTCTCCTGCCTCAGCCTCCAGAGTAGCTGGGACTACAGGCGTCCACCGCCACCCCCGGCTAATTTTTTGTATTTTTTAGTATAGACGGCGTTTCACCGTGTTAGCCAGGATGGTCTCGATCTCCTGACCTCGTGACCTGCCCACCTCGTGCTGGGAGTACAGGCGTGAGCCACCGCGCCTGGCCCTCTCTGTGCCTTTTTTTTTTTTTCTTTTCTTTTCTTTTTTTTTTTTGTTGGAGACGGAGTTTCGCTCTTGTTGCCCAGGCTGGAGTGCAATGGCGCGATCTTGGCTCACTGCAACCTCTGTCTCCTGGGTTCAAGCAATTCTCCTGCCTCAGCCTCCCGAGTAGCTGGGATTACAGGCATGCACCACCATGCCCGGCTAATTTTGTATTTTTAGTAGAGACAGGGTTTCTCCATGTTGGTCAGGCTGGTCTTGAACTCCCGACCTCAGGTGGTCCACAACCTCGGCCTCCCAAAGTGCTGGGATTACAGGCGTTAGCCACCATGCCCAGCCTGGCACAATTTAGCATAAAGTTTTTGAGGTCTTTGTACTATTCCAGTAGGACAGTTGGTGAAACTTGAATAAGATCCGTAAAATACTTGATTACTAACTTGTATCAATGGAAATCTCTTGGTTTATAACTGAATTTTGGTTATACAAGTTTTTTTTTTTTTTTTTTTTTTTTTTTTTTGAGACACAGTCTCGCTCCGTCGCTCAGGTGTGATCTTGGCTCACTGCATCCTCTGCCTCCTGGGTTCAAGCAATTCTCCTCTCTCAGCCTCCCAAGTGGCTGGGATTATAGGTGCCTGCTACCACGCCTGACTAATTTTTGTATTTTTAGTAGAGATGGGGTTTCACCATGTTGGCCAGGCTGACCTCAAACTCCTAACTTCAGGTAATCCGCCCACCTTAGCCTCCTAAAGTGTTGGGATTACAGGCATGAGCCACCGCGCCTGGCCGAGACTGTAGATTTTTGCAACTTTTTTGTAAGTCTAAAATAATTTCAGCCAAGCATGGTGGCTCATGCCTGTAATCCCAGCACTTTGGGAGGCTGAGGCAGAGGATCACTTCAGCCCAGGAGTTTGAGACCAGCCTGCAACGTAGCAAGACTCCATCTCTGGAAAAAAAAAAAAAAAATTAGAGCCTGTGGTCCCAGCTACTTGAGAGGCTTGAGGTGGGAGGATTGCTTGAGCCCGGGAGTTTGAGGATGCAGTGAGGCATGTTGAGCCACTGCACTCCAGCCTGGGCAACAGAGCACGATCCTGTCTCAAATATAAAATAATTTCTAAATAAACTTTCTTGTTCAAGCTCAGGGTCTGAGTTGTGCACTGCCTATGATCCACTCCACAGAAGTTCTGATTTCTTCTCTGTGCAATGGTTCTGCCGGCCTTTCTGCCGCCCAGAGGTCCTGGTGAGTGGGCATCAGAGACTCCTTAGGGCTCTGTGGAGGCTCAGGGAGGAGCTTTCGCTTCCCTCCTGATGCTGGTGCCTCCAGAGCTAGACAGGAAGATGGAAGCTGGGTGGCCCGAGCAGGGGTGGGGGCTTGGCTGGCCCTCCTGTCAGCTTGAGCTGGCTTGAGCCCAGGCAGGGCCCTGACAGCCTGGGCAGGCTCAGAGGGAGGGAGGTGGGAACCAAGAGACCCGGGGAGGGCTCCCGGGGCCAAGACCCAGGTCCCTGCCCTGCACATCTGCCAAGGGACTTCCTCAGAAGCTGCTGATGTTAGGCTTTGGCTTCCTGCTGTGGACTGAGGGGATGAACTCCGACGGGAGGACATTCAGGCCTTGGAGGAAATGAGAGCTTGGCTGACAGGAGGGCCTGGACTCACGAAGACACTTGGACACCCACAAGCACAGAGACATGGGTGTGTGACAACTGACCAAGGGGCATGCAGGTATGTATGCGTGGTGCACACAGACACCCTGGGCACAGCCCACTGGCACCAGCGTCAACCCCTGCGTGGTGGGCTGCATCCCACCCTTCAGGCAGGCCCTGTGGGGCAGGTTTCAGGGAGGAAGGAGGCTGAGTGGGCAGAGTCTGAGGACGCGGCCACCATCGCTCCCTGGCACTACATCTGTGTCCGGGATCTAGGAGGCAGTCCTCCATCACTGAGCCCCAAGATGACTGTCACAGCTTGGTCTAAAGCAGGGGCCGGGCCTGAGCCCTGGCCCCTGCCCTGGAGGAGCTCACAGAGCCCCCAGCTGGGGCATATCTGGTTTCCGGGGGCAGGGGCGATACCCAGAGGAGGAAGAAGGGATTCTGAGAGAGCCCAACAGGCTCCGAGCCTCAGGCTGGAGCTGAGCTTGGGGCAGCAAGGAAGGACCAGGTGCGAGGGCAGAACCATGCGGCCCGACCCCTGCAGCACGGCCTGTGGCCTCCCCCAGCTCCTGCCCGTGCTTCTGGGTCAGTCTGGACTTTGCCACTTCTGACCAAAAGCCACCGCAAACCCACTCAAGCCAAAAGAGGAAGTGACCGTTAGGCCCAACTGGGAAGGCTGGCGGCCAGGGGCACTCCAGGCAGGGCGAGGGGGGCGGCCGGGGGCGCTCCAGGCGGGGCGAGGGAGACACCCAGAACTCCAGGCAGGAGTCCTCGGGTGCCACCTTTCCTCTCCACCTGGCCCTGCGTGGGCTCTGTCCTCAGGGTGGCCCGCCGTAGTCCCCCTCCCCACTCTGAGTTTCCTGTCCCAAAGTCCTAAGGAAGTTTCCAGAACTACATCTCACCATCTTGAGTCAGCCTTGGCTCAGTGTCCATCTCACAGGCCTGGAAGGGGCAGGAGTCAGCACTGTCCAGACCACAGGGCCTGAGTGTGGGGAGGGCAGCCGTCTAGGAAGGTGGTGGAGGGTTGTTACCTTGAGGCAAGAGGGCTGCGGGGCAGAAAGACACAGCAGGTGACTGTTGTGGGAGGCCCAAGAGAGGCCTGGGAGAGGGATGGCCCACAAGGGCTGACCCTCCCGCCACCCAGGGGGCCTTGGACAGGTTTCCTCCTGGCAGGGTGGCCCTTGTGCATGGAACCCCTACAACGACTAAGGCTGGCAGGCATGAGGTTTCCTGAAGGAGAAAGAGCTTGTGGGGCCCAGTGTGGCTGGGGGGGCGCTGGGACTCCATTCTGAAGCCAAAGGCACTGGGAAGGGCTTCCGCAGAGGAGGGTTTGGCAGGGGTTGCCAGGAACAGCCTGGATGGGGACAGGGAACAGATAAGGTGGGTGGAGGAGTTAGCCGGGAGCCTGGGGCTGGCTCCAGCATGATGTGGGGGTCTGCAAGGCCCTGGAGAAAGTGGGGTGGTGCAGCAGGGGGCACACCCACAGCTGGAGCTGACCCAGATGGACAGCTTGGGCTCTGCCACGCGGGACTAGGCAAGGAAGGGGCACGAACAAGCAGGAAGTGGTGAGGCGGTCTCCAGCTAGCTGCTCTCCCCTGCCCAGACTTTGGTTTCCTCCCTGCTGGCTTGGCCTGGCTCCCTGGCTCTGTGTGGTATGGTCACACCCCCGTGCACCCCCTCCACTGAGATGGGGCGGGGAGAGCACCGAGGCTGCTCTTCCTCTCCTGGGCCGTCCTCTGAGCAGCAGACGGGGCTAAGCGTTCCCCAGCTCGCCTTCACACACAGCCCGTGCCACCACACCGACGGTACCATGAAGGACGAGGTAGCTCTACTGGCTGCTGTCACCCTCCTGGGAGTCCTGCTGCAAGGTGGGCTGGTTCCTATCTAGGAAGAGGGTGGGCCTTAGATCCCTACAGCTTGCCCTCTGCCCCCTAGGCCCAGGTGGAGGGCAGAGGTGGGGACTCCAGCCCAGGCCCAAGCTGGAAGAGGGTGGGGACTTTCAGGGAACTGGGGGGCACCTGGCTGTGAGAGCTGTAGGACTTGGGGGTGGCAAGGGTGCCAGGACAAATGGTAGGATAGCCATGGGCTTGGGGAAGCTGATCTCTGCTCTTTCCAGCTGTCCCCTCTCTGGGCGTCCCAGCAAGCGGCCCCCATTCCCTGGCTCTGCTTCAAAGGCACCTCCATACTGGGACCACGTGGAGCAGGGTAGAGGTGGGACTCCTTCCTCCAGCCCCCTAAAAAGAGCCTGCTTAATGCCTTTCTCAGACTGGCCCTAAAGGACACATTCCTTGGCCAGATATCCTTGCCACCTAAGAGACACCACTACTCCACAGTGTGTGGGCTAGGATAAGGCACAGCCTGGGGAGGGGGCTCTGAAGGGGCTGAACAGACAGGCCAGCCTGACCTCCAGCTGCTCCTGCACTGAGCTGGATGGCCACCCTGTGACACCCATCTGCAGAGGGCCCAGAACCAAAGGTGCCAGGGCTGCAGGACTCAGGGGGAGATGGTCCGACGGGAGGTCTGGGGAGGGAGCGCACAGCCAGCACTGGTCTGTGTGTGGTCTGGCCTGGCCTCACCTGACCAAGAGAAGGGCTCCTGCCCACAGAGAAACTTTAGGGCCAGCCCACCCTCTGCAACTACCCCAGCCCTGGGGTCCTGGGGTTAGGCTAGGAGAGTCCCAGCTGCAACCTCCTGGGAGCAGGAGAGAAGGTGTCTGTCAGATTTAGGCCTGGGACCGGAATGCAGGAACAGAGAAACTGAGGTTTGGAGGCACAGGGACGCAGGCTTTAGTGATCCCGGCCTGAGGCAGGGTCAGAGGGCCCTGCTGGTGGGCGCTGGTAGGTGGGTGACCAGGGACTGTTAGCTACAGGGAGTGTGCTTCCTTGCACCTGGGAGGATGCAGCCAGCTCTGCCCTCAGACTCCCGAGGCACTTCCTGGCCAGGGACCTGAAAGCTGCATTTGCCTGTGTTTTGAGAGTGAAATGATTCAGAAACAAGGACTCAAGTGGTCTCTCTCGCGGAGCAGGTGTCCCTGTGCCTGAATCACTCACCCTCCCCCATACACTCACAGGTTGGGACAGGGCCTCTCTGCGCCCCAGGCTTCAGCCCTGCCCTCCTCGCTGAATGTCAGGGACACAGGGCAGGCCAGGGATGGGTGAGACGAGAGGTCTCCTCGGGCGGGGAGGGGGCGGGGTTCCGCCTTAGGGAGGAGAGGACACGGCCAAGTGAAGGGCCAGATTGCAGGATCCCTCCCACTCCCATCTCTGGGGCTTCGGGTGTCCAGACCTGACTCCCGCTCCCCCTCCTCCCCCAGCCTACTTCTCCCTGCAGGTGATCTCGGCGCGCAGGGCCTTCCGCGTGTCGCCGCCGCTCACCACCGGCCCACCCGAGTTCGAGCGCGTCTACCGAGCCCAGTGAGGCGCGGCGGGAGGGCGCGGGGCGGGGAGCGAGCCCCAGGCGGGTCCGGGTCGCAGGACCATCCCGGCCGGCGCGCTCATCCCACCCGCCCACCGCAGGGTGAACTGCAGCGAGTACTTCCCGCTGTTCCTCGCCACGCTCTGGGTCGCCGGCATCTTCTTTCATGAAGGTCGGGGTGTGGGGCAGGGGCGCACGCGCTGGACCCCCGGGACCCGCGCAGGGCGCTCACCAGGCCCGTGCGTACCTCTCGCAGGGGCGGCGGCCCTGTGCGGCCTGGTCTACCTGTTCGCGCGCCTCCGCTACTTCCAGGGCTACGCGCGCTCCGCGCAGCTCAGGTGAGGGCCGGGCGGGGAGCGGGGCGGGGCCGGGGAAAGATCGCGGGCGGGCGGGGCTCCTGGGGAGCGGGACCGAAGCTGGGGGCGGGCGACGGGCCGGAGCCCAGCGCCTTTGGGGATTCGGTGGGCGAGCCCTGGCGGCGGCCAGAGGAAGTCCCCGTGGGGCCAGGGTTGCGGCGGGGAAGAAGCGGGCCTCCTCGCGCCACCTCCCCGCTGACCGCCGCCCGCAGGCTGGCACCGCTGTACGCGAGCGCGCGCGCCCTCTGGCTGCTGGTGGCGCTGGCTGCGCTCGGCCTGCTCGCCCACTTCCTCCCGGCCGCGCTGCGCGCCGCGCTCCTCGGACGGCTCCGGACGCTGCTGCCGTGGGCCTGAGACCAAGGCCCCCGGGCCGACGGAGCCGGGAAAGAAGAGCCGGAGCCTCCAGCTGCCCCGGGGAGGGGCGCTCGCTTCCGCATCCTAGTCTCTATCATTAAAGTTCTAGTGACCGAGACCCGGGCTGCGTTCTCTGGGTCCGCGGGGGTGGCGCACCGCGGGCTACGGAGCCTGGAGGGGCCCAGCCCGAGTCCGGGCAGCCCGGGGCGGGCTTCCTAGTGGCGGCGTGAGAGTGGCTGCGAAGGAACGAGCCCTCCCCCTGGGGCGGGACTGGATCCGGTCTTCACCTCCTACCCCACTCCCTACTCAGCCTCGGGGTCACAAGGCCGCCCAGTCCTGCCGGGGTTCACCCTCCTAGCGCTCAGCGGTCTCCTCACCGGTCCCCCTCCTCAGGGGCCTTCCCTCGACTCTCAGCCGCCGCAGTCCCTCGTCCCCTGGCCTTCACAGCTGACACTAGATAGAGCCTGTGGCTCTCTCCCCAGGTGAGGGCAGGGGTTTTTCTTTTGGTCAGCACTGGATCCCCCTCGTTAACTGTAGGTGTTCAGGGCAGCCCTCCGAGGTCCGCAGAGCTGCGGGCACCATGGGAACGAAGTGAGTCAGTGACAGGCGGTCTCAAGGAAATGTCCAGAAGCCTTGGGGATCCAGGGGAGGCCCACAGAAACAAAGAAGTGACTTTTAGCCAAGTATGCAGGAGAAACGGAGGAGAGCTTTCCAAGGAGGGGCAACAGTGTGTGCAAAGGCCCTGAGGTGAGCGGGAGACCCTAATGTGCCAGAGGAGTGTCGGGGACCCAGGATGAGGACCAAGCTGAGACACACGGAGGGGAACAAGGAGGCTGGGAAATGCCTTCAGCTTGAGGAGCTAAGGGAAGGCCTCATCGCAGGCCTTGGACATGGGGGAGACATTCGGGGGACCTGCTATAGGCATTGTGGTCCCAGATTCTGAGCTGGTTTCACCAGTGACAGACTTTGCGGCCTGATCCTAGGAAGGGGGGTACGCTGGCGCCGAGGTGGCACTGCAGCTGCACAGCCAGGGGCTGGACCCCGCGCCTGCAGGCCAGGCTGGCTCCTTGACTTAGCAGGGAAAGGTCGCTGCTGATGCTGGCTGGGGAGGCCCAGTGCCAGGCTTAGTTGGCATGTTGGGGCACAGACCAAATGAAGCCAACCGCAGGGGCAGAGGGAGATGCCCAGGGCGCTCACATTTGAGGCACACACTTCATTAACCCTTTATTACAAGTCACGCTCTTATAGAAGTATATGTGGACTTACGTGAAAAAATCAAATGTATCCAAGAATAAAAAACACAGCACATAAAGTAGTATATGCATTCCAGTGTTCGCGCCAGAGACGGCGGGCGCCCAAGTAAAAGCTCTTCTAAAACGGCCTGACTGGGGCAGGCCGGGTGCGAACGGTTCCGGGCCTCAGGCACAGTGTGGGGGCCGCCTGCCTCCTCCGCGGCCCGGCGGGCGGGGGCAGCACCAGCTCCTAGGGCCTCCGGGCCAGCGGCGGACCCCAGGCCGGCCCAAGCCCGACGCCAGGCAGAACCCTTTGGGCGGGGCCGTATCTGGCCCTCCGGGGACGGCAGTGACGACACCCCCAGAAATGTGGGCTTCAGGGCTGGCCACAGGGTACCCTCAGAAGCCCGCAGCTTAGTCGGCCTTTTTCAGGAAGATCTGGAAGAGCCGGACCCAGGGTCAGCAGGGCCTCTGAGCTCCGCCAGGGTCTCCCTGGCTGCTCCCCGTGCCTGGCCTGGCCCTGCCCAGCCTCACCTCGCTCAGAATCACCCACACAGGGGAGTCCGTCTGGATCGAGAGGCGCAGTGCTTCCAGAGGGCCGAAGGCTGGGTCCACCTCTCCCTCTGCCACTCCCTTGTAGAAGGAGCCTGTGGGAGGGCAGTGGTGAGAGGGTGTCCCTGAACCCCAGCCCACGCTCTCCCCCAAACCCTACCCACCGATCTGGAGGTAGCCGTCGGGGCTCCGAGGGTACCGGAGGGTGGCGGTGCGGCCCTCCTGCAGGGCCTCCTTGTCTGACTGAGGGTTCTGGGGGCAGAATCAAGGGCTGAGGCAGGTGGTCACAGGAGGCCCGGCTTCAGTGCACACCACACCCACCGAACTTACGTCGAAGGGCAGCACCTCCACAGACGTGTTGAAGAGCTTGTCCTCCGGGTGCTCGATGTTCCCACTGCGGAAGAAGAACCTGCAGCCAGGCAGGCCTGTGAGCTGCTGCAGGGGCAGCGTTCCAGCACAGCACCCAGGGCCCAGCAGAGAAAGGCCAGGCCTGCGCCAGGAGGGCCCCCCAGGCAGCTGTCAGGCTGTGCAAAGAGACCAGGGCCTTCCTCTGGGAGGATGGTGACAGGAAACATCCCTGAGCTCCTAGGGGCTGCCTGACTTAGTCCTCACAAGGTAGCTACCATTACGAGGCCCACTTCAGATGCGGAAACTGAAGAACGTGAGGATAACTTGCCGGTGAAGCCTACACCCTGGGGGCCACCCAGCCCCGCCCCCATCGCAGACCCATGGTGCTGGCACTGACCGCTCCAGTCTTAGAGGTTGGAAGAAGCGGAAGCGGATGAAGTCCCCCGCGGCAGGGGTGAAGGCCCAGAAGAAGTCCTCGCGCAGGTAGGCTTTCTCCAGGGTGAAGTGCTGGTATGTCTTCAGGCTCGTGCTCACCTCTGCTGGCGGGTTCACATGCTCCTTCCGCAGCGCCTGCTTTCCAAAGTCTTTGTCCTGCAGCGGAGGAGGGACAGCAGTGATGGCGTGGGCCCCGACCTTGATCCCGGCCTAGGGAGAGCGTGCAGTGCAGCCCACCTTCAGTTTCTGGATCTTGCCAGCCAGCGAGGAGTGAGTGCCCACGTGCTGGAAGAGGGACGGTTTGAAGCGGATCCGCAGGTTGGCTTTCTGCCGGTCACAGTGCTTCTGTGGAGGGTGGGCAACACCCCAGGGCTCGGCTTAGCCCTCCTTCCTCAACACGGCCTCTCCTGGGGACTACCAGGGCCCTCCCACAGCTGACAGTGCTCTATGTGAGCAGATGCAAGGACAGGGACACAGTTTGGGGTGGAGGCTGCCTGCCCCTTGGCCCTGCCCCTGCCAGTCCCGCCAGCTCTTGCTCACCGCATCCTTCTCGGGGTTGCAGACTTTCACCCACAGAATATGGTCCAGGAGCCAGTCGATGGGCTTGTCCCGGTAGAACATGAGAATGAACTCTACAATCAGGCTCAGGTCCAGCGACTTGAACATCTTACCTGGTGGGGAGGGGCCTGAGTGGGCAGTGCTGCTCTGCCTACTTCCTTTCTCCCTGCAGCGGCCCCCGAGTCCCACAGCAAACCCAGGGGCAGGCTTCAGGCAGGTGTGGGCATAACGGGGCAGGGAGGCAGACAGGTGATGAGGGCAGACATGTCTGATGCACAGGCAATGAGAACAGGCCAGGTGGGGCTGTAGCACGCACACCAGGCAGGGCCCACCTGGGCAAAGGCTCACAGTGGACACAGTGGGACTGGGAGAGAGGATGGCAGAGGCAGGTGGGACTGAAAGGCACCGTCAGGTAAGGGGAGGGGCACACCAATGAAGCCCAGCTGGGAGAACTCCAGGATCATCCAGTCCTCTGAAGGCTGCTGCAGTGCAAAGTTCTTCATGGTGCTCAGGTAGTTGGGCTTGGCCACGATGTCATCCTCCAGCTGCGAGGTGAGCAGAGAGGGGCTGGGGCTGAGGAAGGGCACCCAGATGGACCAGACCCATCGCAGGGCAGGGCGGCGCAGGGCAGGGCAGGGCAACGCAGGGCTTGGGGCTGACCTGCACGTAGTAGATGCCTTTGGACTGCGCGTACATCATGAGGAAGCAGTAATCGAGGTTCTGTTTGGTCCTCCACCTGTGGGCCGGGGCGGGGCCTCAGAAGTTCAGACCCCTCCACCTCCATTGTGGCTCCGCAGAGAAGCCGCTGGGTGGGCAGCTTCTGTCCCCCCACCCCCATGCACGGGTCCTCCCATGGAGAATTCAGGGCACTGCAGGGAAACACCCTGGACTCAAACACCAGTAGATGGGTTCTCAGCACAGGCAGGCGGGTTGCTGAGGGTATGGGGGAGTAACTAGTACCTGACTCTCTCCTTGGGGTCCCCAAAGGACTCTCGGAGGCGGGAGAAGTCAGGGTAGAAGTGGGGGGAGGGTGAGATGACCTCCAGGAGCCCAGAATGGATCTCCGTGGGGAACCTGGGGGACGGGAAGGCCTAGTCCGTATGCAGCCTCCAGGGGCTGAGAGGGGCCGAGCCCACCAGACTGTGGCCCTTTCTTGAGGCTCACCCAGTGCCAGCCCCCCACCACCCCCTACACCCAGCCAACTGAGGTAGCAGAGCTCCAGAGGGGCTGGGCCACTTCTGCACACCCACCCCTCCCCCACCAGGTCCCTGCCTCCCCACGAGATAGGAAAGGCACTATCTCATGGGGAGGCAGGAACCTGCCAGCACAACACCCCGCACCGAGCTCTCCCGCCACCAGCTCTCTGGGGTCGCCAGTACTCACAAGGCCTTGATGTTCTCTGTCACTGCCGAAGTGTACTGTGAGTCAGTCTGTGGGGAGACCAAGCACCCTCCCTTAGCCCTGCTGCTGCCCCAAAAGGCCTGGAAGGGCTTGGAGAAGGGGCACAGGCTTCAGATGCCCCCCACGTGGAGGGAGTGAGCCTGCTGTGCTGAGGGCGGAGTAAGGGGGCCCCCAGAGACGGCCCTTTCCCTTTGGGACTCGCATGGCCAAGGACTAGGGGGTGGCGGGGGCGATGGGTAGGGGTAGAGGGTGCCAGAAAGCCCTTTCAACTTTCTATCTCGGAGCATTTGCGAATGAAACTAGCAACTGAACTTCCGACAGCTTTCTCCTCGGAATGGTTCCTGCTGTCAGTTCTGCACCGCGGGGGCTCCTCTGAATGTCCCCCAACCCCGCGTCCCGGCTCACTCGCCTCGGCGATCAGCACCACGATGACCGAGTCCTCCTTCTCCTGCGGGCTCAGCTCGGAGATGAGCGAGTGCAGAGTGTCAGTCAGGTACGAGTGCACCTCGCGCCGCACGCTCGGGATGCCCATCACCACCGACACTATGGGGGACGGAGGCCCGACGCTGGAAAGGGTGCGGGGGCCACCCGTCCCCCCACCCCGTGCTCCTCCCTGTCTGCGCCCATACCTCCGGTGCGGCCCTGGCCCACGCGCACCGCGGGCTGCAGACTGCTCTCCTTGGCCAGCAGGTGTGGCAGGTGATGGAAGACGGTGGGCAGGTGCAGCACGTGCCGGTGTGAGCCGTTCCACGGCTTCAATCGGGGGTCCTCTGGGTGGGTCGGGAAGGATCGGGACTGAGACCAGGGAACCTACAACCAGCCCGCCCCCGCCTTTTCCCCCTCCCGCCCCAGACCTCACCTGTTAGGCGGCCCCAGGTGCGATTGCCGTCTCCGTCTCGCAGCGCCTGCCTTTCTGACACGGCCCTCTTGATCTCGTCCAGCACCAGGTTGAGCTCCTTGGAGCGCTTGAGGCTCTCCTGCTCAGCTGCGTGCAACCGATCGCGCAGCGCCAGGAACTCCCGCTGGTAAACGTCCACAACGTCGCCTGCAGGTGGTAGGCAAGCCGTCACGAGGGGGCGGTCTAGAGCCACCCTACGGGCCCCTCCAGTGTGCCAGCGCACACATCTGGGTGTCCACCTCTGCAATAGCTCATTGACATCTGTTCTTGTGCCTGCCACACGTGACATAGCTGGGGTCACTCTAAAATTACACTGACACTAATGCTCATGGGGAGAAAACCAGGGGAATTAGCCCTCTTCCAGTACTCTCCCCCACCGGGGGTTATTTTATCCTCTGAGAAGGCATCTGAAGTGGAAATACGATTTCCAGACCTAGGTAGGTGGATCCTAAGCAAGGGCTGGAACAGCCTCAGACTGAATCCGCTCCATCCGTTGGCCTCCAAAGCCCACTCTTGCTTTTTGCAGCACACGCTCCCTCCAGCGGGTGGGCTACCCAAGGTCCTGGTGCTAGCTCTTCACTGTCCTTGTAGCGGTCGCTGGTTGCTCACCCTGCACTGGATTCTTAGCCTCACGATGGCCCCGGGGGGTGGCTGCTGCAGTTCCAGGAGCCCACCTCACTTCATTGCTCAGGTGAGCAAATGAGGTTGAGAAACCGGCCCTGGGGCTGCTCAAGGACAGTCAACAGCAGCGAGGGGACTAGCTCTGAACGCCCTGGTGCCTGTGTCTCTGGAGACCTGTGCTGCGCCTGGGGCACCCTGAAGGGTCCGCATGCCACCCCAGGGGGCCCCTGTCAGAACCTCCAGCTGGGCCCAGGCATGAGGGCTGTAGGTGGATGGGGCAGCACAGAGGTGGGGCTGCCCGACAGTAGAGAGGCACCACCAGTCTGGCAGGGACCAGTGAGCAAGAATGAGATCAACAACCTCCTGGTGGCTCGGTGCCCACAGTCCACGCAGCAGGACGCTCCAGGCCTCTGCCAGGCGAGTCTCTGAAAACCTATGTGGCCTACAAGGCCTTCTGTTTCCAAGTCTCCAAGTTTAAGAAGCCTGACCGAACTCCCTCTACACTCAGGCAGCTCTTCCATTCCTTGATCCTTGGTGGCTTCACAGACCCCAGAGTTGCGTGGGATGGCCTCACCCCACCAGCAGCCCTGTGCATGATCAAGGTCATGATCAGGCAAAGTTCAGTCACCTCAGGGCACACCCCTTTCCGAAACGGGCAGGAGGTCGAAGTGCCAAGTGACCAGGGAAGAGGAAGGGGTGGACCTGGGCAGGAGGGAAAGGTTTAAGGAGCAGGGAGCCAGGTAGATCTTCCCTGAGGCATCTCTTACCCAAGAAGCCAGCCCCCACCCTCCACACCCTGCCTCTCTGGGGCTAAAGGCTGAGGCAAAGCGGAGCCTCTGGACAGCCCCTGGCGGGAGGGAAAGGGGAGTCAGATTACTGGCTCTGCCAGGCTCCACGCTGGGCTCAGGGGCTCGGTTACCCTGGAAACCTAACCCCTTGAATGCAGAGCTGGCTATCCCCAGGGCTCACCCATTGCTGGGTGACACCAGGTGTAGGCAGCACTCGCCCACAGGGATGGGACTGGAGGTGCAGAGGCCTAGAGAGCCATCAGGAATGGGTTCAGAGCCACCTGCACCTGCAGGTGCGCCTCCCTCCTGCCTAGATGCCAGTCCCCGCTTGCCTACTTACAGCCACTGCCCACCCCCACCCCCGAGCCCCACCCTGGCTTTCTCTGTCCCACACGACTGCCTCAGATGGACAGGCTGGGTGGGCAGTGGTGGGTGATGCTGCCTGAATCACCCTGGCAACAGCCTGCGCCTTACCCTCGCTTCCTTCCTAGGGGCCTCCCCTCTCCCCCGGGTCCTGTTTACCAGGAGATAAAGGGCCCCACGGGCTCCCGCCCACACCAACCCTTCTGTCATTTCCCTACACACTGCAGGCCCTGGCCCTGGGCAGCCTCCCCCGCCTGCCAGCTCCTCCACCCGCCTTGCCCTCAGCTTCTCTGACTGTGGGTCCAACTCTGTGACTGCCTCCCCATGGGCCAGGCCCTATGCCAGGGCTCTGCCAAGCCATGCTGGCACCCTATAACCCTCGGGAGCTGGGGAGGCAGCTCAGGTGAGGAGAGGGACCAGCCTGGGAGCCCCTGCCACACTTTCTTGCCTCAGGACCACGTTGTTAAGAGCAGCAGCAATGAGGCCTGGAGGCTGTGTCACCCTCCCCTGGAGGCGAGTCATTAGGACATCCTGGGGCCCACAAACCACAGTTCCCCCTGCTTCCCTCTTGGTTGGGGAAAGATTAAAGAGCCAAGCTGGGGCACAACCTTTGTGCCTTGTACTCAGGGAAAAGGGACAGGCTCAGAGGGGCAGAGGCAGATATCAGGCCCGTTAACGGTCTGCTGTCACCATGCATGTGTGTGGCAGGTGTCTGCCTCCTCTCCAGACCCTGCAACCTCCTAGGAGTAAGGGTGTCCATCATTGCTGAAGTCCAGGCCTGGGGAGGCGGACAGCCTGAAGGCTGGGAGCGCTGCATGGCTGAGACCCCGGGCTGCCCCCAAGGGTCTGCCTCCCTGGGCAGATCCTCAGCAGGTGCTTGACCGAGGGCCACAGTTTGAGCGCTGGCAGAGCTGCTGCACGGGCTAGATAGGAAATTGGGCCCCAAACCCTTCTCCAGGGTCCATTTTGCGTTGGTCTAAGAGGCCGTCCTGGGCTTGACCTTGCGTTTCCAGGATGATGCCCACACCTGCTGCCCTTCCTCTCTGGTTCCCTGCCCACCTCCTTCCTTCCCTGCAGATTCCACTTCCTGGGTCCTTCCCTCAAGTTCCTGGACCCCCGCTGGCTGCAAAGTGGAGGCCAGGTTCCAATCTGGCCTCCGACTGGCTACGTCTGGTTTCACCAGGGGTTTAAGACAGATTTTCTACATGTGACAACGAGATGGGTTCACATAAGAGCCCAGATTCCCAGCTTCTCTTGAGGCCTCCAAAGACCTGGTACTACTGGGTCACCACAGAAACAGTGACAGCCCCTCGACAAGGGAGGCCTATGTCACCCCATACTCATACCTCACAGGATCCTTAGGCTTCTATCCCCTAGGGGCTGGGCTCGTGAATCTAAGTGCTCCCCTTCTTTGCTCTCCTGTTCCCCAGGCCCTCAGAGAGCCAGCCTCCTGGATGCCCCCCAGACACAGTGGGTGCCATGGAGCCAGTGCCTCTCCCTCACTCTGCTGTCCTGGAGCCTGGCTCCCTGTGGTAAGCCAGGCTTGCAGAGGTGGCTCCTGACATCAATCCGCGGGCATGTGGCTGCTGCGGGAGGCACACACTGGCTCAGGACAAAGGGCAAGGGCTCACGGCTCTACCCACGACTCAAAGAGCATGCCCCAGCCCTTCAGATATGGCCCCACCTAGGCCTTCATGCCAGTGTGCTTTTATAGTCACCCTGCCAAGGACCCAGAATGTCCTTCCCCAGGTGACACACCCTACCTACAGAGAATTCTGCCCCAGCCATGCCTGCCCTTGATAATATACCCCGCCAGCACGGCCTCTGCCCAGCCATCCCTCCCGTGTCAGGCAGGCTCCCCGCAGAGTCCCTGGGTGATGCCTCTCTGGCCCTGGAGCCCCAAGGCCAGCCCAGGCCTCTGCTCTGGCAGAACAAGTGCGGCAGGCGGGCGTGCTGGCAGAGCTCGGCGTGGGTAGATGGAGCTCGGAGGGTCCGGAAGGGTCCAGGTTCCCTCGCCCTCCTCCGCAGCCTCTCTGGGATGGCGCTCCGGGACAGGGAAACAGGGAAGCAGGTGGCGGGGAGGCCGAGGGGCAGCTGGACTCAGCCCGCTTAGGCCTCCAGCAGGCAGGCAGGCAGGAGGCCACTCTCCCGGAACCTCCAGGCCGGGGGAAGAGCGCCTCCGAGGGCTCAGGCCCTACTCGGCCCCACCATCGCCAAGACCGGCCAGCGGGGCGGCGCGGGGGGATCGGCCCGCACCCTCCGCCTGCAAGAGCGCTGGGCGCACGCGGAGGGCGGGGGCCAGCCCGGGAAGCTCGGGGTGCGGAGGACGGGCTGGGGCCGCACGGGAGCGCAGGGCAGCAGGGGCCGGGCTGCCTCAGGACGCCTCCCTCCCTCCCTCCCTCCCACAGGCCGGATGCTGCCGACGCGTTCTGGGCGCCGAAGGGAGTCCCAGGACCGGGTGTCACGCCGGGGTCGCCCAGGCCGGCGCGGGGCAGCAGGCAGCAGGGTGGGGGGGTGCCCTCGCGCCTGTGTCCCTCACGCCGCCCCAGCTCCTGCCCAGGTGGCTGTGGCTGGCGTTCCGGGACCTCTGTGACCTTGGGTCTCTGCCCCTCTCCGAGAACCCCACGGGTCCCCAGCTCAGCGTCGGGACAGCTGCGCCCGCGGAGTCCGGTCCGGAGCACCCACGGGCGCGGCCCGGGCCCGAGGAGAACGCCGCGGCTCCAGCAGCAAACAAGTGGGGGAGGGTGGGAGGGGCGTCCTCGCGCCGCCCGGGCGGGGAAGGGGCGCCTGCGTCGGCTTCCGGCCGCCTTCCGCGGCCACCGCCGGGCCCGCTCCCGCCGCCGACGCCCAGGTGCGCCAGGTGCGGGCCGGGCGGGGGTCGCGCTCACCTTTCTGGCCGCTGAGTGCCGCGTACCAGGACAGCGAGAGGAAGGCGCACAGGCAGAAGAGCAGCAGCGTCAGGAAGGTGCCATTGCGGAGCCTCATCTCCTCGGGTGCGCGGCGGGCGCCCGCGGGGCCGAGGCTGCATGGCCCGGGGGACCGGGGCCGGGGCGCAGGGGTCGGAAGGCGGCGGCGGCGGCGGCAGGGGCCCCGGCCCCGGGTCGGGGAGGGGCGGGGGGCCCGGGGCCGGGCGGGGACCGGGCCAGGGAGCGCGCCGGCCGCCCCTCAGGGCGCAAGCTTTGTGCCCTGTACTCAGGGAAGAGGAACAGGCTCAGAAGGGCAGAGGCAGGTATCAGGCTCACTGCAGATATCAGGGGCGCGGGACACTGGCGGCCTCGCCTCCGCGGCAGGGCCGGGCCGGGCCGGGCTGGGCTGGGCTGGGCGGCGAGAGCCGCGGCCCGGCCTGGATCTGGGGCCTGGATCTGGGGCCGCCGCGGAGTCGACGGCGCAGGGCGGGGCGGCCCGGATTTAAAGGGGCCGCAGCACCGCCGTCGCCGGCGCCGCGAGGGGGTGGGGTGGGGGCCGGCGGCCGGGATCCCGATCGGCTCCCGCAGCCCCGCGTGGGCTCGTGCGAGTCGGCCTCAGGTAAGGCTGGAGTGGGAGTGCAGGTCGACCGCAGCCGGGGCGGGGGGCGGGCGGCGGGGGCGGCGCTCCGGGACCCCGGTACCCTTCTCAGCAACATCTCCTCCGCGCGCGGACCCCGACCCCATTCGCACGTTCTCGGGGCTCTTTCCCGGGCGTGAGGGGCTCTGGGTGGCGCGGGGGACTGGGCGGTTGAAGCCGGGAGCGACCGCTGCCTTCGCTGCCGCCCAGGGCGCTTCCCCGCTCAGGAGCTTCCTCTGGGCCTCTGGACGGAGGCGCGCAGGGGCCCGGGAGGCGGGAACGATGGGCCTTTCTAGGCGGTATCAGGGCCGATGCTCGTGGATGCAGAGCAGTGACCAGCCCAGAACCGTACCGGCTTCCCGGGGCAGGGGCGGCCCGAGCGCGCCGCTAACGGGAGCAACGGGCCCTGCCCCCGGTGGTGTAGGGGCCACCTCGCCCCGCCCAGCCCAGCCCGATATTGATGGGGGCCCACGCCTTCATTGTTTTTTTGTTGTTGTTGTTTTTTGTTGTTTTTTGTTTGTTTGTTTTTGAGACGGAGTCTCGCTCTGTTGCCCAGGCTGCAGTGCAGTGGCGCAATCTCGGCTCACTGCACCCTCCGCCTCCCGGGTTCAAGCGATTCCCCTGCCCCAGCCTCCCGAGTAGCTGGGACTACAGGCGGCCGCCACCACACCTGGCTAATTTTTGTATTTTTAGTAGACACGAGGTTTCACCGTATTGGCCAGGCTGGTCTCGAACTCCTGACCTTGTGATCCGCCCGCCTCGGCCTCACAAAGTGCTGGGATTACAGGCGTGAGCCACCACGCACGGCCCATTTGCGTTCTAATTTCAGGCGTTCCTCAATCCTCTGTGGAACCAGGAAGGGCGCAAATTATAAAGGGACTGGCCCAGCGCCGCCTCTGGGCAGGCTTTGGGCAGCGCCTGGCCCGCTGCCGGCTTGGACCTCCCAGACCTAGGGGCCCGGTTCCTGGTGGAGGCTGCAGGGACCTCTGCCCCACCCGCCCGGGGGAGGCCCGAGGGGCTGGACTCAGACTGAGATTGAATGCGGCTTTGTCTTCCTAGTTCAGCCCCGGCCCACACCTGGGGCTGAGTGGAATCGGGAGCTTCGAGGGGTCTGGACAGAGAGATTGATGCCAAGAAGGGGGTGGCCGAGCCAGAGGTTGAAGTGGGCTGGATCCTGAGGCCCCCTGTTAAAGGAGAGGGCTCCCCACTCAGTGCTCCTGGAACTTTCCGAACTAGAGACTGGGACTTATAGGAGCCTTCTAGAGGAAACTGTCGTGTTTTCACAGGTGTCTTCTATTTGTGGCAAAGGATAATGGCTTTTCACTTAGGTTGTGACATAAAGGGCCTTAGAAATTGTTAATGAGTTACTTAATGTTAAAACTTAGTCACCCAGAGGCCGGGCGCGGTGGCTCATGCCTGTAATCCCAGCACTTTGTGAGGCCGAGGCAGGCGAATCACGAGGTCAGGAGATCGAGACCATCCTGGCTAACACGGTGAAACCCCGTCTCTACTAAAAAATACAAAAAATTAGCCGGGTGTGGTGGCTCATGCCTGTAATCCCAGCACTCTGAGAGGCTAAGGCAGGAGGATCATTTGAGCTCATCAGTTCAAGACCAGCCTGGGCAACATAGTGACACCTCATCTCATTAAAAATTTTAAAACAAATTTTTTTGGATTTTTTTGTAATTTTATTTATTTATTTATTTATTTTTAGTTTATCTTATTTTTTTTTTTTGAGACGGAGTCTTGCTCTGTCGCCCAGGCTGGAGTGCAGTGGCACTATCTGGGCTCACTGCAAGCTCCGCCTCCCACCTTCACCCCATTCTCCTGCCTCAGCCTCCCGAGTAGCTGGGACTACAGGCACCCACCACCACGCTCGGCTGATTTTTTGTATTTTTATTAGAGACGGGGTTTCACCGTGTTAGCCAGGATGGTCTCGATCTCCTGACCTCGTGATCTACCTGCCTCGGCCTCCCAAAATGCTGGGATTACAGGCGTGAGTCACCACCCCGGCCTTTTTTTTTTTTTTTTTTTTTAAGACGGAGTCTCGGTCTGTCGCCCAGGTTGGAGTGCAGTGGCACCATCTCGGCTCACTGCAACCTCAGCCTCCCAGGTTCAAGCGATTCTCCTGCCTCAGCCTCCCGAGTAGCTGGGATTATAGGCGCCCGCCACCACGCCTGGCTAATTTTTTTTTTTTTTTTTTTTTTTTTTTTTTTGAGACAGAGTCTCGCTATGTCGCCCAGGCTGGAGTGCGATGGCAGAATCTCGGCTTACTGCAACTTCCACCTCCTGGATACAAGCAATTCTGCTGCCTCATCCTCCTGAGTAGCTGGGATTACAGGTGCACGGCACCAAGCCCGGCTAATTTTTTTGTATTTTTAGTAGAGATAGGGTGTCACCATGTTGGTCAGGCTGGTCTCAAACTCCTGACCTCGTGATCCACCTGCTTCAGCCTCCCAAAGTGCTGGGATTACAGGCATGAGCCACTGCGCCTGGCCCTTTTTTTTTTTTTTTTTTTTTTTTTTGAAACGGAGTCTTGCTCCCTGGCCCAGGCTGGAGTGCAGTTGAGTGATCTGGGCTCACTGCAACCTCCGCTTCCCGGGTTCAAGCGATTCTCCTGCCTCAGCCACCTGAGTAGCTGAGATTACAGGCGTGTGCTACCACACCCGGCTAATTTTTATATTTTTAGTAGAGATGGGGTTTCACCATGTTGGTCAGGCTGGTTTCGAACTCCTGACCTCAGGTGATCCACCTGCCTCAGCCTCCCAAAGTGCTGGGATTACAGGTGTGAGCCACCGGCGGCGCCCAGCCTAATTTTTGTATTTTTAGTAGAGATGGGGTTTCACCATGTTGGCCAGGCTGGTCTCCAACTCCTGACCTCAGGTGATCTGCTCACTTTGGCCCCTCAGAGTGCTGGGATTACAGGCGTGAGCCAACGCACCGGGCCAACAATTTTTTTTTAATTTAAATTTAAATTTTTATTTTTTAATTTTTTATTTTACTTTAAGTTCTAGGGTACATGTGCACAATTTGCAGGTTTGTTACATATGTATACATGTGCCCGGTTGGTATGCTGCACCCATTAACTCATCATTTACATTAGATATATCTCCTAATGCTATCCCTCCCCTCTTCCCCCACCCCACGACAGGCCCCAGTGTGTGACGTTCCCCACCCTGTGTCCAAGTGTTCTCATTGTTCAATTCCCACCTATGAGTGAGAACATGCGGTGTTTGGTTTTCTGTCCTTGTGATAGTTTGCTCAGAATGGTTTCCAGCTTCATCCGTGTCCCTACAAAGGACATGAACTCATTCTTTTTTATGGCTGCATAGTATTCCATGGTGTATATGTGCCACATTTTCTTAATCCAGTCTATCATTGATGGACATTTGGGTTGGTTCCAAGTCTTTGCTATTGTGAATAGTGCCGCAATAAACATACGTGTGCATGTGTCTTTATAGCAGCATGATTTATAATCCTTTGGGTATATACCCAGTAATGGGATTGCTGGGTCAAATGGCATTTCTAGTTCTAGATCCCTGAGGAATCGCTACACTGACTTCCACAATGGTTGAACTAGTTTACAGTCCCACCAACAGTGTAAAAGCATTCCTATTTCTCCACATCCTCTCCAGCACCTGTTGTTTCCTGGGTTTTTAATGATTGGCATTCTAACTGGTGTGAGATGCTATCTCAATGTGGTTTTGATTTGCATTTCTCTGATGGCCAGTGATGCTGAGCATTTTTTCATGTGTCTGCAGGCCAACAATTTTTTTAAGGAAAAAAAAAAAGTGACTCAGTTGGGCACTGTGGCCTACGCCTGTAATCCAATTGAGACAGCCAAGTCTAAAGGGGTCCCGCTTTGGGAGGCCGAGACGGGCGGATCACGAGG
The DNA here is from genome assembly GCF_000001405.40 of Homo sapiens. Taxonomy (NCBI): domain Eukaryota; kingdom Metazoa; phylum Chordata; class Mammalia; order Primates; family Hominidae; genus Homo; species Homo sapiens. The sequence continues at coordinate 576,603 of NW_016107298.1, forward strand.
TCAGGAGACCGAGACCATCTTAGCTAACACGGTGAAACCCCGTCTCTACTAAAAATTAGCCGGGAGTGGTGGCGGGCACCTGTAGTCCCAGCTACTCGGGAGGCTGAGGCAGGAGAATAGCTTCAACCTGTGAGGCGGAGCTTTCAGTGAGCCGAGATCGCACCACTGCACTCCAGCCTGGGCGACAGAGCGAGACTCCGTCTCAAAAAAAAAAAGAGGTCCAGGAGAAACTCCCACACCTGCCTAAGCACTGGAAGAACTGGGTAGAGCCACAGAAGCTCTGCAGGGGGGAGGAGCTTTGCAGGGGGAGGAGCTATGCAGGGGGAGGAGCTATGCAGGGGGAGGAGCATGCAGGGGGAGGAGCTATGCAGGGGGGAGGAGCTTGGTCTCATGTTCGGGGTGGAACTTGGGATTCTATCTGGGAGGCGAGAAACCAGCTAGCGGGACTCTCTCTCGCTTTGCTGAGAGTCCCTGTTTCCCTTTTTTTCCTTCTTGCCCAATAAATTCCATTTTTCTCACTCTTCAAAGTGTCTGCGAGATTAATCTCTCATGGCCGCTGCACAAGAACCTGGCTTTTAGCTGAACTAAGGAGAAAGTCCTACAACAGTTTGGCGTGCAACATGGGGCTTGAGAAAGGGTGAGTGAGATGCAAACCAAGAAATTTTTTTCCTCTCTTTCTAAGCCTATTTATCTTCGGACTTCTGAGGGGGAGGGGAGGGGAAACCGTGACCCCACCCCCTTGGTCTCCATGGCCTTTTCCTTACTTCTGGACGGATGGGCGAACGGCGGTTCTCTGTCGCCCAGGCTGGAGTGCAGTGGCGCCATCTCGGCTCACTGCAAGCTCCACCTCCCGGGTTCACACCATTCTCCTGCCTCAGCCTCCTGAGTAGCTGGGACTACAGGCGCCCGCCACCACGCCCGGCTGATTTTTTGTATTTTTAGTAGAGACGGGGTTTCACCGTGTTAGCCAGGATGGTCTCGATCTCCTGACCTCGTGATCCGCCCGCCTTGGCCTCCCAAAGTGCTGGGATTACAGGCGTGAGCCACCGCGCCCACCCCTCCATGAAGAAAGTTTTTCTAAATGAAAAATGTTTAGGACGCTCAGGAGAGAAAGAACAGATTAAGGAATGATCTCCACCGCACAGACCTCAAGGCTGTTATGCATGCAGGGCACAGTTCCAGTGCAAATGTCCGCAGGCACGGCATGAGGGCCCCCACTGGGTGCCTCGGGCTCCTTCCAGGGCAGCAGTTGAAGCGGGTCGTACTGCAGGCCTGCAGAAAGGCTGGGGTTCCTCTCCTTTTCGGGTTCCTTCCTGATGGAATCCTAGGTTTTCAGCGGTTCCTTCCTGATGGAATCCTAGGTTTTCAGCAGCTTCCGGAGGCCGCCTGGACTGCAGAAGGCGCCCTGGGCGTGTGTACTTCCACCTCCGCAGGCGCTGGCATCTCCAGGCTGCTTCAGGCCGCTTTGGACCTCACCATCGGTAGCATCTGCGTCTTCTTGAGGTGACTGGAGCCCGTCTATGGTTTCAGCCATTGACTTCTGGACATGGAAGTGTCGAGGCCATTTTTGGCCCCTCTCATATCCGGGAAGGGCTCCGTGCCCAGTAGAGGTGCAGTGCAGCAGCCAGCTCGCAGCAGTGCTCCCGTAGAGCTGATGGCATTGGCAGGAGTGGCGGCTCAGCACAGGGAAGTTCTCCAGTGCCCAGGCCCAGGCTTGCTCTCGGTTTAGGTCCCATGGCACGTGGGGCTCTGGACCTGCCTGCCTCCAAGACAGCTCTTCCAAGGTTGAGGGTTGGAACTCCACAGCCTCAGCCTCCCAAAGCTTGACCAGGCCCAGCCATAGCTAGTCTAGGAAAAGAGCAAATGGCCGTGTTTTTATATTTTGACTTTTGCATTTCAATATTAATTTTTTTGGTAATGTAATGCATTCAAAACATGGTCCCCCCCCCCAAAAAAAAAAGAAAAGAAAAAGAAAAAAGCATGTTTCTAACCAGGGGTCCTTCATCTTCTGCAGATGCCAAGGGTGTCCCTGGCACAGTAAAAGTTTGGAAGCCCTGCCCTAAAGCCTCACCTCACCTGGCAGCTGGGTGTTTCATTCATAGCAAATGTTCTGTATATTCACCATGTACCAAACACACATGTCACTAATGATACAAACACATGTGCACTGACATTGACCTCCTCACTGTCTTACTATAGTCCCATCCACAGCCACCTTATCAGAGTCCATGGGACTCTGACAACTTGTAATGGGAAAATTAACCGTGCCTGTAGGGGCCGCCTGGGTAGCGGGAGGTGGTTCATGAGTACCAGGAAAGCTGGCCCTGGGGCAGACCTGGGCAGGGCAGAGCACAGCTTGCAGGACCTAGTACACAGTGTTGGGAATTGAATTTGGGTTTTGACCTTTGAAGCTGTGCATAAAGTCTAAAACAAGAAGAGGAGTGGAGGCTGAGGTTGTATTTGTATTTTAAAATGAGCATTTGCCACACAAAGCCAGGAGCTTCAGACCAGCGTGGTTAACACAGCGAGACCCTCCTCTCTGTGAGAAATTAAAAAAAAAACAATAATAAAAGCCAGGCATGTTGGCATGTACCTGTAGTCCTAGCTCCTCAGGGGGTGAGGCGGGAGGATCACTTGACTCCTGGGTTACAGTGAGCTCTAATTGCCACTGCACTTCAGCCTGGGCCACAGAGTGAGACCTTTTCTCAAAATAAAATAAAATAAAATATAACCTTTTGGGCAGGCATGGAAAGGGGCTGGAGAGAATAAGAGGAAACAGAGATAAGCCCCCTCCCTGGGAGCACAAGGGACTCATCCCCAGACATGGCACCACAGGCAAACAGACACTGTCACAAAACTAGCATATTCTCTTTCCTAGAAGTCCTTTGTTTTCCCCAAGTGCCCTTTCCCCCAACCTTTTGTTGGTTTACGAGCTCTCAATTCTAACCTCCTAGTACACGAATAAAAATGTCTATCGGGGTGGTGGCGTGAGCCTGTAGTCCCAGGTACTTGAGAGGCAGAGGTGGGAGGATCCTCTGACCATAAGAGTTCCTGACCAGCCTGTGCAATACTGACTCCATCTCAAACAAAAAACAGAAAGCTATACAACTCCGTTTCTCTTGCTAATTTGTCTTTTGTCAGTTTAATTTGCAGGCCCCAGATGCTGAATCTAAGAGGGCAGAGGAAAAGCTTTTCCTCCCTGACATAACCATCCAGGAGAAAGTCTGGAATGGAGGGTCAGAGGGGTAGGGAATGGAGTTAGGAGAAGTAGATAGATTCAGGACAGTCTTTGGAGAATGTACATCACTGAGGTCAAGATGTCCTAGGGAATGGCCCTTCTGGGTTCACAATTCTGCTTCCGTCGGTTAACAGCAACTTAGTCCCTTCTATGCCTGTGGGGATAATCAGTCAGGATAGGCTGGATTATGCTGCTCTAACAACCCCAAATTTCTCTGATCTAATAAAAGTATACTCAAAGCTGTATACCCTTCAAGGGTCCCCTGGGGTCTCTGCTCATTGTAGTTCCTGCCCTGGCTACAGGCATAACCATGTGGAAATCAAAGGCTTTCTTGGCAAAGAGAAAGAGAGCTCTAGAAGCTTTAGCACTGGCAAATAAATAAATGCTTGGCGTATAGGTGATATATGGCTCTTCTGGCTCAGGTCCTTGGCCAGAATTAATCACATGGTCTCACCTCAAGGGAACAGGTGAGTTAAATGCAGAAAAATATTCAAGCTGGGTGAGGTGGCTCACGCCTCTAATCCCAGCACTTTAGGAGGCCGAGGCGGGAGGATCGCTTGAGCCCAAGAAGATCATGGTTGCCGTGATCCATGATCATACCACGGCACTCCAGACTGGGGACCAAAGTGAGACCTTGTCTCTAAAAATTAAAATATTTAGAATGTTTCCTAGCATAAAAGATGTGCTACGTGTGTATTATTACTGTTGCTATTGCCAGAAAGTACAATCAACAGGAACTGCTGGTGGCTTGAGGGGGAGCATATGGTCATAGCTGACTCCCAGGTTTCTGGCTTGTATTGTGACTGTTTCTGGCCTGTATTGTGACCATCACTGCCATCAGGAACCCTAGAGCAGGTCGGGTGTGGTGGCTCACGCCTGTAATCCCAGTACTTTGGGAGGCTGAGGTGGGTGGATCACTTGAGGCCAAGAGTTCAAGACCAGCCTGGCCAACATGGTGAAACCCCGTCTCTACTAAAAATACAAAAATTAGCCAGATATGGTGGTGGGCGCCTGTAATCCCAGCTACTTGGGAGGCTGAGGCACAAGAATTGCTTGAATCCGAGAGGTGGAGGTTGCAGTGAGCAGAGATCAAGCCACTGTACCCCAGCCTGGGCAACAGAGCAAGACTCTGTCTCGGAAAAAAAAAAGAAAAGAAAACCTGGAGCAGGCATGGGGTATACGTCATGGGTCACTACTCTTGGATACAATTGACGAAAACCACAATCAACTGGCTTAAGCCGTTTTATAACCCAGCATTAGGCCAGCCTGGATCCAGGGGTCAGATACTGAGATCAAGCTTTGATCTGCTCAGGATTCCCCCCTCCCCAAGGCTCCTGCTTCCAGATGACCCCAGTGTGCATTTCGTCCGCCAGCGTGGGTCACATGTCCATCCCTGACCAGGGTGCTACAGTGCTCTGGTTGGCCAAGCTTTGGCCATGGGGTTTACCTCACCCTACTTTTACGCAAGAGTATGTGGTGGCCTAACACAGGTGGGGGACCCTGCTTCAATACCAGCCTTTATCCACAGATGACCCCACGCCTTCTGCTCCAGAGCATCAGGGTTATAACACATGGGACACACGGGGCACACATACACTCCCACGCAACATCCACACACCCCACAAAACTACCTGAGCCCACATAGTCAGGGCAGGGACAGGCACAGAACAAAGTGGGTGCACAGGGACTCGCAGGGAGGTCGAAGAGCTGAGTCTCGTCGGGAGGCTGAGGGGGAAGAGCGGGCACTGGGCTGCGAGTGTGCAGAGCTGGAGGTGGGGGACTGCGGTAAGTACCCGTCCTGGGGTGCGGGCCCTGCTGGGAAGCATTGGGAGCAAGAAGGGTTAGATCCTCAAAGGAGGATAATTCTTCCAGAAGGTTTTCTTTGTTTTGTTTTGTTTTGTTGAGGCACCAAGATTGGAGTGCAGTGGCGCCATGTCAGCTCACTGCAACCTCCGCCTCCGAGGCTCAAGCAATTCTCTTGCCTCAGCCTCCCGACTAGCTGGGACTACAGGCACCTGCCGCCACGCCCAACTAATTTTTTTAATTTTTAGTACAGATGGGGTTTCACTCTGTTGGCCAGGCTGGTCTCGAACTCCTGACCTCGTGATCCGCCCACCTCGGCCTCCCAGTGCTGGGACTACAGGTGTGAGCCACCGCGCCTGGCCTCTTCCAGAAGGTTTTCGATGGCAGCAGGTGGAGGGGAGCGAGAGGGCCATCGCTCCTGCTGCAAGGGCAGCCCCTCCACGGGATCCCACACTCCTGACCCGTTCAGTATAGACGGGGTACTCCCGGTGCGGCCTGTCACCGCTCTGTCTGGCGCTGGCGCTCCTAGAGAAGGCCATGCCGACCTCTCCCCCACCTCGCTCCAGATTCCCCTTCTTGAGCTGCTTTTCCCACAGTCCCCCCAGGCGCCACTGAGAGCCTCCCGTCTTCGATGGGCTTGGGGCGCCTGGACCCTTCCGGGGTCACTTTGCCGTCTTCCTCCAGCCCCCCTCCCTACTCCTTGTCGCCGCCCCCTCGTCTTTTCAGGACCTTGCGCACTCAGGCTGGCCCTATGCTTTGGGGTACCCCAGCAGTGCCCCCGGGTCTCCGGCCACCCGGTGACGGAGGGAGGGAGAGGCTGGCGAGGGGGCGGCGCCTTAGGTCCCAGCGCGACCCGCCTCTCAGCCCCTCCCGCCGGCTACAGCCGCGCGGGACGGGGCAGGGACCTCGAGAACACCGGGGACTTGCGGGCCGGTGGCCCCGGGCAGGCCACTTCTGACGCGGGTGCGAGGCCTTCCGCGGGCGTGCACGGTTGGGCCGGAGCCGCGCCGGGGGCCGGGACACGCCTGGGGTCAGCGCTGGCGTCGCCGCTCGGGTGGGGTGGGCCGGGTTCGGGTCCAGTCTCCTCCCCACGGGCGGCCCGCGCCCCGTCTTCCAGTGACCCCCACATCCCTTGCGCCCCGAGCTGGAACTTCGGCAGGTTCTGCCCCGGGCCGCGCGCGCTTTCTGGGGACCAGGGCTGTGGTTCCTGCTCCGCGTTGTGCCTTTAGACACCGCCGGGCGTTCGTCCTCCATCCCTCCCCCCTTTTCCCCACTCCGCGGTTGACGAGGGCCGCCCCCAAGTGGCCATGTCCCCCGGCATGGACGACCCCTCAGTGCCCCTGAGGGCCCAGGGTCTCGCCCCCGTCCCGAGGCAGGCCATGTTTGAATTTATTTGGAGAAATTCGCCCAGCCCAGGGGACCTCTTTCTGCAGCTCTGGCCTTCCAGTAGGAGAGGGTCCCTGGGGCTCTCAGGCCTGACAACTTGGCATCACTGAATTCTCTAACCATGTCTGTCCATGACTTGAACTCCTTTTCTTTTAGAAAGATCTTTGCAAACCCCTTGTGGGCGTGCCCCTCCCATGGCCCCCGTGCCTCTTGCCTGGGCTTTGGGCTTGTCTGAAAGGGCTAAAAGGGGGTGATGCCTGGCCGGGCGGGTGGCTCACGCCTGCAGTCCCAGCACTTTGGGAGGCCGAGGTGGGCGGATCACCTGAAGTCAGGAGTTCAAGACCATCCTGGCCAACATAGTGAAACCCATCTCTACTAAAAATACAAAAATTAGCAAGGCTTGGTGGCAGGCACCTGTAGTCCCAGCTACTTGGGAGGCTGAGGCAGGAGCAGGAGAATTGCTTGAACCTGGGAGGCAGAGGTTGCAGTGAGCTGAGATCGTGCCACTGCACTTCAGCCTGGGTGACAGAGAGAGACTGTCTCAAAAAAAAAAAAAAAAAAAAAAAAAAAAAGTGATGTCCAGTGCCTGGGGATTTTTCCTAGGGAGTGGTCAAGGAAGGCCCCGCTGAGGAGGAGACATTTAGGGTGGGAAGTTGCCATGTAGGGCAGGAGTGGAAAGGGTTTTGGACCAGAGGGAGAGCCAGGGAAAAGTCACCAGGTAGAATGAGCTGGCATGATTAGGAAGACGGCAAGGGAGGGCTGTGGCCCTCCCATGTGAGTGGAAGGGAGTGGCTGCAGCGCAGAAGGCCTGGAGGCCCCCGCACAGACCAGGACCTCTGTAGAGGAACTCATCCCCTGTGTCCCCTGTGATTGTCAATCTCCCTAAAGATGGCCCAGAGCAGTGCGGCCTGAATCCCTCAGTGGCCTTGTCTCTGGCTGCCCCAGCACCCACGCGGACACTTGACTCCACGCCCCAAAGAAAAGAAGCGAACCTGGGAACACCACTGCCAAGGCATAGGATTATTTGGGAGGGGGGAAGGGGGAACTGAGGAGGTGGTTACAACATGCTGGGCAGCAACAGACAGAACCAGACCACCCCTGTGGCTGCCCCGGCTGGTCTCCTGGGACCACTGGGCGCTTGGCTCAGGCCTCTCCTGCCCTCCCCACTCTTCCACCTCAGCCCCCCTGCAGTCTCTGTCCTGCCCTGACCCCCCAGCTTACAGCCCCAAAAGCAGCTAAACAACTCGCACACCCACGGGGCATCGCCTGGGAGGGCAGCCCAAATCCTTCCACTTCAGCCCCATTTGAAAGATGAGGAAATGAGAGGCTGGTCCATAGTGGGTCTCGCGGCTCAGGTGCCGAGCCTTCCCTGGGCATGCACGCCGGGCCCTGGAGGGTGGGAAGGGGCCAGTGGACGCGGGGAGCCTGCGGGGTGGGACTGCATCGGGAAAGGGGAAGGAGTCAGAGGCGAGAAGGGGGAGAGTGTCTGTTTGGCTCCAGCCGCTGCACGCTCTTCCTGCTCAGGGGACTCACGGTGACCCCGGAGCCACTCCCCAGCCCAGCCTCCAGGTAAGAGGTCACTGAGATGGGTGGCAGCAGGGGCCGGGGATCCCCCTATTACGACAGCGGTCATGGGACGCTGACTCACTGCCGGCCAGACCACCTGACCTCCGCGGCGGGAGGAGAGGGCCCTGCCAGGGGGTTCCCGCCGCGCCTTGTTTACCTCCGGGAGGCCTCGGCCTCGCGTGGGGGCAGGGCGGCCGCTGGGGCCGCAAGGCGTGCGGGGAAGGGCCAGAGCCGGGTGTCCACCCCAGCTTCCCAAAGACTCCCTCTTCTGTGCTTCCTTCTCCCCTCCCCGCCCCCCCCCAGTCTCTTCACATGCCCCTAGCCCCCGCGGAAACTTCCCGCGATCCCAAACGGGCCAAATGGCGAGAAAGCAAAGGAGCTCCTTCTTGGGGGTGAGTGGGGCGCCTTGAGCGCTTCCTCAAAGCTATGTTCCCAGAGCCACAGGCCTTCCTTGTGTCCCTCACCCTGCTCAGACCGGGCCATAGCCGGGGGCTGGGGCAGGAAAGCCGGCCCTCGGCGGGGGCCACGTGGCTCTCAGGCGCCTGGGCTGCTGAGTCACGCTTGGCCAGCACCTGTCTGTAGGCCACAGCCTCTGCCAGCACGCCCCTCTGTGTCCCCTGCCCCTGTCTGCAAGGCAGTGGCTCCAGCAGGCCCTGGGGCATTTTCCACTCTCCACCGCCGGATGCAGGGAGAGGCCTGAACCCTCTCCACAGGGCTGCTCTGGGCAGGGTGGAAGCCTTGCCCACTTCGGAGCCCTCCGGGAAGGATCATTCACACCTGTGGACCAGCCCCTGCTGTGCGCACACCCACACATCACCTTCGCACCTGACTGGCCCCATCCAGCCACTCTTGCCTCCCTCTGGGTTTCCTCCCCTGGGAGGTTTCTCCAGCTCCTGCAAGCCCTGGGCTGAAATGGCATGAGTTGGACCCAGCAGGTTCTGACCTCCTACTCACAGGACCTTGCCTGGGAGGCTCCAGAGGGTGACCACTCGTCCTGCCCCTCTCCTTGCCCCAGTTCTGGCGGACAGGTTACTCTGGTGGCATAAAGCAGTGTTTCTTCCTTCCTAGCTGAGGAGGCTGTTGGCTGACCCCCTTGGCTGCCCACAAGGCCAACGGGCCTGAGCCCCCACAGGGCCATGGGCATTACCTGCTGAATTGAGGAGCCCATAAGGAGTCACTTGGACCACAGTGAACACTTGGCGACCACTGACACTCAGGAGACCTTAGCTGGTCCTCCAGCACCTCTCAACTCCACTCCTACTAAACTGGGAACTTCTCTGGTGCTCAGGCCAGAGTCGGGGTCCGTCACCGAGTATGCTATGCGCTGCCCATCACCGAGGATGCCATGCGCTGTAAGAGGGCTGCCACCGCGGCAGGCTGACCATGGCAGGGTCGGAACAGCAACCTGAGAGCCAGCTTGTTCTGGCCAGCAGTGCCCACTGGGCGACCTAGCAGCCTCCTGATATGGGGGCTGTGTCCCCCTCTCCCTGCACTGGGTACCCCCAACTGAGGATATTGCTGAGTCATGGCCAGGCCCAAGCCTGGGAGGGGCGAGGGGCTGGACCCCCGCCAGTACCCTGATCCCAGGTGCAGAGGCTGGAGCCCAGGCCTGTATGAGTGCCAGGGCCGGTTTCCTGGGGTCCTTGGTGCACCGGGGCAATGAAGAGAGGGGTCAGCAATGAGGGGGCCGGGAGACCTGGAGCGAGGGGTAGCGGGGAAGGGGAGAGTAGTGAAGGGGCCTCTGCAGGGCGGCTCTCGCGCCGCGACGACGGTGGCGGGGGCGGGGAGGGCGCGAGAGACTCCGCCCCTCTCGAGGCGGGGCGGGGCCTCCGCGTTCGCTACAAAAGCCGCGCGGCGGCTGCGACCGGGACGGCCCGTTTTCCGCCAGCTCGCCGCTCGCTATGGCGTCGCTCACCGTGAAGGCCTACCTTCTGGGCAAGGAGGACGCGGCGCGCGAGATTCGCCGCTTCAGCTTCTGCTGCAGCCCCGAGCCTGAGGCGGAAGCCGAGGCTGCGGCGGGTCCGGGACCCTGCGAGCGGCTGCTGAGCCGGGTGGCCGCCCTGTTCCCCGCGCTGCGGCCTGGCGGCTTCCAGGCGCACTACCGCGGTGAGCGGGCCGGGGAGCGGCGGGGGCGGTGACGCAGGCCGGACACGGCCTCCTGCCGCGGGGTGGCTGCCCCCTCCCTTCTCGGCGACGCCTGGCGGGCCGTGAGGGGGTCTGCGCTGGCTGCTCCCTGGATGGCGGTGGCCTGCATGGGTCCCCAGTTCGGCCATGGGAGCCGGCCTGGTGACTGGAGTGGTGACCAAGGCCGGGACCCGCTGCTCAGCGTCGGCCCCCTGGGGCGGTGGAGCCCTGCCGGCCGGGGGCTCGAGCCTGGGGGCGTCAGACGCCCCGCTCCACCCCCCGCGCTGTTGGGGATTTTGGCAAGGACGCGCCGGGGCGAACGCTCTGGCTCTCCGCGGGCACTGGGTGGTCAGGCGGGCACTCGGGTTACACTGACACCTTGCTGCGCCAGGTGGTGGGTTCAGATAATGCCCTGGAGGAGCCGGGCGAGCGCCGGCGAGGGGAGGGAGTGACGCGGGTAAACAAGCGCGGGGGTGCGGGGGACTCGCGAGCGCCGCGACAGCGCCTGGGAGAAGGGCACGGATCGCCGGCGGAACGCTCCGAGCCAGGTCGAGTACAGATGTTTTCCCATTGGCAAGTGGACGAGAACGTTCTTCAGAAGTGTTGGTGTTGGCCCAGAAGCCCTGTTTCCTGCTGCGCTGGTGTGACCAGTGGCTGCTGGGGGTGGGGTTAGGGAGGTGGTTGTGGCCAGGAGGGCGGGAGGTGGCCAAGGCCGGCCCCTGGGAGGGTGCAGTGCTAGGACCTCCCTCTGGAGCGCTGCCAGCATACCAGGCCCTCTCCTATTCTTAAAAAAAAAAAATTGTGATGTTATTGAGCTGTAACTGAAATAAGGGTTCACCCATTTAGTGTACAAGTCAGTGGTTTTCACTATTTTCATAGGTTTGTGGACCATATTCAGTGTGAGAGCTTTTCATCACCTTATAAACGCCATACATACCTTTTATCACCCTCTTATCCACATGCCCCCAGCAACCTCCTTTCTGTATCTATTCATCTTGCAATCCTGGACATTTCATGTAAATAGAATCAGACAATGTAGTCTTGCAAGTGGTTTCTTTCACTTAGTGTAATGTGTTCAGTGTTGTGGCACATATCAGAACTAGTTTTTTTTGGAGGAATAATATTCTGTTGTGTGGACAGGCCATGTTTTGTTTACCTGTTCATTAGTTGACAGACATTTGGGTTGTTTGCATCTTTGGGTGCCTCACCTGTGCCCTCGGTGGATGGCGTGGTTTGGTCTGCACAGCTGTGCTTTAAAGCCATTTCAGCTCACATGTATCTGTCACAAATGGAGACTACATACAAATACGTGTCTTTCAGCTTTGTTAGGGAAGGAAGCAGGCAGATGCCCTTGTCTTCTCCTTTACTCCCAAGCCACTAGAAGTCTAAGGCCTTTGTGGGGCTGGGCCCCTCAGGAGCAGGTCACAGGCAGGGATCTCCCACAGTTGAAGACGGACATGGGCCTGGTCGGATGGGGAATGAGGTGGCACGTTTCTGAAAAGGCAGCTGGCCCAAGGCTAAATAAGTGCAGCAGCCAAAGCTGCTGCCCCTGTGCACAGGCCCTCCGCCCCCTGCATGTGGCTGTGGTCCAGGGCCCAGGTCGGAGCACTCACCTTCCAGGAGGTGCCAGAGCAAGGGGGTAGTCTTGCCTCTCACTCCTGCCCTCTGTGGCTCAAGTAGGTGTGTTTGTTTATAGCCCTGTGAGTGTCCCTTTCATACTTGCCTCAGCCCATTCCAGCAGCTTATGTCCAGCTGAGAACCCCTGGGTGCTCACGTGCTGTCTTTTAAACAATCTAGATGAGGACGGGGACTTGGTTGCCTTTTCCAGTGACGAGGAATTGACAATGGCCATGTCCTACGTGAAGGATGACATCTTCCGAATCTACATTAAAGGTAAGGGGCTGCTCTGGGGGCTGCCTGAAGCCAGCTCAGCTTGTACTCAGTTCCCTGCTGAGTAAAAAACAGGGCTCGATGTTCCACCAATGAAGGGGTCAGCAATTTGAGGGCTGTTTAAGACAGAGACATAGGCCAGGTGTGGCTCACGCCTGTAATTCCAGCACTTTGGGAGGCCGAGGCGGGCAGGTCACCTGAGGTCAGGAGTTTAAGAACAGCCTGGCCAACATGGTGAAACCTTGTCGCTACTAAAAATACAAAAATTAGCCGGGTGTGGTGGTACATGCTTCTAGTCCCAGCTACTCAGGAGGCTGAGACGAGAATCACTTAAACCTGGAAAGCGGAGGTTGCCATGAGCCGAAGTCACATGACTGTACTCCAGCCTAGGCGACAAAAAAAAAAAAAAAAAAAAAAAAAAAAAAAGACATTTTAAGTGCTGTGCTTGACCTGAGAAAGAGGAGTCCATGTTCACTCTAGGGATGGGGTCTGGTGCCGTGGTGCTTGGGTTAGGGATGGGGTCTGGTGCCGTGGTGCTTGGGTGAAGGGCAAGGCCAAAGCTGTGCAGACAGGGCTCCTTGCTGCTGCTCTGCTGCCTGGGCCAAACAGACACAGGGACTGGGAACCTCCTAGCAGGTTCTTGGTGGCTCTGCTGCCCTCACCTAAGTGGCTGAATTTTGTGTGGATTCCATGCTGGAGAGCAGGGCCGGGGGCCTTGCTGGCAGTGACAGCCCCACAGTGACGACAGAGGGGGAGGACTTTAGGGGGTCCCACCCTAGCGGCTCTCTTTACCCTTCCTGTAGAGAAAAAAGAGTGCCGGCGGGACCACCGCCCACCGTGTGCTCAGGAGGCGCCCCGCAACATGGTGCACCCCAATGTGATCTGCGATGGCTGCAATGGGCCTGTGGTAGGAACCCGCTACAAGTGCAGCGTCTGCCCAGACTACGACTTGTGTAGCGTCTGCGAGGGAAAGGGCTTGCACCGGGGGCACACCAAGCTCGCATTCCCCAGCCCCTTCGGGCACCTGTCTGAGGTGAGCAGGCCCTCTGTGCAGGCCTGGGGTGGGCTCAGGGTGGCAGGAACCTTGACCCGCTCACTGCCTGCCGCTCTGCTAATTCCTCCCCCAGGGCTTCTCGCACAGCCGCTGGCTCCGGAAGGTGAAACACGGACACTTCGGGTGGCCAGGATGGGAAATGGGTCCACCAGGAAACTGGAGCCCACGTCCTCCTCGTGCAGGGGAGGCCCGCCCTGGCCCCACGGCAGAATCAGGTGAGGCTTGTGTTGGAACCTGCTTCTGATTGGTGACAGTAGTCAGGCAGCCTGTGTGCAGGGCCCTTGTGCAAAGCGTGTGTGCAAGGCAAGAATTCAGGATACCCCCCACCTTCCTGGTGCCCTACAATCACACAAGAACCCTGCAAAGGGGGGTGTATTCTCTCCATTTCCCAAATGGGGAAACTGAGGTGCCTAAGTGCCTGAGGCCACAAATTTACCTGCACAGCCCTTCCTACCTCAGGAGGCTGCCCTCTCAAGGTACCCTGAGGTGCAGGCAGGGAGGCCCTTCCAGCCCAGGGGTCTTTGATGCACTTTGTTCTCTTTTGTGATGGTTGTCAGGAAGATCAGAGCCAAAGTTGCTGAAGTCCTTTGAAACATAGTTATAAGTGAAAGACTTACCGTTAGCTTTGTAGTCTAGATTTTTGGATTCTGATTTTATTAATGTTACTGTGTCCTGTGAATCACCTCACCCTTTGGGACAAAGATGGGGATGTTTGCTTGACTTTGAGTAAATAACATATTTACTCAAGGAGGTGATCAATATTCACAGTGTACTGAGCCTGAGCCTCTGTGGGGTTGCTGAGCACCAGGGTCACAGATGAGGGGGAGATGGCACGGGAGAGTGGAGATGCTCTCTGTGCAGGGCCAGGGGGTGCAGAGTGGGAGGAAGGAGAGGGGGATGCTGAGTGGGTCACTGGACAAGATGTCCGGGTTAAAGGTCACCCGGGAACACAGGGACCTTGGCAAGAAGGTGACAGGACTGTGACAGGTATCCAAGGCATTAAAGATATCTTTATCTTATCTTTGTAAAAATCAAAGCTTCTGGTCCATCGGAGGATCCGAGTGTGAATTTCCTGAAGAACGTTGGGGAGAGTGTGGCAGCTGCCCTTAGCCCTCTGGGTGAGTGCACCTCCTTGCCCAGTGCTTCCCTAACTCAGCCTGCACTTTATGTAACTTTCACCTGGAATACTGCAAAGGAATGGGTAATTGACATGCCCTTGACACTGGTGAGGATTTGTTGCCTCAAATCAACCTTTAGTAGTGCTGGACCACGGGCAACTCAAGGTTGAATTCCCTGACAAAATTCTCGAGCTTTCTACATGGAGTGAAGTCGAATCAGCTGGCATTTGGTTGGGATAATCCCAGTGAGGGAGGGTGACCAGACTGTGGTTGCAGGTCTTGCCTGTCACCTCTGACTGCCCTCCTTTGGGTGAACAATAGTCTGCAATTTCCCCTAAGCCAGGCCTTGGGATTTGGACTTTTGAGGACCTGGGTAGTAGTTAGTTGACATGCTATTTATCTTTTCCTTCTTTTAGTTTACAACCCCCAAACCTTTCTGGTGCTTCTGAGTGCTGGGCCTGCCTCAGAGCGGGGAGAAGGTGGAGGCAGGTGCTCTGGGTGACACCCGGTTCTGGTGCCTCAGGTTGCACAGTGGGTCTGTGGGGTGGGTGAAGGTGCCACCTGACCCCAGGCATGAGCTCAGGCTCTGAGACCCCTCCCTGCTGGGCTTTAGAAAGTGCCTGTTGCGTCTGGCTAAGGGTCTCGGGTGGGTGCTGCAGGGTTAGGCATGCGGCAGTGAGAATCAGTGAATGAAGCCAACTTCTAGTTCAAGATGACGGTGGATCTGTGATGGCAGATGGATCGCTGGGACACCTGCATCTCTCGCTAGACGAGTGAGCTTGTTTTTGTGACTGCAGTGGCAGGCTGTGTCCACCCAGCCTGTCCAAAGGTTGTGTTCAGTGTCTGAAAGAATGCTGCTAGGAGGGGCGTCCGAACCATGCCTGCTGCCTCCTGTGGCTACAGGGCGTGACTGCCATCTGCTCCAACTTTGCTCATTCCGATTTTTTTTTTTTTTTGAGATGGAGTCTTGCTCTGTCACGGAGGCTGGAGTGCAGTGGTGCCATCTCTGCTCACTGCAACCTCCCCCTCCTGGGTTCAAGTGATTCTCCTGCTTCAGCCTCCTGGGTAAGTGGGATTACAGGTACCCGCCACCACGCCCAGCTAAGTTTTGTATTTTTTTAGTAGAGACGGGGTTTCGCCACGTTGGCCAGGCTGGTCTTGAACTTCTGACCTCAGGTGATCCACCCGTCTTGGCCTCCCAAAGTGCTGGGATTACAGGTGTGAACCACTGCGCCTGGCCTTGCTCATTCCACTTTGAGGCGGCAGTGACATCTTGGCATTGCTTCTGAACTAAACAGCCCAAACACGCATGGCTTCTGTACTAGAGTTTAGAGGTGAAGTCAGAGAATAGGAAAGAAGAATCGCTAGTCTGTTTTTTTTTTTTTTTTTCTTTGAGACAGACTTTCACCCTTGTCGCCTAGGCTGGAGTGCAGTGGTGTGATCTCGGCTCACTGCAACCTCTGCCTTCCAGGTTCAAGCGATTCTCCTGCCTCAGCCTCCCAAGTAGCTGGGATTATAGGTGCCCACCACAACGCCTAGCTATTTTTTGTATTTTTAGTAGAGACGGGGTTTCACTGTGTTGGCCAGGCTGATCTCGACACCTGCCTCGGCCTCCCAAAGTGCTGGGATTACAGGTGTGAGCCACCGAGCTCGGCCAAGAATCAGTATTCTTAATGCTTTCCAAGGAGGGTAAACAGTGGAGCACCGAGGTCATGATTGAGAGATCGGCTGTGCCTAAATCCTGCCACTCACTCTGGACGTAGTAAAGGTCTGAGAGATTGCCGGTGAATTTGGAGATATGAACAAGAGTCCTTCACTCAAAGAACAAAGGAGACATCCCGGGAAGTCACAAAACCAAGTCTAGGTTCAGGTAGAGACTTTTAAAACAGTGCAGATCCCCAGACCTTACCTTTTTTGATCCTGGTGAGTGAGTGTTGGTGGGGCCTGGGATTTGTCTGGGAGGCTGCCCAGGTGCTTGGGGTCACTGTCTCAAGACCCACCTGTGCTGGTGCAGCATCTCAGAACTGAACTGGACGCCCCACTTGGCACAGACAGGAATAATCTTGCAGATGCTCAGATGTCTTTTTTTTTCTGAGACGGAGTCTCGCTCTGTCGCCCAGGCTGGAGTGCAGTGGCACGATCTTGGCTCCTGGGTTCACGCCATTCTCCTGTCTCAGCCTCCCGAGTAGCTGGGACCACAGGCGCCCACCACCACGCCCGGCTAGTTTTTTGTATTTTTAGTAGAGACGGGGTTTCACCTTGTTGGCCAGGATGGTCTCGATATCCTGACCTCGTGATCCACCCGCCTCAGCCTCCCCAAGTGCTGGGATTACAGGCGTGAGCCACTGCACCCGGCCCTCAGATGTCTTTGAGCACTAAAAGCTAAAGGCTTAAAGTGGATAGAATTGCTTTCTCCGAACTAGGGAGGAGCCTGAAGCTCTACAAACAAGGAATATTTCAGTAAAATAGACTGAGTGGTTTCAGCTGAGGAGAGCCAGTGGAGGAGCGGCTTAGACTGTTGTGGAAGTTAGGGCTAGTTTCTTTCTTTATGAGGAACTATAAGCTGGATGACTCACAGGTTAACTGCCTAGAAGGGACTGTTCCCAGAGCAGGGCCCAAGGGGGAACGAACGAGTCAACAGCTGCCTCCCGGTGGCAGTGTGTGTAGGGTAAGCGGCAGCTTTCATGTGAAGTGCCAAGGCCTTTTGGTTGGGGGGCTGAGAACCTGCTGAGGGAGCCACAACTGAGACCCAGGCTGCTCCTGGCTGGGAGGCTACAGGCCCCGAAGCCACAGGGCCCCTCCTGGTCGTGGGATCTTTGATAAACCGACACGCAGAGGCTTTGTGAGGCAGCAGGGCACGGAGCATCGTCTAGTCTTTTTTTTAAGTGAAAGCACATTTCTTAAGAAAGTAAAGGAATACAAGAATGGCTACTCCGTAGACAAAGTAGCCTGTCCAGTCTTACGACAAGGCCTGAAAATCTCACGCTTTCATCACCAAGTTGGAGAGATCCTAATTCTATAATTTCTCTGATCTGCTTACAGGCGAGTCTCATTACCCATTTACAAAGCATATGGGTATTGATTGTACTATTCTTTCAACTTTTCAACTTTTCTGTTTGTTTCAACCTTTTTTTTTTCTTATCTTTTTTTTTTTTTTTTTTTTTGAGACAGACTTTTGCTCTTGTTGTCCAGGCTGGAGTGCAATGGTGTGATCTTGGCTCACTACAACCTCTGCCTCCCGGGTTCAAGCGATTCTCCTGCCTCAGCCTTTCCCAGTAGCTGGGATTACAGGCATGCACCATCACGCCTGGCTAATTTTGTATTTTTAGTAGAGACGAGGTTTCTCTGTGTTGGTCAGGCTGGTCTCGAACTCCCGACCTCAGGTGATCTGCCCGCCTTGGCCTCCCAAAATGCTGGGATTACAGGCGTGAGCCACTGTACCCGGCAGCTTCAACCTTTTCATAATCACAAGTTGGGAAGAATAAAGGAGAAAAATAATTTAAATATTACAGATGGAGGTACTTGTAGTTAAGCCTGCTTTTACCTCTGCTCCCCCCTTAAACTCTATTGAAATAACAGGAAAGGGCTTACACAAAAAAAGAAAACACCATAGACAAAGAAAGTAATAGAGGAAAAGACAAAGATGTGATCAGATTTTGGAAGATGGACATGGAGGGAGGGTGGCAACCTGCTGAGGGAAGCTTCAGAAATCTCTGTGCCAGAACAGGGCATCCTGGTGAGAAGCAAGACCATCTGTTCAGGTACCAGGAAAGGCAAGAGGTGGGAGTGATCGGGGGACAGGAACAAGGGGGGAGGGTTGAAAACCTCTAGGGAGTGTCAGCTAGAGACTTCAGGGCCCACTTGGCCAGATGATGGCTCTTGCCAACAATTGAAGGAGACCTCATGTTTAATTCCAGGAGCACCTGACCCAGGGAAGCTTCAGCATGGGATACTAGAGACAGGCCAGGGTGAGGCACCAGCCTGAAACTGGGCATCCCGAATGAGCAATGGGCCCAGCAGTCAGTTCCCTGGCCAGGCAGGAGGTGGGGAGTCCCTGCTGAGGGAGGTTGAATGCCCCCAGAGAAGTGTCCTACAGCTCCTGCCTGCCAGACCCCCAGGCACCCTGCAGAGGGAAAGTTAGTGATGGCGCTGGCCCCACAGAAGGCTTCCTGTCAACCTTAGTGCTTCAGTGGGATCAGACCCCTGGGTCACCAGCCATCTGAGGAAAGCCCCCACACATGGGAGAAAAGGTCTTAAAGGGAAGAGAATGTTAATGTCCTCAGTGAGATACAAAAGAGCATTGTCTGCATGAAAAAGGAACAGGATACTAGAAAAAGGATAACAAAGGGAACAGAATAAGAAAGTTCTTAAAATTAAAAAATAGAAAAAAAACTTCAAAAGAAGGCTTAGATTCTACTATTGTCTCAAGGAGATATTCCAAAAGCAAAATAGAGATAGGAGGAGAGGAAAGATAAAAAAACTAATGTAGGAACAAGTCTAGAAGCCCAATATAGGATGAGTAGGAATTCCAGAAAGAATAGAAAACTGAAAGGAGGAAATGAACATAGAATGCAAGATAGTTTCTTGGCACCAGGCATGGTGGCTCATGCCTGTAATCCCAACACTTTGGGAGACCAAGGCAGGCAGATGACTTGAGCTCACGAGTTTGAGACCAGCCTTGGCAACATAGGGAGACACCATCCCCCACTTCCCGTGTCTACAAACACTATGAAAATTAGCCAGGCATGGAGTTGTGTACTTATGGCCCCAGCTACGTGGGAGGCTGAGGTTGGGGATGGCTTGAGCCTGGAAGGCAGAGGGTGCAACGAGCCTGGATTGTACCACTGCACTCCATCCTGGGAGACAGAAACAGACCTTGTCTCAAACAAAACAAAACAAAACAAAACAAAAAACAAACAAAAATGCAAGATAGTTTCTTGGCAATGAGGACATTATCTTCTAGATTGAAAGCGGCCCTGACAATGACTGAGAAAGACCCCACAGCAAAGCTTATCATTGTCAAGTGTCAGAACCCTGAGGATAAAGAAAGAGGGGCTTCTAAAACTCTAGGTTATTGTAAATACTTGGGAATACAAAGAGCAAACAAACATGAACAGCTAGGAGACAATGGAACAACTGATGACTCCAGAAATCAGTTAAAAAGGCTTTTCGGCCTAGAATTCTTTTGTTTTTGAAACCGGGTCTCACTGTCATCTGGGCTGGAGAGCAGTGGTACAGTTGTCTTCATCTCGTGGGCTCAAGTGATCCTTCTGCTTCAGCCTCCCCAGTAGCTGGGACTACAGGCATGTGCCACTGTGCCTAGATATTTTTTTTTTTCTTTTTCTTTCCCCACCCCCGAGTCAGAGTCTCGCTGTCGCCCAGGCTGGAGTGCAGCGGCGTGATCTCAGCTCACTGCAGTTTCCACCTCCTGGGTTCAAGCAATTTTCTGCCTCAGCCTCCCGAGTAGCTGGGATTACAGGCACCCGCCACCATGCCTGGCTAATTTTTATATTTTTAGTAGAGATGGGGTTTCACCATCTTGGCCAGGCTGGTCTTGAACTCCTGACCTCATGATCTACCTGCCTTCGTCTCCCAAAGTGCTGGGATTACAGGCATGAGCCACTGTGCCCAGCCCCGTGCCCAGCTATTTTAAAATTTTTTTGTAGAGATGGGGTCTTGCCATGCTGCCCAGGCCGATTTTGAACTCCTGGGCTCAAGAGATTTCTCATGTTGTTCTCCCAAAGTGTTAGGATTACATGCATGAGTCACTGTGCCTGGTCCAGCCTAGAATTCTATACCCAGCTAAAACGATCAAGTATCAGGGCAGAACAAAGTTACTTTCTGGTATACAGTCTTAATTATTTTAACCTTGGTTTGAACCACATGAAGAGAGAAACCCAAAATGAAGCACAGAGGTATTAGGAAACGGGGGACCTAACAGGACAGAGGGTGAACGTAAAGGGGGTCACAGCATCACAGCGCAGCCTCTGCCCAGAGAGCTGCCAGTCCTGGCTGGAACAGGAGGCTGCACAGCAAGCGGCACTCTCTATGGAAAACACCAGAACCAGTGGGGTCTCTGATCCACTTCACCCTTGTAGAAAACTATGGAGATGCTGTGGGAGAACATAGGGAAAGTTAGCAAATGCAAAGAGAAGGCAGGCTGGGTGCAGTGGCTCATGCCTGTAATCCAAGCACTTTGGGAGGCCAAGGCAGGCAGATCACCTGAGGTCAGGAGTTCAAGACCAGCCTGGCCAACATGGTGAAACCCCGTCTCTACTAAAAATATAAAAATTAGCTGGGCGTGGTGGCACGTGCCTATAGTCCCAGCTACTCGGGAGGCTGAGGCAGGAGAATCACTTGAACCTGGTGGGCAGAGGCTGCAGTGAGCCGAGAGATTGCGGCACTGCGCTCCAGCCTGGGCAACAGAGCGAGACTCTGTCTACAAAACAAAGGAAAAGAGAAGCCATTATCAGTGGTAGGAAAACAAAAAGCGATACAAAGAAATAGTCTGCTACTTGACCCAGCAAAGAACATTTAGATAGAGGTCCTAGCTGAAACATTGAATGTTCTTTTTTTTTTTTGAGATGGAGTCTTGCTCTGTCACCAGGCTGGAGTGCAGTGGCGCCAACTTGGCTCACTGCAACCTCCGCCTCCCAGGTTCAAGCGATTCTTCTGCCTCGGCCTCCCGAGTAACTGAGACTACAGGCGATTGCCACCACGCCCAGCTGATTTTTTGTATTTTTAGTAGAGACGGGGTTTCACCATATTAGCCAGGGTAGTCTCGATCTCCTGATCTCGTGATCCGCCCGCCTCGGCCTCCCAAAGTGCTGGGATTACAGGCGTGAGCCACTGCGCTCGGCCTACTGAATGTTCTTTTAACAAAAAATTGCGTCTTGGAAAGGGTAGTGGAAGGAGAGGCAGGTACTGGTCCAGAGTAGGAAGTGCGCAGATGTGAACTCCAGCAGCAGGCAAGAGCAGCGTGAGCTGAAAGGGCACAGGGAGAGTTTGGGGAGTGGGATGGGGGCAGGGAGTGTGCACCACAGCCTTTGGCAACTGGTGACTCTAAGCTGTGGGTGTGGAGACTTTTGACACATTTAATTTCAAAAATAGTGCAGGTGATTCTCCCCTCTGTCCCTGGTGAGTCACGTGAGCCTGGAGGTGTGCAGGTTCCCTGTGGGGCCAGCGTTGGGCCCTACGCAGCGCCTGCACGGCCCATCCACCTCCCAGAGCAGAGCTCCGGCGTTGAGGTGTGCGTGTGTGTCGTCGCACAAAGCCTCTGTGTGCAGGTGTCAGGAGGCACATGGCCTTCCATCACTGTGGCTGGAAGCGCCTGCCACATGTGGTATTGGCTCTCCCTGTACTTAGGGCCTGGCCCCACCTGCCGTGTGGCCCGTGTCCTGCATGGTTAGGAAAAAGGTCTCTTTCGACTTTCTGGCTCAGAAGCTGACTTTAGATGCTAGCTGAGGTTAATGTTTTACTGAATTGGAGAAAGAGAAAGGTCCAGTATCATGGGCCCACCAAGAATGTTTCCAGAAGCCACAGAGATTTGTAGCTGGGATATGGGGAGAAGCCTCTGACTCATGGGTTTGTATCGTCTGGTCCCATACTGGCTGTGTGATTGCGGGGTCGAGCTGGGTAGAACCTAGCACCTGCATCCACACGCTGAGTGCCACCATCCAGACACTTAGCTGCTTGTGGGGACTGAACGTTGAGATCTTCGTGAGTCTGTAGTCTCCACAGGCCAAGCTCCTGCTTGCAGGTGCATCCTTGGGGGAACTTCACGGCTTGCTCTTTCCTCCTCCGCCTCTAGGCATTGAAGTTGATATCGATGTGGAGCACGGAGGGAAAAGAAGCCGCCTGACCCCCGTCTCTCCAGAGAGTTCCAGCACAGAGGAGAAGAGCAGCTCACAGCCAAGCAGCTGCTGCTCTGACCCCAGCAAGCCGGGTGGGAATGTTGAGGGCGCCACGCAGTCTCTGGCGGAGCAGATGAGGAAGATCGCCTTGGAGTCCGAGGGGCGCCCTGAGGCAAGCCTGTGCCCCTCCCGCCACCTGGGACCACGGCCAGCCTAGTGATCTGTGGCCTGCACCTCCGCCTCATCCTCAGCACCTCTGCAGCCCCACTTACAAACCCGAGGGAGCTGCTGCTGCTGCAGTGATGTCTGTGCCATTAAAGTCACGCTGGGAACCTGCTAGAACTTTGTAGTTACTTGGTCTTTGTGAGTGGCCACTGTTCCCCCTAGACCCCTGCAGCCTTAACTGCACGTGTGCATGCGTGCTCCCCGACTGTCTGCCAGGAGCCAGGGCCATGGTCAGGCTTGGCCTGTTGCGCGTGTCTCCTGTGTGCTCATGGTGAGTTTTGTTCCAGGAACAGATGGAGTCGGATAACTGTTCAGGAGGAGATGATGACTGGACCCATCTGTCTTCAAAAGAAGTGGACCCGTCTACAGGTGAACTCCAGTCCCTACAGATGCCAGAATCCGAAGGGCCAAGCTCTCTGGACCCCTCCCAGGAGGGACCCACAGGGCTGAAGGAAGCTGCCTTGTACCCACATCTCCCGCCAGGCAAGTGAACCAAGAGGTTTTGTACATATTCCTACCTTTCCCTTTAGAGCATCCTGCCCTCCTCTGATTTCAGCGACACAAACAGAAGGATGAGATGTTCTCCACTGCAGGGCTGTCTGTAGGTGTGGGAGGTTAGGAGTTGGTTTTGTCCTATTATGTGTACCCTGAGCAATAGCGAGTAAGCTCTGCTAATGCAGTTCTGAAAATGTTTTTCTTTAGGCAAACTCCAGAGCCAGGAATATTAATTGTAGGAGTTTCTAAAACTTAACATGCAGACCAGGAATTAAGGCAGGTGTGACACAGAGAGGGGGCAGCACTGGGTGTGTCCCTACTACTCACACTCAAGTGCCGCCTCAGGGAGTGCTGGTCTGAGAGGGGGGGGGGTCATAGCCAAGATCCCTGTAGGAGCCAGGCAGAAGCCACCGTTGAAGTGGATGGTGTGGCAGGCAGCAGTGGGGGGGTGGGGGGTGGGGACAGCTGACAGAAACTCCTCATTGTCACATGGCAGCCGTGTGTAAACCAAGGTCCGTGTGCACAACCTGCTGTGGGCCGCCGCTGTGTGTCTTCTCTGCCTTAGGGCAGGGGATGGCGAGCTATGGCCTATGGGCCAAGAGTAGTTCTTATTTTTGTTTATTTATTTATTTATTTTTATTGATCATTCTTGGGTGTTTCTCGCAGAGGGGGATTTGGCAGGGTCATAGGACAATAGTGGAGGGAAGGTCAGCAGATAAACAAGTGAACAAAGGTCTCTGGTTTTCCTAGGCAGAGGACCCTGCGGCCTTCCGCAGCGTTTGTGTCCCTGGGTACTTGAGATTAGGGAGTGGTGATGACTCTTAAGGAGCATGCTGCCTTCAAGCATCTGTTTAACAAAGCACATCTTGCACCGCCCTTAATCCATTTAACCCTGAGTGGACACAGCACATGTTTCAGAGAGCACGGGGTTGGGGGTAAGGTCACAGATCAACAGGATAAGAATTTTTCTTAGTACAGAACAAAATGAAAAGTCTCCCATGTCTACTTCTTTCCACACAGACACGGCAACCATCCGATTTCTCAATCTTTTCCCCACCTTTCCCCGCTTTCTATTCCACAAAGCCGCCATTGTCATCATGGCCCGTTCTCAATGAGCTGTTGGGTACACCTCCCAGACGGGGTGGTGGCCGGGCAGAGGGGCTCCTCACTTCCCAGTAGGGGCGGCCGGGCAGAGGCGCCCCTCACATCCCGGACGGGGTGGCTGCCGGGCGGAGGGTCTCCTCACTTCTCAGACGGGGCGGCCGGGCAGAGACGCTCCTCACCTCCCGGATGGGGTCGCGGCCAGGCAGAGGCGCTCCTCACATCCCAGACAGGGCGGCGGGGCAGAGGCGCTCCCCACATCTCAGACGATGGGTGGCCGGGCAGAGACGCTCCTCACTTTCCAGACTGGGCAGCCAGGCAGAGGGGCTCCTCACATTCCAGACGATGGGCGGCCAGGCAGAGACGCTCCTCACTTCCCAGACGGGGTGGCGGCCGGGCAGAGGCTGCAATCTCGGCACTTTGGGAGGCTAAGGCAGGCAGCTGGGAGGTGGAGGTTGTAGCGAGCCGAGATCACGCCACTGCACTCCAGCCTGGGCACCATTGAGCACTGAGTGAACCAGACTCCGTCTGCAATCCCGGCACCTCGGGAGGCCGAGGCTGGCGGATCACTCGTGGTTAGGAGCTGGAGACCAGCCCGGCCAACACAGCGAAACCCCGTCTCCACCAAAAAAACACGAAAACCAGTCAGTCGTGGCGGCGCGCACCTGCAATCGCAGGCACTCGGCAGGCTGAGGCAAGAGAATCAGGCAGGGAGGTTGCAGTGAGCCGAGATGGCAGCAGTACAGTCCAGCTTTGGCTCGGCATCAGAGGGAGACCGTGGAGAAAGAGGGAGAGGGAAAGCTATATCATTCTTATGTCTTTGCATCATCATAGCTTAGCATCTACTCATAAGTGAGAACATATGATATTTGGTATCCATTCCTGAATTACTTTACTTAGGATAATGGCCTCCAGCTCCGTCCAAGTTGCTGCAAAAGGTATTATTTCGTTCCTTTTTGTGGCTGAGTAGTATTCCATGGTGTATATATACCACATTTTCTTTATCCACTCATTGCTTGATGGGCAGTTAGGTTGGTTCCACATCTTTGCAATTGTGAGTTGTGCTGCTCCAGATATCATCTTTAACTCCTTTGCCTTCTCCACATACATTTCCAAGTCCTGTTCATTCTACCTCCAAAATGTATCTTGTATCCATTCATCTCTCTCCATCTTCAATCTATTTCAATGCCCCATCATCTCTTGCATGGAGGAGTGTAATAATTGGCTAACTGGCCTGTTCTTACATTTTAAAATCAAAAGATGTGACAGGTGAAATGCCTATTTCAGTGTCCATTGATGGTTCTGCTTACACACCACCTGGCTGCCTGGTGTCGCAGTGGCAGAGTTGAGCAGTGTGAAAAAGACTGCTTGGCCCTTTACAGGGAAAGCAGGTCCACTGTGGCCTGTGAGGACGAGAGCTCTGGGCAGGCTCGGACACTGGCAGACCCTGGTCCTGGCTGGCCAAGGCAGCAGGGTATGTGTTTCGGGTCACTCACAGGGCTCAGCACCACTCCTCATGGCTTCCTTACTGTTTCGGCAGAGGCTGACCCGCGGCTGATTGAGTCCCTCTCCCAGATGCTGTCCATGGGCTTCTCTGATGAAGGCGGCTGGCTCACCAGGCTCCTGCAGACCAAGAACTATGACATCGGAGCGGCTCTGGACACCATCCAGTATTCAAAGCATCCCCCGCCGTTGTGACCACTTTTGCCCACCTCTTCTGCGTGCCCCTCTTCTGTCTCATAGTTGTGTTAAGCTTGCGTAGAATTGCAGGTCTCTGTACGGGCCAGTTTCTCTGCCTTCTTCCAGGATCAGGGGTTAGGGTGCAAGAAGCCATTTAGGGCAGCAAAACAAGTGACATGAAGGGAGGGTCCCTGTGTGTGTGTGTGCTGATGTTTCCTGGGTGCCCTGGCTCCTTGCAGCAGGGCTGGGCCTGCGAGACCCAAGGCTCACTGCAGCGCGCTCCTGACCCCTCCCTGCAGGGGCTACGTTAGCAGCCCAGCACATAGCTTGCCTAATGGCTTTCACTTTCTCTTTTGTTTTAAATGACTCATAGGTCCCTGACATTTAGTTGATTATTTTCTGCTACAGACCTGGTACACTCTGATTTTAGATAAAGTAAGCCTAGGTGTTGTCAGCAGGCAGGCTGGGGAGGCCAGTGTTGTGGGCTTCCTGCTGGGACTGAGAAGGCTCACGAAGGGCATCCGCAATGTTGGTTTCACTGAGAGCTGCCTCCTGGTCTCTTCACCACTGTAGTTCTCTCATTTCCAAACCATCAGCTGCTTTTAAAATAAGATCTCTTTGTAGCCATCCTGTTAAATTTGTAAACAATCTAATTAAATGGCATCAGCACTTTAACCAATGACGTTTGCATAGAGAGAAATGATTGACAGTAAGTTTATTGTTAATGGTTCTTACAGAGTATCTTTAAAAGTGCCTTAGGGGAACCCTGTCCCTCCTAACAAGTGTATCTCGATTAATAACCTGCCAGTCCCAGATCACACATCATCATCGAAGTCTTCCCCAGTTATAAAGAGGTCACATAGTCGTGTGGGTCGAGGATTCTGTGCCTCCAGGACCAGGGGCCCACCCTCTGCCCAGGGAGTCCTTGCGTCCCATGAGGTCTTCCCGCAAGGCCTCTCAGACCCAGATGTGACGGGGTGTGTGGCCCGAGGAAGCTGGACAGCGGCAGTGGGCCTGCTGAGGCCTTCTCTTGAGGCCTGTGCTCTGGGGGTCCCTTGCTTAGCCTGTGCTGGACCAGCTGGCCTGGGGTCCCTCTGAAGAGACCTTGGCTGCTCACTGTCCACATGTGAACTTTTTCTAGGTGGCAGGACAAATTGCGCCCATTTAGAGGATGTGGCTGTAACCTGCTGGATGGGACTCCATAGCTCCTTCCCAGGACCCCTCAGCTCCCCGGCACTGCAGTCTGCAGAGTTCTCCTGGAGGCAGGGGCTGCTGCCTTGTTTCACCTTCCATGTCAGGCCAGCCTGTCCCTGAAAGAGAAGATGGCCATGCCCTCCATGTGTAAGAACAATGCCAGGGCCCAGGAGGACCGCCTGCCCTGCCTGGGCCTTGGCTGGGCCTCTGGTTCTGACACTTTCTGCTGGAAGCTGTCAGGCTGGGACAGGCTTTGATTTTGAGGGTTAGCAAGACAAAGCAAATAAATGCCTTCCACCTCACCGCAAACCTTCTGCTAAATTGCATGACCAGGCTTTCCAAAAACAAGACATTCTCATGTCATCAGGTGATCCATCTCCTGGGGACCTTAGAATCAGGTTACCGGTGCCTACAAAAGAATTTTGAGCAGAAGGGCCTCGAGACATCGGGAAAGGGGTGCGCTGGCTCCATTCTGCTACCTCCCACCGGGGGGCAGCTCTCCAGAGCCTGCCGGGTTCTGCAGCTGCAGAGGTGGCAGCACCGAGCTCCCTGTGGGATAGGACTGGTGCTGGGGTCTGGCTTCTCTCACCCCAGGAACCAAAGATGCTCTGAAAGTTGGGTGTCGGCCGGGCGCAGTGGCTCACGCCTGTAATCCCAGCACTTTGGGAGGCCAAGGCAGGTAGATCACCTGAGGCCAGGAGTTCGAGATCAACCTGGCCAACATGGCGAAACCCTATCACTACTAAAAATACAAAAATTAACCTGGCGTGGTGGCACGCGCCTGTAATCTCAGCTACTCGGGAGGCTGAGGCAGGAGAATCACTTGAACCTGGGAGGCAGAGGTTGCAGTGAGCCGAAATCACGCCATTCCACTCCAGCCTAGGCAACA
This sequence comes from Homo sapiens, assembly GCF_000001405.40. Taxonomy (NCBI): domain Eukaryota; kingdom Metazoa; phylum Chordata; class Mammalia; order Primates; family Hominidae; genus Homo; species Homo sapiens. The sequence continues at coordinate 604,219 of NW_016107298.1, forward strand.
GAGCGAACTCTGTCTCAAAAAAAAGAAAGTTGGGTTGTAGGCTGGGAGCAGTGGCTCATGCCTGAATCCCAGCACTTTGGGAGGCTGAGGCAGGCAGATTGCTTGAGCCCAGGAGTTTGACACCAGTTTGGGCAACATGGTGAAACCCCCTCTTCTACAAAAAATTAGCCAACTGTGGTGGTGAGTGCCTGTGATCCCAGCTGCTCGGGAGGATCACTTAAGCCCGGGAGATGGAGGCTGCTATGAGGTGTGATTGTACCATTGCACTCCAGCCTAGGTGACAGAGTGACACCCCATCTCAAAAACAAAAGGCTGGGTGCAGTGGCTCATGCCTGTAATCCCAGTACTTTGGGAGGCCGAGGCGGGTGGATCACTTGAGGTCAGGAGTTCAAGACCAGCCTGGCCAACATGGGGAAGCCCTGTCTCTACTAAAAATACAAAAATTAGCCAGGCGTGGTGGCGGGTGCCTGTAATCCCAGCTACTCAGGAGGCTGAGGCAGGAGAATCGCTTGAACCTGGGAGGCGGAGGTTGCAGTGAGCCAAGATCGTGCCATTACACTCCAGCCAGGGGAACAAGAGTGAAACTCCTACTCAAAAAAAAAAAAAAAACAACAGTTGGGTTGTGCTGCTTACAAAGGGAAAAGCAATGTGAAAGCAGCGATAGAGTGGGTCCCTGCAGCACTGCCACCCAGGCAGTACAGAAGAGGCTCTGCGGCCCTGAAACTTGACGTTGGCTTTGCCACTGAACTTGCCATGACTGCACAAAAACTGCAAGCCTCAGTTCCTCACCTTTAAAACAAAGCAACAGGCTTGAGGGAGCATGAAACACAATGATACCATTACAACATGCAGCCCAGGGACTGGCCCGTGGCAGACTCTCTGGTCATTCTTCTAGGATTTGGAGATTCAAAGCCACTTACTTACCCAGGATCACAAAACTAGTTGGCGGCAACATCAAAGTTTGAATTCTGCTTCTTGGCATGAGCCAGTGCTCTGTGCGTGGTGCAAGGCCAGCGGAGACCGACCTTGGCTGATGTGGGGGTGGGGGCAGTGACTGACGCCCAGTGGACTCCCAACTGCAGTGCCCTTGCTGTGCCCTGGCTCCTCTGACAGGCAGAGCAAACCCTGCACTCTGCAGCACTGGATATGCGGTGGGGCCTGCTGGACTGGAAGCTTCAAGAACAAGACAAATGGGCCAGGCGCAGTGGCCCACACCTATAGTCCCAGCACTTTGGGAAGTGGGAAGATTGCTTGAGCTCAGGAGTTTGAGACAAGCCTGGGCAACATAGTGAGACCATGTCTCTAAAAAATTTTTTTTTTCTGTTGCCCAGGCTGGAGCGCAGTGATGCAATCTCAGCTCACTGCAACCTATGCCTCTCAGGTTCAAGCAATTCTCCTGCCTCAGCCTCTCGAGTGGCTGGGATTATAGGCGTGCACAACCACGCCCAGCTAATTATTTTTAGTAGAGATGGGGTTTCACCATGTTGGCCAGGCTGGTCTCAGACTCCTGACCTCAAGTGATCCACCCACCTCGGCCTCCCAAAGTGCTGAGATTACAGGTGTGAGCCACTGCGCCTGGCCTCTACAAAATATTTTTTAAAGATTAGCCAGTGTGGTGGTGTGCATCTGTGGTCCCAGCTACTTGGCGGCTGAGGCAGGAGGATCACTTGAGCCTGGGAGGTTGAGGCTTCAGTAGGCTATGACTGTGCCACTGCACTCCAGCCTGGGTAGACAGAGTGAGACCCTGTCTCAGAAAACAAAAAAGAACAAGACAACACCCTAAGTGAAGAGTGCCTCACATACAAGAGTCCACAGCAGGGCAAATGCGAGTGTGGAGGGAAGCATCTCCCAGGATTCAGGGCGGCCCGCTGACGACTCCTGCCCGGACAAAGGTCCCCGTGCTCCACGCAGAATGAGACGATGGCCCTGACCCATCGTCAGGTTGACCTGCTGGCCAACCTCAGTTTCTCCAAGGGTCACAATGCTCTTTGGTCCTGAGTTACCCTCATGGGAGACGAGAGGCATGGGAGGGAAAAGGGGGTACAGACCCGAGGAAGGAGTTGGCTTCAGACAGAAAAGACAAGAAACCCGGGTGGGAAGATGGGCTTTCTGCGGGTAGGAATCGCACACTTCGTCAACTGTGACAAAAGACAGAATTATCACACACACGCTCAGTGGTCACTGGGACCAGAGAGAAACTGTTTGTCACTGACCTTCTGGGGTCCCCAGGCGACCTCAGAGCCACCCGAGTCCTGCACGCCACGGCTGCACGGAGGCTGGACGGTGCTCCTGCTCCACTTCCTGTCAGGACAGGACCGTCAGTAGTCCCGTGCTACTCTCCAGTGGCACCCCGAGCCTGACTCCACGATCACATGGCCCACAGGCTCGGGTGGCCACCTGCTTGTTCCTACGGCTTCCCAGGCAGCTGCTCAGGGTGTCCAGCCACCGCCCAGGCCCCACTCCCCTGCTTCACAGCTTCTAGGTGCTAGAAAGTTTTGTTTTTATTTCAGTCAGGGTCTCACCGGCACCCAGGCTGGAGTGCAATGGCTCACTGCCGCCTTGACCTCCTGGGCTCAGGTGATCCTCCTGCCTCAGCCTCCCAAGTAGCTGGGACCACAGGCATGCACCACCATGCCCCATGAATTTGTTTTAAAAAATCTGTTGTACAGATAGGGTCTCCCTATGTTGCCCGGACTGGAGGATCAAATGATCCTCCTGCCTCAGCCTCCCAAAGTGCTGGGATTACAGGTGTGAGCCACTGTACCCGGATGAAGGTTCTGGTTTGAAAGCAGAATCTACCTCCTGAAAGCACCTGCCCTCTAAGAGCCTCCCTAGATCCTTAACCTAAAGCAGTCTCTCCAAAAATCTCACTGAAATGCCTGAAGCAGAAGAAAACTTCCTTCAAGTCTGAGGCCTCTGCTTCTCTGAGCTAAAAGCTCTTAGGCCTGCCAGCTACTCCGACCTCTCCCCTGGGGTCAGTACAGTCTGAGATGTTCAGAATTAAGTGGGCATCATAAAGGGTGTGCACACGGGTGTCCTGCCCAGCCTTCGCCTCTGCACCAGCAGTGCCCAATGCCCAGGTGGGCTGTGGGGCCAGCAGTGGCAGCAGCTGCCCGATTTCCCACCTGCTGGCACTTGCCACCTAGGCTTCCCGCGCTTGGCTGACGCTCACAGTGGCTCACTGGTGCCCCACTGCTGGAGGCAGCAGAGGCCCTGGGCCAGGGCTGGAACGGAGACGCACTTGGTACCTTTTTCTAGGCAGGTCTTGACTGAAGCGGGGGCCTGGCTCCTCCATTTTGGATGAAGGCTGTTTGCTGAAACACACTCCTGTTCCTTCCAGCTCCAGTTCTTGGGAGTCCTTTTCTAGATACTTCAGCCAGCGACTCTCTGAGGGCTGCGATTTTTCCTGCCAGATTGAGAAAAAAGTTGATTCTCAGTACTGGAAACCAGGCAGTTTTATCGAAAACCCCTAGCCCAACTCTTGGGCCTGAGGATCTCAGGAGTCATGTCCAGCTCCACTCTAGGAAAGGCACCGGCTGGAAGGTGATGGACGCCAATACTATGCAATGCTGGCAGGACAGTGCTCACTGGCACAGGCCTCGGGAAGGCGGCAGGGCACGGCCCACCAAGAGACTCATGAAAGTCTATGCTCCCTGGCCCAGTGATTCCACACAGAGAAGGCAGAGGTGCCAGTCCCAGTCTTATAAAAAATAGCAAATTTCATTTATAAGAACAGAAGTAGCCGGGCGCGGTGGCTCACACCTGTAATCCCAGCACCTTGGGAGGCCGAGGCTGGCGGATCACAAGGTCAGGAGATCGAGACCACCCTGGCCAATACGGTGAAACCCCGTCTCTACTAAAAAAAAAACAACAACAAAAAAAAAACAAAAAATTAGCCGGGCGTGATGGCAGGCACCTGTAGTCCCAGCTACTCAGGAGGCTGAGGCAGGAGAATGGTGTGAACCCGGGAGGCGGGGCCTGCAGTGAGCCGAGATGGTGCCATTACACTCCAGCCTGGGGGGCAGAGCGAGACTCCGTCTCAAAAAAAAAAAAAAAAAAAAAAAAAAAAAAAGAACAGAGGGGTGGAAACATGGCCAGGCGCGGTGGCTCACACCTGTAACCCTAGCACCGTGGGAGGCTGAGGCGGGCGGGTCACCTGAGCTCAGGAGTTCAAGACTAGCCTAGGCAACATGGTGAAACCCCGTCTCTACTAAAAATACAAAAATTAGCCGGGCGTGGTGGTGCGTGCCTGTAATCCCAGCTTCTTGGGAGGCTGAGGCAGGAGAATTGCTTGAACTCAGGAGGCAGAAGTTGCAGTGAGCTGAGATCACGCCACTGCACTCCGGCTGGGGGACACAGCGAGACTCTGTCGAAAGGAGGAAAGAAGGAAGGAAGGAAGGAAGGGAGGGAGGGAGGGAGGGAGGCAGGCAAGCAGGCAAGCAGAAGTGTGGAAACAACCTAAATGCCACATAATAAGGAATCAATACTGGTGCATCTACTACATTCTGTAAATACTTTTGTTTTTTGAGACGTTGGGGCTCCAGTGAGCAGCGATCATGCCTCCACACTCCAGCCTGGGTGACAGAGAGGGACCCTGTCTCAAAAATTAATAAATAAGAAATGAAAATCACTGAAAACTATACCGCAGCACAGAAGAATGATACAACTCAAAACTAGGATGCAAAAAAGTATTTCTGATGAGAATGATATAAAATTAAGTCTGTAAATGGACTGAATTGGAAGCACAGGCACAGGTACCAGAAGAGCATCTTCCTCTGCTTATAACAAAGTGTGAGTCTGGCCAGGTGCAGTGGTTCATGCCTGTAATCCCAGTACTTTGGGAGCTGAGGTGGGAAGATGGCCTGAGCCCAGGAGTTTGAGACCAGCCTAGACAACACAGGGAGACCCTGCCTCTACAAAAAAGAAAAAAAATTAGCTGGGCGTGGTAGGGCACAGTTGTAGTCCCAGTTACTCAGGAGCCTGAGGTGGGAGGATCACTTCAGCCCAGGAAGTCAAGGCTGCAGAGAACCATGATCGCGCCACTGCATTCCAGCCTGGGCGACAGAGTGAGACCTCGTTTCAGAGAAAAAAAACAAAACAAAACAAAACAACAGCTTGCAGTCTGGAACAAGGAAAGATGGAAACCCAGGTGTTTCACCCCATTATTCTTTCCCTCTCAGAGGTATGCCCAGAGTGCTGTGGGAGCAAAGTGGAAGCAGTATAAGGTGATATTTGAGCTACATTCAGGAGTTCTCCAAGCAGACAGAGGAGAGAGTCCTTTGCAGGGTATTGTAATGCTTGGTACACATGGCTGCCTCCATCCTTACAAAAGGTACAGGTTTATTTATTTTTGTGTTCCCTGCAGCTTTAAGCCAACTGCCTGTCATTGGGTGGCATCAACACACATTTGCTATAATGACTACTGGATACATCTGTGCATTCATCCCTTCCCTGACACAGAGCCAGCCTGGGGCAGGTGGGCCTGAGGCTTACCTGCTGCTTCACATTCCCAGCCTGCTGGTGTCCCACGTTTTCTTCTTCACTGGCACTGACAGTTTCTTCTAGAGACCTTCAGGGAAGACCATACATATGCCCTTTGAAAAATGACCAGGGGCTGGGCACAGTGGCTCACTCCTGTAATCCCAGCACTTTGGGAGGCTGAGGCAGGTGGATCACCTGAGGTCAGGAGTTCGAGACAAGTCTGACGAACACGGTGGTGCATACCTATATTCCCAGCTACTCAGGAGGCTGAGGCAGATAATGTTTGAACCCGGAAGGCAGAGGCTGCAGTGAGCCAAGATTGCTGGAAGATGGAATCACATGACAATGGAGATAAGTTGCAGCTTCAACCTCCCTGGGCTCAGGTGGATCCTCCCACCTCAGCCTCCTGAGTATCTGGGACCACAGGCACGCACCACTACGCCTGCCCTTTTTTTTTCTTCTTTTTATTGTAGAGACGGTTTTGCCATCTTGCCCAGGCTAGTCTCAAATTCCTGGGCTCAAGTGATCTACCCACCTCGGCCTCCCAAAGTGCTGGGATTACAAGCGTGAAGTACGCATCCAGCTGGTATTTGATTTTAAAAATCATTTTTCCAATTGTCCACTGCATATATATAGAAATACAATTTAATTTTGTATGTTGACCTTGTATTCTTGTGATCTTGCTAAATTATTAGTTCTAGTAGCTTTTTTGTAGATTCATTAGGATTTTCTACATACACAATCATGCTATTTGCAAATAAAATAATGCTTTTATCCAGTTTGGGATTTACTGTGTTTCCTTAATCTAAAAATGTTATGTCTTTGATTCTGGAAAATGCTGTGCTCTTATCTCTTCAGTTATTGCTTTTGCCCCATTCTCTTAATTATCTTTTGCTAGAACTCTCCTCTGTAACCTCCACGTCTCTCAACTTTCCCTTATATTTTCTACTTTTCCATTTTTCTGTGTTGCACTGTGAATAATTTTCTAGATTTATCTTCCATTTCACTAATTCTCTCTTCAGCTGCATTTAATCTGTTTAACGTGTCCACTGAATTTTTAATTTCTTCTTTTTTTTTTGAGATGGAGTCTCACTCTGTCACCCAGGCTGGTGTGCAGTGGCACAATCTTGGCTCACTGCAACCTCCGCCTCCTGGGTTCAAGTGATTTCCAGCTAATTTTTGTATTTTTAGTAGAGATGGGGTTTCACTATGTTGGCCAGGCTGGTCATGAACTCCTGACCTCAAGTGATCTGCCTGCCTTGGCCTCCCAAATTGCTAGGATTACAGGCATGAGCCACTGCACCCGGCCTGAAATGAATTTTTAATTTCAATGATTATACTTTTAAGTTCTACAAACTCTTTTATTTTTTAAAGACAGAGTCTCACTCTGGTGCAGGCCTCACTTGAGCCTGGGAGGCGGAGGTTGGCTAACTGCAACCTCTGCCTCCCAGGCTCAAGCGATTCTTATGCCTCAGCCTCCTGAGTAGCTGGGATTACAGGCATGTGCCACCACACCCAATTGACTTTTGTATTTTTAGTAAAGACAGGGTTTCACCATGTTGGCCAAGCTGGGCTTGAACTCCTGACCTCAAATAATCCGCCTGCCTTGGCCTCCCAAAGTGCTGGGATTATAGGTGTGAGCCACTGCACCCGGCCTCTTTTTGGTTCTTTTTCAAATACACCTATTTTTTTGGATGTGAGGGTGATGTGGCTGCACCATCTGTCACTCCATCAATCACCAGGGTTGGTTAGCTGATCTGGATGGCTAGGTGGTGTCCCCTTCTTCCCTCACCGCTCCATGTGCGTCCCTCCTGAAGCTGTGCGCTTGGTCGAAGAGGACGACCACCTCCAATAGAGGAGGAGCGGTCTTTGGTCCAGGGTATATGAGTAGCTGCACTCCCCTGCTAGAACCTCCAAAAAAGCTCTCAAATACACCTATTTTTTGAAGGCCCTCATCTTATCACCCACTTCTTTTATTGGATTAAATATATTAAACATGCAATATCATGTATTCTGAAGTCTTTATGGGTCTGACTTTTCTGACTGTTGATCTTTTGCTCCTGGTGGTGTATTTCCTTGAATGTTAAATGATTTTAAACTCCTGAGTATATTATGCTACTTGGAACTTTTTCTTTGGGGATTCTTTTTTTCTTTTTTTTTTTTGAGATGGAGTCTCACTCTATTGGCAGGCTGGAGTGCAGTGGCACCACCTCGGAACACTGCAGCCTCCGCCTCCCAGATTCAAGCAATTCTCCAGCCTCAGCCTCCCTAGTAGCTGGGATTACAGGCGCCCGCCACCACGCCCAGCTGATTTTGTATTTTTAGTAGAGACGGGATTTCATCGTATTGGCCAGGATGGTCTCGATCTCTTGACCTCATGATCCATCTGCCCCGGCCTCCCAGTGTGCTGGGATTACAGGGGTGAGCCACCACACCCGGCCTCTGTGGGAACTTTAAGGCCCAGCAATTGAAGATATATTGCTGCAAAGAGGAGCTCCATTTACCTCTGCTTCCTGGGACAATTAAAACATAAATTTTCTGCTTGAGGCTTTTCACACAGGGTATGTAAAAGGCTGAAAAACCATGCAACTACTTCCTTTTATTTCCAAAATCTTAGAGATATTTCCCCCTCTTCAGCCATTGCCAAGGTCAATACAGGCAAGCTGCCTGTTGCAGAGTGGATCTAGTTCATTTGTACACCGAGGGTGTAGTCCTCCGGGAGCTCAGTTTTGTTAGGAGGTGTCCTACTGGTCCGCCCACACTGCCGTAGGTTTTGTCTTCTGAGGGCCTCCTGCCCCTCTCCCAGCCGTCGAAATGGAGGCTCCAGAGCACCGGGCTTCAATCACCCCAGCAGCTCAGGTGCTTCCTCTCTGGATTTTGGCTTCTACATTTTTTTTTAAGCCAGTTAAACTTAGCAGTGGAGAGTTGTATACCAACGTTAGTGACACTAATGTTAATCAGTTCTCATAACCCACCACCATCAGACCCGCTTCTTCATTTTTGACCTCTGAGAGTTACTTACTTTTTTTTTTTTTTTTTTTTTTTTTTGAGATAGTCTCGTTCTGTCGCCCAGGCTGGAGCGCAATGGCGCGATCTCGGCTCACTGCAACCTCTGCCTCCTGGGGTCAAGTGATTCTCCTACCTCAGCCTCCTGAGTAGCTGGGATCACAGGCATGCAACATCATGCCAGGCTAATTTTTTTGTATTTTTAATATACACGGGGTTTCACCATGCTGGCCAGGCTGGTCTCGAACTCCTGACCTCGTGATCTGCCCGCCTTGGCCTCCTAAAGTGCTGGGACTACAAGCATGAGCCACTGCGCCTGGCCGAGAGTTACTTTCTTGTCAGCTCATCAGTGCATTTAAAATAGCTAGCATTTTTAGTTATTTTCAGTGGGAGAATTGCTCAGGGTGTTTGACTGCCATATTGTAAGACGTGGAAGTCTAAGGGACTTCTCCACTGACCCAGGCCCAGTGGGGTCTGTCCTACCAGGGCCTCTCTGGTGAGCCAGCCACAAACAAGAACAGCTGTGTCAAGAGCCTTCAGCTCTGGAGGCACAGAGCAATGGCCTGCCAGCTTTAAAAACCACAGGTCTGGACCTCATCACAGGTAATCAGGTGAGAATCTCCTCGGGTGAAGCTCAGCCCCAGTATTCTAAACATCCCCGGGGTCGGTTCTGAGGGCAGCTGCTGACCTCAGATGGCAAAGTGACAGCAGGGACCTGGGGCAGGTCCAGCCACAGCAGAGTGCCCAGCTCAGGATTTCCACTGTGTACTTCTATTATCCAGTCAAGACGAAAACAGGGCAAGACAACCACGCTCTTCTCAAACAACTGTACCTGAGTGGCAGCTCTGAAACTTGTCCCTGTAGTAGATTTAACTTTTGGACATGGCGTCTACAATCAGCACCAGAGCCTTCACCATAAGCCTGAGAAACCAAAAAATATATTACATTGAAAAAGTGCTGGCAGAATGCTGAGAAACAGATCCATTTGAGATGCACCTCAGGGAGGACAAAGCTGTATTCTGCAAGGCCCAAAGACCCCTAAAGCAGCATGCAGGAATCCTAATGACTGACGGCTGTCTCTAGAATGATTTACAAACCAACAGTCTCCGGAACTAATAGTTTACATCTATGTGGCTGTCCCACAATCACCCTGAACTCTACCTACTGAAGCCAAACTCAACCCAAAGCCCTACACAAAATGGTTAGTGCACATGAGTAAAAAGGTCACAAGAGAAGTAACACATATTGCCATATTGTATAACATACTGCCAAAAAATATATGAAATGATACTTACCTTCACTGATAATCAAAGGAATACAAAATAAAATACATTTTTTCCCACTTACCAGTCACAAATTCATCCAACAAATATTTATTGAATACCAACTGTGTGCCAGGCCTCATCTTGGGGTAGACAATACAGGAATGGACAAGACTCCCTGTCATCATGGAACTCACATTCAAGTGAGAAGAGACAGGAAAGAAACAAGTGAGCCATATAACCTATCAGATGCTAGTAAGTGCTCCTGAGAAAGACAAGGCCAGGAAAGAGGTCGTACATAAGAGCATACCGTTTTACATAAGGTGTTCAAAATGGTCAAGAAATGCATCTCTAAGAAGGTAACGTTTGAGCACAAACAGGAAGATATGAAGAAGCAACCCACATGGCTGTCTAGGGGAAGAACATTCCAGCAGAAGCAATACATGAGAATGAGTGTGAAGACCCTGAGCCTGAAATTTTGGAGGAACAGCAAAGAGGCCAGCATCGCTGGAGCTGAGGGGTCTAAGGGGAAGACGGTACGAGACGGAATTTGAGAGCATGGGTCCTGCTATGGCACAGGCAGATGGTACAAGACGGAATTTGAGACCATGGGTCCTGCTATGGCACAGGCAGATGGTACAAGATGGAATTTGAGAGTACGGGTCCTGCTATGGCACAGGCAGATGGTACGAGACGGAATTTGAGACCATGGGTCCTGCTATGGCACAGGCAGATGGTACAAGACGGAATTTGAGAGTACGGGTCCTGCTATGGCACAGGCAGATGGTACGAGACGGAATTTGAGACCATGGGTCCTGCTATGGCACAGGCAGATGGTACAAGATGGAATTTGAGAGTACGGGTCCTGCTATGGCACAGGCAGATGGTACGAGATGGAATTTGAGACCATGGGTCCTGCTATGGCACAGGCAGATGGTAAGAGATGGAATTTGTGACCATGGATCCTGCAATGACACAGGCAGATGGTAAGAGATGGAATTTGTGACCATGGGTCCTGCTATGGCACAGGCAGATGGTACGAGACGGAATTTGAGAGCATGGATCCTGCAATGACACAGGCAGATGGTAAGAGATGGAATTTGTGACCATGGGTCCTGCTATGGCACAGGCAGATGGTAAGAGATGGAATTTGTGACCATGGGTCCTGCTATGGCACAGGCAGATGCTACGAGACGGAATTTGAGAGCATGGATCCTGCAATGACACAGGCAGATGGTAAGAGATGGAATTTGTGACCATGGGTCCTGCTATGGCACAGGCAGATGGTAAGAAACAGAATTTGAGACCATGGGTCCTGCTATGGCACAGGCAGATGCTACGAGACGGAATTTGAGAGCATGGATCCTGCAATGACACAGGCAGATGGTAAGAGATGGAATTTGAGACCATGGGTCGTGCTATGGCACAGGCAGATGGTACGAGACGGAATTTGAGAGTACGGGTCCCGCTATGGCACAGGCAGATGGTACGAGACGGAATTTGAGGGCTCGGGTCCCGCTATCGCACAGGCAGATGGTACGGGATGGAATTTGAGAGTACGGGTCCCGCTATGGCACAGGTAGATGGTACGAGACGGAATTTGAGGGCTCAGGTCCCGCTATCGCACAGGCAGATGGTACGAGACGGGATTTGAGACCACGGGTCCTGCTATGGCACAGGCAGATGGTACGAGATGGAATTTGAGAGCATGAGTCCTGCTATGGCACAGGCAGATGTTAAGAGCCTGAATTTGAGATCCTGGGTCCTGCTATGGCACAGGCAGATGGTACAAGACGGAATTTGAGAGGATGCGTCCTGCTATGGCACAGGCAGATGGTACGAGATGGAATTTGAGAGCATGCGTCCTGCTATGGCACAGGCAGAATCAGCTTCAGGGTGTGACAGCCGCTCTGCTGTCGCCATCTTGAAATTCTTAACAGTCTGGCCTTTGAACCTGTGTTTTTTAAGTGAAGTGTGCTGGGACAATGGAGCACATCTGTGATCAGACACACACACTATACGTGTCCAGTGTTCCTCAACACCCCACTGGCAGGAGCATTCTTGATGTCCCGTGAGCACAGAATTCTGGTGGACTCCCAGTGCCTGGCAGCTAGTAAGTCAAGTGAGAACTGAGAACCAACCGTTGTTTTTAGCAACACAGAGACCACTGCTGACGCTGACAGAAGCAATTGTAATGGACACGTAGGGAGTGCAGTCCTGTTTGGAGCACATTCGCCTGAGAACGGAGAAGAGTAGCTGGAGGGGGAAATGGCAAAGACCAGGCTGGCATAACCAGTAGCGGTGTGCTCTTCCATAGGGCAGGGACTGCTGGATGGATACTGAAGCGCATTCTTCCCGAAAACTAGATGTCATTTTCCAGTGTGCGTGTGGTCAGGGGTGGCCACGAAACCAGCCTCTTTCCATGGCACTGTCACTTGCTTCCCAGCCTGGCCCTCAAAGCCTCTCGGTAGCTCCTCCAAGCACCTGCCCTTCTCAGTGGCTAGAAGCACAGTGGCTAGAAGCAGCTACAGATGAGCCTCAGGGAATAGAAGCAGCTCAAGATGGCAGGAGCTTGGATCCCTGAGCAACCACATCAAGGGCAGCGCCCTGCTGACCTTATCATCTTCCCAGGACTGTTATGAGAGCAAGAGAAACGTCTATTGTATTAAGCCACCACAATTTTGGTGTGTTTGTTACTGTGGCCTAGTCAGCCATACACCACATACCACACACAGCACAGAGGCATTGAGGGGAGTAAGAAGGCTTCCTCAAGGAGAATGTAGAAATATATACATCTCAAACAAGCCATGCTCACCATGTGGGGTGTCTGCCTACCTGGTAAGCCAGCCCCTCTCTTCTGAGACCCAATCCCAGTTGACTGGACCAGAGGTGGGCATCCGAGTCAGCCTGGGCCAACCAGGTTGCTTCTCCTAGGAATTTATAATTGAGACTCAGCTCTTCCAGTTGGCTTGGAATGAGATTCTATGGACTTGGAGCAGAGAATCTGACTGAACAGTCTGGGGAGAAACAGAAAGGGAAGGAGAGGAGAAAATAGAGTAAAGATATAGGGAGAAGCTGGGTGATGGGCAGGAAAAGCTGATGTCTGGCTTGTTGGCAGCTTTTCAGTTCTTGGGGCTAGTTTTTCAAGGGACCGGGGATGAAGTTCTGCCCTTGGATTCCCTAAGAGATCTCATTACCTTGCCAGCACTTTATTTATTTATTTATTTATTTTTTAACTTTGCTGAACCCATTCTGAAGTGTTTTTTTTCCCTTTTTTAAAAAAAATATCAGCCAGGCACGGTGGCTCACGCCTGTAACCCCAGCACTTTGGGAGGCCAAGGTGGGCAGATCACGAGGTCAGGAGATTGACACCATCCTGGCTAACATGGTGAAACCCCATCTCTACTAAAAATACAAAATATTAGCCGGGCGTGGTGGTGGGAGCCTGTGGTCCCAGCTACTCAGGAGGCTGAGGCAGGAGAATGGCGTAAACCCAGGGGGCGGAGCTTGCAGTGAGCGAGATCGCACCACTGCACTCCAGCCTGAGTGACAGAGCGAGACTCCGTCTAAAAAAAAATAAAAAAATAAAAAATATCAGGTGAAGGCACTCACCAACATTATGAAATGTTTTTGTCTACGGAGGCAGGTGGATCATTTGAGGTCAGGAGTTCAAGACCAGCCTGGCCAACATGGTGAAACCCCGTCTCTATTAAACATACAAAAAACAAATTAGCTGGGTGTGGTGGCATGCATCTGTAGTCCCAGATACTCAGGAGGCTGAGGCAGGAAAACTGCTTAAACCCGGGAGGCGAAGGTTGCAGTGAGCCGAGATTGCGCCACTGCACTCCAGCCTGCATGACAGAGAGAGACTCCATGTCAAAAAAAAAAAAAACCCCAAAAAACAGCAATTTAACTTTTAGGACTTTGTCCTAAGTAAACAGTAAACAGCTGGTCACGTGGATAAAGAGGTTTTTGTGAAAAGCTTCACGGTAGAGTTGTGCATAACAGTCAAAAGGGAAATCAACCTAAATGCCCAACAAGGTTGGGCCAGTTCCTTACTCACTCCACAAACACCGAGCACTGTGCTAGGTGCTGCGGATACACCAGCAAATAAAAAGCCTCTGTTCTCACGGAACTTACAGCCTTAGATGGACAATCCGTGCATAAACACATGACTATGTAACTTCCATAGGATACTGAGAAGAGGGAGGGGAACTCCACAGTGAGCACAAAGGCCTGAAGAGGGAGCAAATTTGGGTTTAAGGTCAGAAAGAAAGCACATGGCTGTAGAAGGAGAGGAAAGATGAGAGGTGAAGGGAGAGGTGGCACTGGGGCTGGAGCAGGAAAAGAGCAAGTTCAGTAAGGCAAAGGATGCAGGACAGTTTGGGGTCCTAGAGTTCAGGAGGGGCAATACGGATGGACTGAAAAGACGTACTGAATGCCAGCTGCAAACAGCTGGATGAGAGCATTTACAGCCTGCCCCTGCCTGCCTCCACTTCCTGAGCCCACTATCCCACACCTCCACCTCCACCAACGGCCTCTGCCCTTCCCCGGCTGCCCTGATTCCTCTGTCATCTTCTCACAGTCCCCAGTGCTTTCCTTTCCTTGTGCTCAGCCGAGTTTTAAATTATGCAGATGCATGTGTGCATTAGTTTCTCTTCCCCTTCCACACAAGTGCATCTGTGAGGGCAAGAATGACAATGGGCTTACTTTCCACTGTTCCCCTTGTGCTTGGCACACAGAAAGTACTCAAGAAATACTTGCTGAATGAAGAATCAAATGGCAGTACCTTTCCAGATTCTGCTCCATCCATTTCACTTCCTGAAGGAACAGGAAGCTCGGAAGCAGGAGCTCCGTGTCTGGGGAACTCTGTTTGAGAGAGGATGATCCCAGCTGTGGCATGCTGGGACTCCCTGGAAGGGCTCGCTGCAGGCCTGCGCCCCACTTGCTTTCTGTTTTGTAGGACTCACCTGCAAAAAGGACTGCTTCTCTCCACAAGCTTTGCATGTCCACTTGACACTCTTTTTTACCTGCAATGAAATTTCAGAAATACAACTCAGATAATTATTTAAAACAAAATGGAATTGGGCTGGACTCGGTGGCTCATGCCTGTAATCCCCCTTTGGGAGGCCGAGGCGGGCAGATCACAAGGTCAGGAGTTCGAGACCAGCCTGACCAATATGGTGAAACCCAGTCTCTACTAAAAATACAAAAATTAGCCAGGCATGGTGGCGGGCACCTGTAATCCCAGCTACTCAGGAGGCTGAGACAGGAGAATCGCTTAAACCTGGGAGGTGGAGGTTGCAGTGAGCCAAGATTGCACCACTGCACTCCAGCCTACACGACAGGGTGAGACTCCATCTCAAAAAAACAAACAAACAAACAAAAAACAAATGGAATTGGATCTGAAATTTTTTTTTTTTAAATCCCAAGTAGCTGGGATTACAGGTGTGTACCACCACGCCCAGCTAATTTTTGTATTTTAGTAGAGATGGGGTTTCACCATGTTGACCAGGCTGTTCTCAAACTCCTGACCTCAAGTGATCCACCTGCCTTGGCCTCCCACAGTGCTGGGATTACAGGTGTGAGCCACCATGCCTGGCCTGAAATAATTTTTTTTTTTTTTTTTTTGAGACAGAGTCTGGCTCTGCTGCCCAGGCTGGAGTGCAGCGGCGCAATCTCGGCTCACTGCAAGCTCCCCCTCCCGGGTTCACGCCATTCTCCTGTGTCAGCCTCCCGAGTAGCTGGGACTACAGGTGCCCGCCACCACGCCTGGCTAATTTTTTGTATTTTTAGTAGAGACGGGGTTTCACCGTGTTGGCCAGGATGGTCTCGATCTCCTGACCTGGTGATCCACCCGCCTCGGCCTCCCAAAGTGCTGGGATTACAGGCGTGAGCCACCAGGGCTGGATCTGGCCTGAAATAATTTTAAAAACTGATGGAAGGAGTCCAGAAACAAACCAAAGCATGTGTAAACATTTAGCGTATCATAATCATAAAGGTGGTACTTTAAAAGTGAGAAAAGAACAGACTATTTAACAAGTCCGGGTTGGTGCTGGGAAAACTGGCTATCTGTATGAAACACAATCAAATTGGGCTGGGCACAGTGGCTTGAGCCTGTAGTCTCAGCGACGAGGGAGGCCAAGACTACTCGAGCCCAGGAGTTTGAGGCCAGCCCGGGTAGCATGGCAAGAGGCTGTCTCACAAAACCAAATCCAAACAAAACAAAACCACTCTGAAAGACCCAAATTGAAGCTGTAAAAAAAAATTCCATAATATTCCTGTCTCGCAAAACCAAATCCAAACAAAACAAAAACACTCCGTAAGACTCAAATTGAAGCTGTAAAAAAAATTCCATAATATTTAAATTCTTGTTAAACTTGGGTCTAAAAAAAATTCCGTAACATTTATTTTCAATTCTTGTTAAACCTGACTAGATGTGTTCTCTCTTAACATATAAAATGCCTAAAACCCACTCTAATGCTGGAGAATCTTTACCAGCATTCCACATGGAAGTCAAGAACAAGCCAGGGTTGCCCGCTATTATTTACCATTTTTTTCTGGATGTACTAGCCAATGGAATTAGAAGAAAGTTGTAAGATGTATAAAAATTATAAAGGAGCGGAAAACCCTATCATTATTTATAGACATAATTATAATACCTGAAATAACTCCTGACCTCAAATGATCTGCAGACCTCGGCCTCCCAAAGAAAAGCCAATTTTTTAATTTTAATTTTAATTTTAATTTTTTTGAGACGGAGTTTCGCTCTTATTGCCCAGGCTGGAGTGCAATGGTGAGATCTCGGCTTAGTGCAACCTCCACCTCCCAGGTTCAAGAGATTCTCCTGCCTCAGTCTCCCAAGTAGCTGGGATTACAGGCACGTGCCACCACGCCCGGCTAACTTTGTGGTTTTAGCAGAGACAGGGTTTCATCATGTTGGTCAGGCTGGTCTCGAACTCCTGACCTCAAGTGACCCACCCAAAGTGCTGGGATTAAAGGCATGAACCACCAGCCCGGCTGCTACCTGACATAATTTTTTATCCGAAAACCAACATAATGAAATGAGAAGCCACTAAAACCAGATAGTCTAATACAGTGGTTAGGTACAAAATTAAGATACCTTCAAAAATTAATATAGCTTTTATATGAGCAGACATCTAATTAGAACACATAATTGATAAAGAGTCCATTTATAACAGCAACAAATAAAATGTTACCAAGGGATACCAAGGTTACTTGAAGAAACGTAATGGATCATGTTTAACACCACAAAGATGTCTAGGTTGATCCATTAACATTAATACGATTAATATGATCCTAATACAAAATCATGAGGTTTTCGGGGGAAGTATCCAAAAGGATTCTAAGGAGGACAATGAGCACCTACCAAAAATTGAACTGGGTAATGACTTAGCAATTTTACTTCTCAGCTTCTACCTTAAAACACCAATAAAACTGTGGATTTTCTATGAGTATATAAACAAGTAAGAAAAGTTGTTTTTTTTTTTTTTTTTTTGAGACAGAGTCTGGCTCTGTTGCCCAGGCTGGAGCACTGTGGCGTGATCTCGGCTCACTGCAACCTCTGCCTCCTGGATTCAAGTGATTCTCCTGCCTCAGCCTCCCAAGTAGCTGCGATTACAGGTGCCCGCCACCACGACCTGTATTTTTTGTATTTTTAGTAGAGACGGGGTTTCACAACATTGCCCAGGCTGGTCTCGAACTCCTGACCTCATGATCTGCCCCCCTCGGCCTCCCAAAGTGCTGGGATTACAGGTGTGAGCCACCGCACCCGGCCAAGAAAAGCCTTTTTAAAAGTTTAGGACTCACAGAACCTGGTAAAGGAATTAATTGTGGGAACTGCTGAGATAGTATGGTTCTGCCACTCCCTAGATGGAGAAACCACTTGATTCCCGTGTATTTCGGAATTCTCATGTCTCTAAGATGGGAATGATGCCTAAGTCAAAGGTTGTTGAAGTTAAACGTGTTAAAGTAGTACACAGCCGACTTGCAATTAAAATTAAAGTAGTACATAGCCGACTTGCCGTCCTCTTTGGTTTCAAGTAATTTTTCTTTGTTTTTGAGACAGGGTCTGGCTGTCGCCCAGGCTGGAGTGCAGTGGTGTGAACACGGCTCACTGCAACCTCTACCTCCTGGACTGAAGCGATTCTCCTGCCTCAGCGACCCTGAGTAGCTAGGACTACAGATGCGCGCCACTACATCTAGCTATTTTATTTTGAATTTTAGTAGAGACAAGGTCTCGCTACGTTGCCCAGGCTGCTCTGGAACTTCTGA
The DNA here is from genome assembly GCF_000001405.40 of Homo sapiens. Classification (NCBI taxonomy): domain Eukaryota; kingdom Metazoa; phylum Chordata; class Mammalia; order Primates; family Hominidae; genus Homo; species Homo sapiens. Next base: position 622,263 of record NW_016107298.1, read on the forward strand.
GCTCAAGTGATCTGCCCTAGTGGGCTTCCCAAAGTGCTGAGATTATGGGCGTGAGCCACCGGGGCCAAGCAACTCACATTTCATAAGGTTGAAAATGACCACGAGGGTCAGGGGCGCTGGCTCACACCCGTAGTCCCGGCACTTTGGGAGCTAAGGCGGGAAGAACACTTGAGCCCAGGAGTTCCAGACCAGCCTGGGCAACACGGCCGAAACCTCATTCCTACAAAAAATATAAAAATTAGCTGGGGATGGTGGCCCACACCTGTAGTACCAGCTACGTGGGAGGCTGAGGTGGATCAGCTGAGCCCGGGAGATGCAGGTTGCAGCGAGCTGTGATTGTTACCACTGCACTCCAATCTGGGCGACAAAGCGAGACCTTGTCTCAAAATAAATAAGTAAATAAATAAATAAATAACACTGGTGAACATGGAAGAGTGAAACAGGAAAACAAACAAGGAAATAGAGGCCGGGCGCAGTGGCTCACACCCGTAACACCAGCACTGTAATCCCAGCACTTTCGGAGGCCGAGGCGGGCAGATCACGAGGTCAAGAGATGGAGACCTTCCTGGTCAACATGGTGAAACCCCGTCTCTACTAAAAATACAAAAATTAACTGGGCTTGGTGGCGCGCGCCTGTAATCCAAGCTATTCGGGAGGCTGAAGCAGGAGAATCGCTTGAACCCAGGAGGCGGAGGTTGCAGTGAGCCGAGATCACGCTACTGCACTCCAGCCTGGCGACAGAGTGAGACGTGAGACTCTGTCTCAAAAACAAAAAAAGGAAATAAAAATAAACGGAAAATTTGTTTTTAAAAAACAGCATGAAACATTAGACGTGGAATAATTTAAAAATGCAAATGATCTCCCTTTATTTGCAACTCTTAGGACCCAGCTCCCGAAAGAAAATAAGTAAAAAGTTTCTGAGCCCTTAAAATGGCCCTTACAAACGCTTAGCATTAAATGCAAGCTTACAGACACATACTCAGCATCTTGCTGACTTTTTAACATACCTCTTAAACAAGTCTGATCCACGCCGGGCACAATGGCTCTCGCCTGTAATCCCAGCACTTTGGGAGGCCGAGGCAGGCGGGTCACCTGAGGTCAGGAGTTCGAGACCGGCCTGACCAACATGGAGAAACCCTGTCTCTATTAAAAACACAAAATTAGCTGGGCATGGTGGCGCATGCCTGTAATCCAGCTACTCGGGAGGCTGAGGCAGGAGAATTGCTTGAACCTGGGAGGCGGAGGTTGCGGTGAGCCGAGATCGCGCCATTGCACTCCAGCCTGGGCAACAAGAGCGAAACTCCGTCTCAAAAAAAAAAAAAAAAGAAGAAGAAGTCTGATGCTATTCTTTCTCAGGGCATAGCAGATTACCAATAATTAGGAGGGAGGGACTATCAGAAGCAGATACGGTGACTGCAGTGTTAAGTGATATCAAGCAGGGAGACAGGTGCGATCCGGAAAAGGTTAAGTGGCATTCTCTATCTGGCACGCTGAAAGTTAGGGAGGCAAATATGTCCTAGAAACACAGATTATCTGTCTTTAAGACTCCGGGGCCCGTGGTTTATGCGTCGGCGAACAGCCATATCAAGTCCCTGGCCCCGCGGAAACGGACGGCGGCAGAGGCGCGGGGCGACGGAGAGGGCGCCCAGGTGTGGAGCAGGGACGCCGCCGCGGCGCGCTCGGTCTCTAAGAACCGTCCTCCCCCTCTCACTGAAACTGCGACAGCGCTACTTCGTGGGGTAGGCTCTGCGTAAAGGATGCTATACTCAACCGGATTCTCCCACTACCTGCTACAATTCACAAGAGGCCACCTCCGCAGAACCATTACCTCTGGTTTGTACAAGAACCAAACAAAAAGCTCAGAACGTTATGCGGGGGCGACCCCAATGAGACCCGCCCTCAGCGGTCCCTGCACTCCTTCGGGCCCGGTGCATCCCGGAGCCATTCGAGACAACACCCACAGCCCCGCCACTCCCCGTCCGCTGTCCCCGCGCCGGAGGAGGAGGAGGGGGCTGGCACCCGCCAGACCTGGTGCGCCTGGAAGAGGCGGCAGCTGCAGCAGCGTAGCACCCGAGAACGCTGAAGCGACGCCATCCCTGCTTGTGCAGTCGCCAGGCAGCCAAGCGCGTGCGCTCTGCATTTGTCCCGCCGCGGCCCCGCCCCACGCACGCGCTCCGAACCCTCTAGTCCCCTACGCCGTCTCGCATGCGCTTATACTCTTCGCTCCGGCCGCCGCGGCCCCGCCCCTGCGCACTGGGATCCCTCTAGCCTGCCGCGCCTCTCGCTGGTCATCTGCGCCCCTCCGACCTCGGAAAGAGTCCTGGGTGCGGGATTCCTGGTAGCCGACTCGTCGTCTGACCAGGGCCGTGCCCGCATCTTCCTAAGGCACTGGTTCCGGCCCTGGGGAGACTGGAATTGAGACGACAGGGCCTCCGCTGACCAGTCCTTGGACACAACGCGGAGCGGGGCTGAGGGGCCGCCCTGCCAGGCCTGCGCTGCCGTGCTTTTAGGTAGCAGCGAACAGTTAGCCTTTGAACCGGAGCCCGGGGTGGAATACGGGGAGACGGAGGGGCTCACCACACCCACGCTTCCCGGAGAGGGCGGCGGAGGCGCGCGGCCGCCGAGCGCGAAGCCGGTCCCCCTGCAGCCCCGGGAGCGTCCCAGGCCCACCCTACGGAGGGTGGAGGCGCCCCCGCAGCCCGACGCTCACGCCGCAACCCTGTGTGGCTTAGGGTTGTAACCTCGTTGGAAAATAAAATACAAAAAATATTAAAATTACCTCCCACCGTACAACCCTCGGTGTCTAGGGTTGTAATTTTAATTTTTTTTCCAACTTTTACACAGTGACTATCACCAAAAAAGCGAGGTGTTTTTTTTTTGTTTTTTGTTTTTGGAGACAGTCTCGCTCAGTCGCCCAGGCTGGAGTGCAGTGGCGTGATTCTCCTGCCTCAGCCTCTCCAGTAGCTGGGATTACGGATGCCCGCCACCACGCCCAGCTAATTTTTGTATTTTTAGTAGAGACGGTGTTTCTCCATGTTGGCCAGGCTGGTCTCGAACTCCTGACCTCAGGTGATCCACCCGCCTCGGCTTCCCAAAGTACTGGGATTACAGACGTGAGCCACTGCACCCGGCCGACACTCGCTTTTAACAGCAGAAACCATCCCGTTGAAGAAAACACCCAATCCTGACAAGGGTGCAGGGAGGGCTACCCCTCTGACAGGGTGCTGGGAGAACGGTCAAGTGCAAAACCGTGGAAAGCAACCTGGCAATACTGCTACCCCAAGAAAGGAATCCCTTCACCTAGGTGATTTATTATTCATTCCCTAGTGTTCCCTGAAGAATACTAGGAAGAAATGGAAATCAGTGTTCTGAAGAACGGCACGGACTCTTAGGCAGTTCCATCAGCAAGAACCTGAGTTTGAAGTGACAACGTGCTGTGGAGAGGCAAGGTTACAGAATTACAGTACATCGTTTGACTTCTGTGACACCGGCATTATTTTCTGGCGTGTGTGTGTGTGTGTGTGGCTAAGGTCGTAGGTAATGCTAATTTTTAAATTTTTCCAACTTTTGTACAGTAAGTAGTTAGAAAAAAAAATTGAGAGACAATATGCCAATAGACAATGGTCAGATAACGAATGACAATAAACTGACTGCAGCCTCTGCAGTAACCGGGCAGTCGGCTGCTTGGGAAGGACGTGGTCAGGACTGCTTGCTCCTCTATTTTTTGTACCACCCTCCCCATGTCAGAACCAACCCAAGAAAGCGCTCCCCAAACCAGTCACAGAAAACATCCTGCTTCTTGTTAGCTCACCTCCAGTTTCCAACAGCCTGCGGTCAGAACCACCTGGAGCCTTCCCCGTTTTCCACCCCCTGCGTCCTTGCGCCTACCCACACCGGGGATGTTGCTGACTCCCTTGCTGTAGCAAGCTCTGAATACTGTTTCTCATTTGGGTGGTTTTCCTTCATTTCTACGTTTGAGCTACTGTGGCTGAGAACAGAAAGCATCTGCAAAAAATGTTTTATGCTTAATGAAAGGAGTAGAATAAAAATTTCATATATGACATCAGTTAAACTCTGAAAAAAAATACAGAATAAACACCAAAATACTGAGTAATCTGTAGCACTAGGAAAAATTGTTCTACTTTTCTGTATATTTTTCTCCTTTTGGCAATGAACCGGTAATCCTTTAAAAATTCATGTATATAGTTTTTTTTCTTGGAAATTATAAGAATGATTTGATGAGTGGTTTGATGCAACTTATATTACTTGGTAAGCAGTTTTAAAATATTCATGTTTACTTATAAAATTTAAATTTTTTATTTGTATTATCTATATATTATTTAATGTTACTGTTCTGGTTGTTAAACATTTTGAGTTATCTTCCCAGGTTGAATGATTTATGGATTAAAGTACTATTGTACATTTTCGTACATTGTATCACGTGAATAGGCCAGATTCCTCTTTCCTATTCTTTGGTTAATTTCTTTGGTGTATTCACAAGCTTATACTTCCATATATTAAAAACATTTATCTTACCTCTGTAAAGACAAAAAATGGGAAATAAAAAGCCATTTATCCAAATTCCAAGTTATTCAAATCTAATTGAATATAATCAGTGTAAGACTTAAAATTGCCAAATATGTGGGGTTATTATATCTTAATTATATTAAGGCCAACAATGGTCTTTTTGGTATAAATCATTTGAAATTATTTTATGGTACTTTGTGTAAATACTAGAAAGGAAATTGAAGCCAGGCATGCTGGTTCATGCCTGTAGTCCCAGCTACTAGGGAGGCTGGGGCAGGAGGATTACTTCAGGCCAAGAGTTTGAGGCTGCCATGAGCTATGGTCATGCCACAGCACTCCAGTCTGTCTCTAAAACAAACAAACAAGCAGACCGGGCATGGTGGCTCACGCCTGTAATCCCAGCATGTTGGGAGGCCGAGGCGGGTGGATCACGAGGTCAGGAGTTTGAGACCAGCCTGGCCAATATGGTGAAACCCCATCTCTAGTAAAAATAGAAAAATTAGCTGGGCGTGGTGGTGCACGCCTGTAGTCCCAGCTGCTTGGGAGGCTGAGGCAGAAGAATTGCTTGAACCCAGGAGGCAGAGGTTGCAGTGAGCTGAGATCACGCCACTGCACTCCATGCTGGGCAACAGAGCAAGACTTGGTCTCAAAAAACAAAAAAACAAAAAAACAAAAAAACAAAGCTACTTAATTAAAACAAAAACAGCAGCCACAGAGATATACAATAGTACCTGAGTTTCACCTTCTGCAGCTTTAGTTACCCAGAGTCAACAGCCACCTGGAAAAGAGATGAGTACAGTACAAGAAGATATTGTGAGACAGACCACATTTACAACTTTCATTACAGTATAACCGTTACATTTTATTATTAGTTATTGTTGTCAATCTCTTAAGGTGCCTAATTCATAAACTTAATCACAGGTATGTATGCATAGGAAAAAACAGTATGTATAAGGTTTGTTATTATCTGTGGTTTTAGACATCCACTGGGGGTCTGGTTTTAGATATCCACTGTATCCCCTGTGGATAAGGGGGTAACTGCTGTATCTTTTAGTAGAAGCAAGAGCAGCCCCATGTGGGGGCTAACACTGGACACTGGTCAGTTTCAGCTCCTCATGCAAAGTGAGGGTATCCTTGTGGCTCCAGCCCTGGGGCCCCCTGCGGTCACCTTTGGCTCCACAGTCTGGTTCTTGAACCCAAGGGCAGACAGCTTGCTACAGCCCAGGCCTGAGGATGCACTTCCTTCACCAGGACCCACAACCCCTGCCCATGAAGACCTGTGGAGCTCAGGGCATCCCCTGATGCAGGTTGGTCAGGACCTGCCCAGCTTGCACCAGCAGGTTCTGCGTCTCCATCTGACCTGGCAGACCTTGCACTCTTCCACCCACTGTGGAGGACTAAGTGTCTTGAACTTCCAGAACACAGCCAGGGCCCCATACTTGGCCTGGGGAGAAGTTGGGAGGCCTAAGCAGTGGTTGGGGGCCACAGCAAGGCATTGCACACAGTGGTTTTTATTTCTTTCAGGGATTTATTAAGGCATTGAGCACAGTGTAATTTCTAGCCAAGTGAAATGAATCCAAGGAAATATATCAGGACCTGAGGGATGTTTTTTTAAAGTTACTGGAAAGGATGATGAGCTGAGAGCACGTGTACAGCCACGCCTGTGCGCAGCGCCCACTCTGTGCAATAAACATGTTCTGCCCATGTTCCTCAGTCAGGAGGTTCAGGCTCCCGGAGAGCACCTGAGGGTTCCATCACTTTGGTGCCCAACAAGCACATGCCCCCCAACCTGGTGCCAAGAGGCAGGAATGACCCCCATACCACATAGCTGCAGGAAAGCATCCACGGATGGAGGGACTCAGCTGGCCTGGCCGCAGTGTGGAGCACAGAGGTATGAGGCAAGCAAGGGCAGATCTGAGAGCCTGTAATGCTAGGCAGGTGCAGCTGGTGCGAGGCGGGCTCCCACCAGGTGTAAGGAAGGTGGGAGCCACAGCCTCTTCCTGGGCCCAGAAGCAGCCGGCGCCAGGAGATGCAGGCCCAGGGAATCTGTCTAAGGCAGCTGGGTCTGCACCAGCCTTCTTTCCACTCACAACTCACTGCTCCTGGGAGAGCAGGAGGGGCACACCTTTAAAGAGAAACTGATAAGGGAGGAAAGGCAGGAGGAGATGAGGCCAGCCCCACTGATGACACCTTGGGCCAGGCCTCACAGCTGCAGGCATCAGCCGGAAACTCCAGGCTGCTCATGGTCACTGGCGGTGCTGAACTGTCTCTCCACTTTCTTTTGGTCCTTGATCTTGAGTCCAATGTCCACTCTCTTCTCAAAGAAGTTCACCAGCACGGACTCCGTCAGGATGGAGGCCAGGATCTGCTCAAAGGAGATGCACCAGTCGGTGTCGACGGTGCCGCCGATGCGCGCTGTGGGGCTGCAGGCCTCCCCGCCCACCAGCACCGTGTCGTCTGCAAGGTCTTCACATTGCAGGGAGCCCGTGCTGACCACCGAGTAGGAGGACATGGACATGTCGTCTTTGGTTTCATCGTCAGACAGCAGCTGGGAGGGTGAGCCCTGTCCCTCGCCGCTGCCCCCCTCCACCACCACCTGGCTCTCCTGTGGGGCTTTTCCGAGGTGTGTGTCTCCGCCTGCTTTGGCTTGGGGGTCTCCTGCAGCTGGGGGCTGAAGCTCCCTGGCTGCGTCCTGATGCAGTTCGGGTGCTGGTGGCTCGTCCTCCTCAGTGGCACAGTCCCTGGGCTTCCTGCCTGTGCGGGCTGAGAACTTCTTCCCCACCTCTCCGATGCGGAGCAGGAGGCTGGCCACGGTGGCGATGGCGTGGTACAGGTCCTGCTCCATGGGGTCTTCACTGAACATGTTGTAAAGCGTCTTGCACAGCTCAATGAACTGCTCCTTTTAGGGAGAAAAACAGAAGAACAGGGAGATGGTAAAAGACCAGTCAGACGGGGTCCATATTAGCCAAACTGATGACAAGCACCAGCCTAAGGATGTTGGCTGCCGTCTTGCTAATCATCTCCATGAGCCTCATCAGTCCCATCTCACAGATCAGGACACAGGCTCAGAGAGGCCACACAGCTCTTCAAAAGGCTTTCCCCTCCAGCTGCCTTTCTCTTGGCACTCAGAGCATGCTGGTCTGACCTGGGGCCTCCCTGTTTCTAGGTCCGTTCTGTTGGCACAGGGAGATGGATTTCTACCACGACTCTAAATCCAGTCAGTACAAGGACTTCGTTGTGTTTTAGAATCACCTTTGGTTTTAATCAGAAGCAGCCTCAACTCAGCCCTTGAATGAAGCTCTTTAGAAGGTGATGGTGAGGAAAATACAGCCTGGGTCAGCTGGGGAGGGGGATCCTGGGGAGGGGGGTGCTGGGGAGGGTGGGTGCTAGGTCCTGAAGCCACACGTCTAGGCCTCCTGGCCCAAGAATGGGAAGAATCCTCATCGCACGTGGTGCCCACCCTCCAGGCCTGCTGGGGGAGTGGTCAGATTGCAGGGTCCCCTACTGGGCACAGCTAGACCGTGGGTCTGGCCCGAGGGCCATGGTCAGGCTGGTGCTCCAGACTTGCCTTTGGCTCAACGCTTGCAGTTTGGAGCTGGGGTCTCCCATTTTCTGGCTTTGAGACCCTTGGCAAGACACCATGCTTCTGATCTGCGAGACCAGTGAATGAAGAGCGGGTGTGGAGGATGCATGTGAGCCTGCGTGTGCAGAGCCCTGGGCAGGGCTGGGAGGGTGCAGGGTGTGGAACGCATATCTTGTCAAAGGTAGCCTACAAGCCTCTGGCTCCTGGTTCACAGACACTCACTCAATCTGGAAACATGCCCCTATACAAGGCCCTGGAGCAACTGGCCTCTTGTCTTTCTGGAATCATCGCTGACTGGCAACCAGGACTAACGGGCTCTAGAGGCAGGGAGGAGCCTTCCCACCCACCAGGAGATGCTGCAGTGCAGGTGCGGTGATGTTAGGGCCCAGTCTTGGTCAGAACTCTCCAGAAATGTCTACTGTGGGCTCCAGTGGAGCCTACCTGGTTCATCTTGGGAAGATCCTTAATCGTCTCCTTCTGAGCCTCTTTCTCCTTGGCCCACATTCGAAGGTAGTGCCGATAGTCCGGAGAGCTGGTCCCCTTCTCCTCTGCAGGTTAGGAGGAAAGAGATTAATCTTTGTCATGTGAGACGGCTGCGGGCTGACAGCAGGGAGAGGAAGAGTTGGGTGTTTTCTGGCATGGAGTTACCAGGGCCCTATCATAAAACACCCTGGCGTTTGGGAAGGTGGTCATGGGAAAAAAACCCAGAACAGCCACAGGTTTTCCCTAAATTGCTGCAGTGGTTGGACCTAAGCTGATGACAATGATCCACAATGTCTTCTCTCAGATGGGGAGTCACAGGGCAGCTGGAGAGAAGCTGGCAAGAGAGGGCTGGCTGGGTGCCCGTGGGGCTGGTGGAGAGCGTGGAGCCTCCTGTGCATCCCGAGGCCTGCTCCCTGATCGGGGGACGCATCCGCCATCTCCCGGGGTAGGGGGCTCCCTGGCAGTGACTGGGGAAAAGACCAGCAAGCAAGGGTGCCTCAACGCTGGGGTCTCTAAGAACAGCGGCAGAGAATGGCCTGTACCTCCTCTCTCCTCACTTCCACTTCCTTCTTGCTCTTCCTGTGGTAGTGCTTCTGGACAAACGCAAAAATAAAAAGAACATGAATAACATTCTGCTGTTGGGACTGCAAGCTCCTGGGGTCCTTGAGATGTAGTCTGTGTTTCTGTACAGCCAGCCCCAGGCCAGGCCCTGGGGAGCAGGTCTCCCATGCCACACCTCCTGCCTGGCCCGCCCAGCCCCGCCCTATGGCACCAGAGCAAAAGGGCCTGAGCATTCCCTCACTTGGTCAGGTTAAAATAAAGGCCGCCAAACCCTCAATTCCTTTTTTCAAATGAATACAAGTCTCAACATGCTGGTTTTGACGTGAACAATGATGAGGGCTATAGACCAGTCTGAGGACTAACGAATTCTATAGTTCCTGCTAGAACTCTGGGGAATGTTCCTGCTAGAACTCAGGGGAACCCTAATGACCCCTTCCACCCGCGCCTGCTGTGCCTGTTACTGAGGGGTGGTCTGTGCACAGCTCCTGTGCTTGGTGCAGCGTTTCGGGGAGGACATTTGCCGGAACTGGCGCGCACTATACTCCCTGCGTGGGAACATGCACCTGGGGAGAGAAGCAGCCGACCAGCTCTCCTGGAGCTGTTCCCCAAAGGCAGTGTGGCTGGTGGGGGCACCTCAGGCAGGTCGGCAGCACCCCAGTTCTGAGCTGCTCTCGCTGGCTGTCTGGTGGCAGTGAAGGGCACACCTCTCTGGGCTCAGGCAACTCACCCTGGAATGGAGGCCCTGCTTCCTGGGGGCCACATGCGGTCTGAGGCCAGGGCTCTGCACCAACATGCCGCTCCCAGAAGCATGCGGGACAAGCCTAGAGTGGCCTGCTGGTTCCATGTACAACAGAAGGTGTACCTGCTTCTGTAGTTTCTGTCCTTGAAATCAAGGTCCTCAAGCTCAAGTCAGCCTCTGCCACTGTCACCAGGACTGCCATGGGCATCTTGGTACACACTATTTTTGGTTCTCTTTTGAGTCGGTTCCTTGGTGTGCATTATCCCCCATGTGAAACCACCAGGTGGCATTATGGTCGGTTTTGCAAGTGTGCTGCATGTCACCAGCTCGACTGCGAAAGCCCAGGGCCTAGCATGCTCCCATCACCTGGGATCAGATGCTCCCAACAGGCTTTAAACATAGCACAGGGATGAGTTCTAACAGGCACTCAACATGCGTGTTTTTCCTTAACAAAAAACGTGACGTGGAACATGAAGATTTTTCCTAGGAAAGCATCCACTATTCTTTCCAGCCCCCACTCAGCCACACTGTGTCTTTCACACGCTCCAATGACAGCATTTTGTATTTGTTTCCTACTCACAGGAAGACAGAATGTCTCTAACATGTGGCTGTGGAGGCCTTGCCCTGGGCCTGCTTGGCGCCTAGTGTGGGGGCCTTATTTACCGCCCACCTACAGCAGACACGGAGGCGGTGCAGAGGAGTGGCTTGCTTCTGGGTCCTTCTCAGAACTTATGCCCCAGAGGATGAAGTCCCAGAGAGGTCCCTGGGACAAAGAGCTTCCAGGCTTCCTGATAGTGCAGGAAGAGTGTTAGGAGGTACAGGGGGCGCCCCTGCCTTCCAGGGACTGACCTTGAGCCTCCCAGGGCAGGAAAAGATCCAGATCTGAGGCCAGAGGAGATGCTGGAAGGGACAGCAGAGGAGAGGCAGAGGGGCAGAGTGGGGAGGAGCCAAGGTCCAGGAAGACAGAGACACAAGAGAAACAGGAGTGAGGACATCCACAGGGGGCGGCCCCAGCCCCCGCCAGCATGGCAGAGCCCAGCCCGTGGTCCCCTGGGGAGAACCCCATGCGGCCTGCTCCCTGAGCCCAGGTGGGACTGCTGGCCACTGCCCGAGCCCCACAGGAAGGCGGCGGTGGCTGCAGAGTGCTGGCTGGGCATGTCGGGTGTTCCAGTGGCCGCTCACCTTCTGAGGAGCTGTCCTCTGTGAAATAATGGGCCGCCTCCAGGGCTGACTCGGCTTCCTCTGGGCTCAGAGCTGTGCTTGGAGAGAAGGCAGAGTGAGGGCAGGAGGAAACAAGGAGATCCTCTCAGAGTAAGTTCCCTCCAGCCCTGGGCAGAGCCTTGCTTTCCCTGCCCACGAGCCTGGCCAGTCCCAGCACCTGCCCATGACAGTGCCCGGTAATAGTTTTGATGGTGATGATTGGTTCTGGTTATTTGTTACTTTCCTCAGCTTTTTTTTTTTTAATGGACTCTCACTTTATCACCCATGCTGCAGTGCAGTCACATGATCTCAGCTCACTGCAAGCTCCGCCTACTGGGCTACAGTGATTCTCCCACCTCAGCCTCCCAAAGTGCTGGGATTACAGGCGTGAGCCACCGCACCCAGCCTGGAGTTTTGCTCTTGTTGCCCAGGCTGGAGTTCAATGGCACGATCTCGGCTCACTGCAACCTCCACCTACCGGGTTCAGGTGATTCTCCCGCCTCAGCCTCCCAAGTAGCTGGGACTACAAGCACACACCACCACGCCCAGCTAATTTTTGTATTTTTAGTAGAGACAGGTTTCATCGTGTTGGCCAGGCTGGTCTCCAACTCCTGACTTCAAGTGATCCACCCGCCTGGGCCTCCTACTGCATCCAGCCGCTTTCCTGACTTTGACATTGTGTTTGAAAAGGAAATACATGTCCCAGGTAAAAATCCAATCAACACAATTAGGAGTCCAGTGAATGGCAGCTGCCCGCCTGCCCCAGTGACCATCTGGCCAGTGGGCCCTTTGGGGGCGTTTCATGCTCCTATGGGCGCACAGGAACCAGCCACGCACAGGCAACTTGCTGCTCTCCCTTTGGGTAGCTCAGAGGTCGGGCCGCGTTGTGCGTGCTGGCCGGCCTCATTCAGTGCAGTCTTTGCTGGAGGTCACCAAGCAGTACCCAGGGTTGCGGATCGCATGGTCCTGGGTGAGTGTAGCGGGCATGGGCCACAAGCCCAGCAGAGCCCAAGTGTTCTCTGTGTCTGGACAGGACAGGGCAGGGCAGGCTGAGGAGGCTCAGGAGTCTCAGGGTAGCCCCGCATGCTCTCAACCCTGGGACCAGGCCCAGTGGGGTCTGTCCTACCACGGCCTCTCTGGTGAGCCAGCCACAAACGAGAACAGCTATGTCAAGAGCCTTCAGCTCTGGAGGCACAGAGCAATGGCCTGCCAGCTTTAAAAACCACAGGTCTGGGCCCCATCACAGGCAATCAAGTGAGAATCTCCTCGGGTGAAGCTCAGCCCCAGTATTCTAAACATCCCCGGGGTCGGTTCTGAGGGCAGCTGCTAACCTCAGATGGCAAAGCGACAGCAGGGACCTGGGGCAGGTCCAGCCACAGCAGAGTGCCCAGCCCAGGATTTCCACCTGCCTGCGCCTTTGTTTCCTTCTGTGATGAGGGAGATGACCCCTCCTTGGAGCATTGTCCATGCAGCCACTCCTGCTGAGCCCTGCCCCCTGCACAGACAGCCTGTCGCCAGTGCAGCCCCACTAGGCTACAGCACCACTGAGAGGCCAGAGAGAAGTGGCCCCTCCTCATGGCCATGTGACAGGATTCTCTAGCTGAAACTCTGGGAATAAACCCTTAAGAAACTTGACAGATAAATGCAGCAGTTTCGGTTCCAGCCCTGAAGCTCCACTCATGGCCCTCCTAGTGGGTTTTGGGTCCAGCTGCCTCCTCGGTGGGAGTTCTGTACCCAGCAGTGCCCGGTCACCCATGGGATTCTCCTCCACGTCCCTTCCCAGGCCAAGGCCCTGCTCTCAGACCTCTGTGAAGTGCTCAAGCTCCCGCTCCCTCTCCTCCAATGTGAACCTCCAGCCTGCGACGCTGCTGTGCCCCCTCGAGGCCCCACAGTCTCACAGAGGCCTGTCCTCTGCAGCTGAACTTCTGGACAAGTGGGAGACCCTGGCTGGGGAGTGGGCAGGAGGCTCTCACCTGGGGGAAGGTGTAGCTTGTAGAGCACCTTGAGCTTCTCTGTCAGGTCCCCGTGGTACATCCCGCCTGTGGAGAAGGCCAGGGAGGGCTGGGTCTGGCAACATGGCTGCAGAGCCCCTTCCAGGGGGTCCGAGTAGGACCCTCTTCACAGCCTGTGCTGCCCAACTCCCTCCTGGAGAGGTCACAGGGTGAGTCCCAGATCTCCTGTCTCCCTGGCGTCCTGCTGGGAAGGCTCAGCCCTTCCCTGGGGCTGGCAGACCAGCTTCTAGCAGCCCCAGACTGCATGAGGGAGGGGAGCGGGCAAGGCTCCTGCTGGACCCCATCTCGGCTCCCGTGGGTAAACTGTTCTTCCCGTATCTAGGGCCAGGGGCTCAAGCTGCCCCCTACTTGCTGCAGGGGGAACAGACAGGAGATGCTGGCATTTGGAGGCTTCCTGGGAAAGGGTGAGGGAGGGTCAAGCCCCTGGTAGGCCCTGCAGGCACTCACTCATCCCTGTCACGAACTCCTTGAAGTTGATCAGCGAGTCCTTGTTTTCGTCCAGGAGCCTGAACATGCGCCCTGCCAGCAGAGGTGTGTGGGAGCCACAGGCCCAGGGTGTCAGGCTGGCAAAGAGTTCCCGGAACTGGCTGGCATCAATCCGGTACTGCTCCAGGTAGGGCAGGCTGGGGTCCCGACGGCCGGCCATTGTGCGGCTGCACCCCCAGTACTGGCTAGCCAGGTGCTTGGCCTGTGGGACACGGTCTGGTGAGACGGTCCAGCCGCTAAGCCTGTGGGTCGAGGGGACCCCTAGGCTGGTGGTGTGTCCACCCTCCCCCTCTGTCCAAGCCTGCGGAGCCCTGGGGCGGTAAGCACGGGCCAGACACTGCAGCACCTCCCGAAAGCTCTCAGGCTGTCATCAGCCCCTTGTTAACAGATGGGGAGGGGGTTGGCTGAGAGACAGAGTCCTTGGCAGCCTGCAGGGGGCAGAGCTGGTCTGCTGGCCCCAGAGAAGGGCTGAGCCTTCCTGGCAGGGCTCCAGGGAAACAAGAGGCCTGAGGCTTGCTCTCGCTCCTATGACCTCTCTAGGAGGCAGGCAGAGCTGGCTCAACTGTTGTGACGCTAGGGCCACAGCGCAGCAGCCACCTTGAGCACGGAACCTGAGGCAGCTGGAGAGGTGGACGGGAACTGGCAACAACAACAGAAAGGCAGATTCCAACCATTAAGGCTGGGTCTTTTGCTAAAAGCACAAGGGAAAGAAAAATTCTCTTTGCACTGGGATTACTGAGAAGAGAGTATGACCCTGGAGCTGTGACGACAGTCCTGGCATGGTGTAGGAAGAGCAGTGCAGAGGACATCAGAGATGGGGAAGCCTGACGGCACATTTCAGCACCTGGATCCAGCCATGCCTGAAGCTGTGCATTGCTAGACTTTTCAGTCTAGCAATACAGGGGCAATGTATTCCCTCTTCTGTGTAAGATGACTTGAATGGATTTGCTGCCATTTAAGAGGTCCTGCCTAAACTCCAAGAGGGATTCGATTCTACCACAGGAGGTTCATGGCAACTGCATCTGAGGATGCACTTAGATCTGTTTCTGTTTTTCTATTCTATTCCCTATTTCTATCTACTTCTAAGAGGATACTCTTAGATCCATTTCTTTTCTGGCAGGAAGCTAGGAAGCTAGGAACGGGTCCTGCCCTGGCTCTGAGCTGTCACCTTAAACACCATGTAAAGGTCCTCCAGCTCTTCAATGGAGAAACCAATGTCCACAGGTATAGCTCGGACCTAGAAGGAAGGAGAAACAGGGTATATAGCTGGATCACAAGCTCCTGGCACAGAAGTACGGCACTCTGTGAGAGCATCCTCGGCAGACAAGGGCAAGGGTGTGAACCGCCCTCTCAGTGGCCCAGCACTCAAGGGCGGACCCTTCGGGAGAGAGCGAGGCCCACAGCCCATCCCTGGCCCCCCACCTACCACTCAGCTCACACTCCGGGCTCCTTTCCAGGATGGGCGTGGGGGAGTCTCTCTCTCACACTCCGGGCCCCTTCCCAGGATGGGCGTGGGGGAGCCTCTCTCTCACACTCCGGGCCCCTTCCCAGGATGGGCTTGGGGGAGCCTCTCTCTCACACTCCGGGCCCCTTCCCAGGATGGGCGTGGGGGAGTCTCTCTCTCACACTCCGGGCCCCTTCCCAGGATGGGCGTGGGGGAGCCTCTCTCTCACACTCCGGGCCCCTTCCCAGGATGGGCGTGGGGGAGCCTCTCTCTCACACTCCGGGCCCCTTCCCAGGATGGGCGTGGGGGAGCCTCTCTCTCACACTCCGGGCCCCTTCCCAGGATGGGCGTGGGGGAGCCTCTCTCTCACACTCCGGGCCCCTTCCCAGGATGGGCGTGGGGGAGCCTCTCTCTCACACTCCGGGCCCCTTCCCAGGATGGGCGTGGGGGAGCCTCTGTCCTCAACGTGCAGCTGAGGTCGCAGAGTGAGGGATACTCATTTGGCTCCCGTCATCTGGATCCCTGCAGAGACCCTGGTGCCAGCTCTGTGGAAGGAGGCCGAGAACCTGCCAGCCAATGCTCCTGTACTTTAATTGGCCAAAGCAGTCAGTCTGTGGTGCTGCGACCCAATGTCCTTACAGTGTCCTACAAGCCTGCAGGAGGGCTGGGAATGTGGAAACAATGGAGGAAGTCCCTGCCTTTGGGGGCAGAGACCACAAACAGGTCTTGCAGCACAGGGTGGCAGGGAGGGCCTGGCCCCTCTAGAGATGAGAACAGCAGCTTGTGGCAGACACATGCCATTTGGGGTGTGCGGAGGATGGCGGCATGTTGCTACCTGGGAGTGGGGCAGGGAACACATGGGAAGCCAGGCTGGGCGGGCTCGGCCCAGAGGGCTGGGCATGTGGCTTTCAGGGTGGGAGCCATCTGAGAAGCTTCCCGGTGACACATCCACCAGCAGAGAAAAGTGACTGGAACCTCTCCCCACATTCCCACCTACACCCCTGGATCCCGGTCCCATGAATCCTACCATGATGTACATACCAAAGCAGTGTAGGAGACTGGGTGCGGTGGAGCCCTGTACCCACCCTGCTCTGTGGGGAAGGCACTGCTGCCCCCCCAGCCCAGCCCCTGCCCAGCCCTGCTGGCACCCATACCACACTCCTCTTGGCCGTGTCCTCCAAGGACTGGATCACTTTCAGCCTCTGTTTAAACCGCATCTGCTCAATGTCTTCGGCCCTCAGGCTGCTGAATTTCTATAGGGAGAGGTGACTTGGTGAGATCAAGCCAACTGCAGGGCAGAGGGCCACCACCTGCCCATAGCCACCCCAACCCACATGCCAGATGGAGCGGCCTGGCCAAAATGGCCCCACTGGGTGCTGACCTCATAGGACACTTTCAGGAGCTCAAAGATGTCCACCTCTGCAGGGGGGTCATCGCTGCTGCTCAGCAAGGCACGGAGGTGCGGGATAGGAGGAGAGACACTCTGCTTGTTGACCACATTATCCAGGTATCTGCAAAGGACAGAGGACAACAGTCCAGACCACGCCCAGGCAGAGGGAGCCTCCTTCCCACAGCTGGGTGATGCGGAGGGACCCAATCTTTATGCAGACTCCTAATAAGGAGTGTGCAGAGGACTGGGCACCCTGCAGGAGGGCAGAGGTGTGCCCTGGCAGCGCCCCCAGCAAGTTGGGGAGCCCTCTACAGGGCAGTGCCCCCGACAAGGCCTGAGCACTAACCCTGAGGACGCTGGGCTGTTTTCTTAGTCAGTGGGGGGGTCCCTTGGGCAGGAACGCCTTATAACCCCAGATCCTACCCAGTTGGAAGGATGACGAGCTTCCTCCCTTTGGCGGGGCCCTGGGGATGTGGGACCTTCTCGCCCTGGCCAAGAAGATTCAGGGATCAAAGGTTGAGTCGCAGGAGAAAGTCAGGTGTGGGGAGGCCTGCTGCAGCCCAGGGAATCAGCTTCTCTAGGGACACAGTCCTGGGGATGGAGCCCTACCTCTGTCAGCTGACCTAGCCCCGCCAGAGTTCATGGCCTCTCTGGGTCCCTGGGCTGAGCCTGACACTCAGGTGGGAGGAGGTAGCTGACTCCCCATGCCCATAGCCCTGGTCATATCCCCAGTCAGACCCCTGCTCTGGAGGAGGCCCTATCCGCCTATTGTAGGAAGCGGCAGGAAAACCAGCCACAGACTCCGGCCACAGGCTGAGTATCTTAACATCAGTGTGGACCAAAAGCTACTTAGGCCCACAGTAGGGAGGTGACAACCCTGCTGGATCTAGAGAGTCCCAGGCAGCACCTGGCCTGGCCATGGGCAAGTGGCAGAGTCCCAGGCTGTTCCTGGGGGCTGGGGGCATTCCAGTCCGGACAAATACGCTATGTAGGAGGGTGGGACTGCACAGAGCTCAGGGCAGGGCAGAGTGTAGCCAGGAGGGGCCGGGGCTTGAAGGCCAGGCTGGAGGCTCAGACAGTGCCTTTGTACAGAGGACCCAGGGAAGGGGCAGGGCCAGGTCTGATCAGAGTCATGGGATGCAGGCAGGTCAAAGACTGAGAGGGGAACCCCAGGGAAAGGGCATGGTGGGCCTGGGCTGAGGCAGCAGGCTGAAGGGAAGGGGCTGGATCCCAGACAGAATCTGCAAGAGATGGGATGTGGGGACTAAGGAGGGGGTGGAGGGGCTGGGATGACCCTGGACATTTGGCGTGACTAGTGGGACATCAGCTCATCCAGCTGTTCCAGCGGGCCCAGGGCAGGCCTGCTCCCTCCAGGGCATGGGGGCTGCAATGCAGCTGAGCTTGGAGAGGTATGACCGGGACCACCTGGTGGACATGAAATGCCCAGCTGTGCCACCAACTGGAATTGTGGTCACTGGATCTTGGCTCTGGTTTGCCCTCAGGGGAAGCATCTCCAACCCTACATCTGAGCGGTGGCCCTCCAGCCAGCATGCTCTGCCCGCAGTGCCTGCTTTACTCCTCCTGGCACCTATCACTGAGCGCTGCTTCATCTCCCACTAGAAAGGAGCCGCCTCCTGACCCCAGAGCACCCCCGGGTCCAGCTGCAGCCTGGCACTTGGTGGGCACAGTCACTTCAGGCTGACTGGACAGTGCCCGGGGCTGGTGAGGGGTTCTGCTGTGAGCCCCCAGCAGGAGAAGGAACCCGGCATGTCACCTGCCCAGCATGGTCATGGCCTCGCCCTCGTCGCTGCAGCCCAGCAGCTGCTCCATGTTGGCGTCCAGGACGGCCAGGGCCACCTGCAGGATCACCTTGATGCCCTCATAGAAAAAGCAGTCGACGATGACCACGGCGCTCTCGAAGGGCATGACGCTGAGGAAGAGGGTCAGGAACCAGGACAGCGAGATGCTGGAGATCACCCCCAGGTCCTGCATCTTCTCCGAGAGCTGCGGCAGGAAGTCTCTCGTGAGCTCTTCGAAGATGCCTTGGTCCACCAGGGCTCCTGCGGGCAGGATGAGCGAGGCTGATGGTGAGCCCACCCTGTGGCCTGGGTGGGCCCTCACCTGCAGCGTACGAGCCCTGGCCACTCCAGCCCTGCCAGCTGTGCAGTGAGGGCTGAGGGAGACTTGGAGTGCTGGGAGAAAACAAGGACGAAAAAACCCTTCAAGTCTCTCTACAGCTCCCAAACCACTGGGCGAAATAACTATTTCTTCTACTACACTTGAATTTTATTTTGGGGAAATACTGATTTCTCCGTAAGGCATGAGAGGTAAACAGCACCCTCAATGACTCTGTCCCATCCTGATGATTGTGAATAGACGCAGCTCTGAAGGACCCCAAGAGCGGTAACTCCAAACACCAGACAGCAGGGGAAGGACAGGATAACATGCTTAAATATGAACCTAATTAAACACTCTTGCAAGTCCATTTCCACTTCATAACAGATTTCACTGGATATGAGTTCAGTAAAGTTGAGCATCAGGTTACATGGGGGATATATACTCTCTAGTTTTGATGTTTGAAATTTTCCATAATCAAAAAGTTGACAGGAAGTTAGATGGATAGGAATTTAGGCTCTGAGGGGACTTTTATAAACCACCGAATGTGTAATACTACCCTCTAACTCCTAGGGAACCCACGTGAAGCCTGGAGCTTGGCCTGGGAAGGGCTGCCACCCTCATGGAACCAGCAGGCACCTGGAGACCCAGGCGAGGCAGCACCCGGGGACACTCACCCACCACCCTGGTGTTGTAGTAGTCGGGCAGCATGCGCTCGCACAGGGCCACCAGGAGCCAGAAGGCCTCCTCCTCACTGCCATAGAGCAGGAGCACCGAGGTCACGATGTTCATTGCCTGCCGGGCACAGAGACAGCCGGGGAAGGCTTGCACTGCTGGCCAGCAAATAAAACTGTCTCTCCCCACCCCTCCCAGCCACCCCTCCCTGCAAGGGCCCACATGATCTTCTTTTTGTTGTTGTTATTTTTATTATTTTTCAGGTTCTCGTGGTGAAGATTAATGGCCTCCTCCTACAAGCAAATCTGCCTCTTCAGGAGGGCTGGGCATCCGGTAATGAGAAACTGCCCCTACCCAACTCTGGGAAATGTCAAAAGGCAATTTGTAGGAAACTGATGGAACAGAGAGTCTGCCAACTCCTTCAAACTGGGTCAGAAGGCACTGGGAAACCAGAGAAGGTGAACATCAACACATCACACTTCTGCGGAGTGGTGTTGGGTGTTGGAGGTGGGATTATGACCAAGCTGATGTGGAGGTGAGCCACAAGGCCAGAGCCCCACACCAAGGCCACCCACTCGGTGCACAACTAGGACCACACACAGCCCTAGCTGCTAACAAGACCTTTAAGGCAAACAGAAAGCCATATGACTTGGCCAGGAAAATGCCTAGATTTAAAATCAAAAGCTGCGAGAAATGCTAACCTAAAGTACAATTAGATACCCTCATGCCCATCACTCTAACAACAACAGAATATAGCAAGTGTTGATGAGGATGTGGAGAAATCGGAACCCTTGTGAACTGCTGGTGGGAATATAAAATGGTGCAGCTGCTGGGGAGGAAGTATGGAGTTCCTCAAAAAATTAAAAATAGGCCAGGCCACAGTAGCTCACACTTTGTAATCCTAGCACTTTAGGAGGCTGAGGAGGTCGGATCACTTGAGCCCAGGAGTTCAAGACCAGCCTGGGCCACACAGTGAGACCCCATCTCTATAAAAAATACAAAAAGTAACTGGGCGTGGTGGTGTGTACCTGTAGTTCCAGCTACCCAGGAGGCTGAAGTGGGAGGATCGATTGAGCCCAGTAGGTGGAGGCTGCAGTGAGCCATGATCATGCCACTGAGATCCAGTGTGGGCAACAGAAGGAGATCCTGTCTCAAAAAAAAAAAAAAAAAAAAAAAAAGCCCAGGAATGGTGGCTGGTGGCTCACGCCTATAATCCCAGCACTTTGAGAGGCTGAGGCGGAAAGATCACTTGAGCCTAGGAGTTTGAGGCCAGTCTGGGCAAGACAGTGAGACCCCATGTCTAAAAAAAAAATATTAGCTGGGTGTGGTGGTACATGCCCTGGGAGGCTGAGACCGGAAGATCCCCTGGTCCAAGGAGCTTGAGACCAGCCTGGACAACATAGCAAGACCCTGTCTCTAAAAATAATAATAATAATTTAAAATAAATTAAAAATAGAAATACTGGCCAGGCACAGTGGCTCACGCCTGTAATCCCAGCACTTTAAGAGGCCAAGGCAGGTGGATTACCTGATGTCAGGAGTTCAAGACCAGCCTAGCCAACATGGCGAGACCCCGTCTCTACTAAAAATACAAAACATTAACTGGGCATGGTGGCACATGCCTGTAATCCCAGCTACTCAAGAGGCTGAGGCAGGAGAATCGCTTGAACCTGGGTGGTAGAGGTTGCAGTGAGCTGAGACTGCACCACTGCACTCCAGCCTGGGAAACAAGAGTGAGATTCTATCTCAAAAAAAAAAAAAAAAAAAGAAAAGAAAAGAAAAGAAAATGTGGTCTATGTAATATGATGGAGCCTGAGAAAGAAATTCTGACACATTCATATGACATGGATGACCCTTGAGGATATCTTGCTAAGTGAAATAAGCCAGGCACAGTAAGGCAAATACTGTGTTATTTCACTTATATGAGACACAGTAGTCAAATTCATAGCAATGGAAAGTAGAACAGTGGTTGCTAATGGTGATCGGGGCATGTTTAATGGGCACAGAGCTGTGGTTTTGCAAGATGAAGAGAGGTCTGGGGATGGATGGCGGTGACGGGCGTGCAACAGTGTGAATGTGCTTAGAGCACTGAGCTGCACGCTTAAAAACAGTGAAGATGGGACATTTTATGTTCTGTATGTGCCTGTTTCACCAAACACATACAACAATCAAATGCTGCTGGGACTCAGACAAAAGTACAAAGACGACGACTTCTATTCGGCATGGGGATGCGATGAGCAATTAATACTGTTTTTAAATTACATCTTTTTCTGCTGGGCTCCTTCCTTGGGACACAAGGCAGGGTCACCACACAGGCCTGGGACCACAGGGACCTGCTCCTGTGAACCTCTGGTGGCAGATGCTGTCTCTGGGCCCCTGTCAGGCCCCTTACCTGGCAGTAGCCGATGGTGGGGTTTCGGAAGGCATAGGCAGTCAGCACCCGCCGGAGGGCAGCAATCCCCAGCTCGTTCTGGAAGGCAGGGTGCTCGGGCATGGAGCGGTGCAGGTCTCGCTCGATCTCCTCTGTGGCCAGGCTGTACTTCCCGGTGGACTTCTCCACCAGCTCAGCATAGTACCCGGGGTGAGTCACCATCTCATTCCAGGCCCCTGGGGAGACACGGGTGCCAGCTGTCTCTGTCCTTCTTCTGGTACTTTGGGGGCAGTAACAGGGCAGGTTGGAGTCACCGGGTGCCCCACAGAGGAGAGGTGGGACTTGGGGTCAAGCACAAGCTGCGAGGCAAGGTTTCCCTTGTGCTCCTGGGGAGGGTGCTCTACCCGAAAGTTCAAGTGGCTGACTTGCCTCTTCCAGCAACCACGGGTGTGAATGCTGTCAGAGCCTGTCCCAAGGAAAGGAGGCCTCTAGGGGACCTGTTTCCCTCCCGCTGTGGGCGGGAGGGCACCACCCGGCCAGCAGAGTGCCCATTCCCCAGCCTCTGTCCCTCGAGATGCTCCTTCTGGTTGGGTCCCGGGCCAGAGCCCAGAGCCCAGAGCCCGGCTCCCGGCTGTGTGAAAGAGCTGGGAGCTCCTGCCTGGCCAACTCCAGGCCGGCTCAGGACAGACGAGCTCACACGGGGAGAGCTTGGGGACTGACTGGCTGAGCTGAGGCTGGGGGTGGCTGCACCCCACTCACCGGAGAAGAGGAGCCACAGCTCTCCCCGGAGGCTCTCAGGGATACCCTTCAGGACCAGTGCCCGCGTCTTGGCTGTGCGGTACATGCACACGCCACGCCCGTACTCGAAGAAGTGGATGTGCCATGACTCCTCTTTCATCTTCTCCTTGGCCTGAGGGAAAAGCGCATCAGGGAGCCTGGGGGCCGAAGCGCATCTGAGTGCCGAGGCCTAGGCCACCGCGGAAGCCTCGTGAACACTCCAGACAGTGCTGGCCAGCAAGTGTGGCCTTCCTCGCAATTCCCGGGAAAGACCAGGCCGCGCTGAGCCACACCTCCCAAGGCTCAGGAGACCAGCTCCTCAGCGGGAGGGCCCTTCCCTTCAGAGGCCTGGAGTCCGTGGCAAACAGCACACTGAGCAGGTCAGCGGAGCCCCCCAGAGAGTGCCTGCTCCGTCTCACGCTGCCAGGGTGCAGCCTGGGTGGGCACTGCCCAGCGGTCAGCCCAGGGCCCTGAGGGAAGGCCCAGGCCCAGGACTGGCTCCAGCTTTCCTCCTGAGGGCTCCGCTCTTGACGGAGGCTGGAGTGCCGGCGCTCAGGGCTCACCCCCTTGGCTCCAAGGTCCTCCATGGGCGAGTTTTTCTGGAAGAGCTTCAGCAGGCCCTGGGATGCGGTTGGCGCCTCCTGCGCACAGAAGCTCTGGCGGCTGCTGAGGGGAGAGGCTGGGCTGGCGGGCTGCTCCGACCCCTCCTGAGGAGCTGGGGAAGACTAGAAAATAAAACAGGGAAGGGGACGCCCTAACAACTGTGCTGCCAGGTGGCCTCTGATGCGCCCATCCATCCAGAGCTGGATCGGGGCCCGGTGCAAGAAGGGCCATGGGGGCAAACGGTGCACGGAGAAGAGCCTGTCTGGCTGGGCAGGAGGCTGTGGCTGCAGCTCAGCCCTCAGCTCCTCTCTGGCTGCTGGACACCGAGTCCTCAGTAATTAACCCCACTCTCACCAGCGAGTCAGTCTCAGGGAGCGGGTTCTGGGCTCACCCTGTGGGGCCCTTTTCTGAGGGGGGTCAGTGCAAAGGACAGGAGAGGCCCTATCCTAACGTGGAGGCACACCCCTGCCCACCCTCGGGCCCATGCTTCCTGGGCTGCACAGAGGGCTGGGTGATGGCCTGTGATGTTGGGCTGGGCTCAGGGTGGGTTTAGGGCGACTGCGTCACCCGGTTGCTACCAAGGAAATGAGTGGCCCTTCTGCAGGAGTGTTGGGATAACCCAGGGAGCATGCAAGGCCTGCTGCTGCCATCATGGTGCCACACCGGCCTGAGAGTGATGCTGTCTTGGCAGAAAGCAAAGTCCAGTGGGGGAGAGCCCAGCTCGACCAGGGCCAGCTGACTGCCTGAACTTCTTGGCTGGGCAGGTGGTCGATTCCCCATGGTGGGCTCTGGCCTGGGCTGGGCTCTCTACCCCTCACACCCTCCCACTGGCTCTGGTCCCGTGGCCACGGTCCCACTCCACCCAGGGCTGGGGCAGCTGCCAGGGTGCTGGGCGCCCTCCTAAAACACTTCACATTCTGTGTTTTTTTGAGAGAACCCTGATCTTGACTGTGGTGATGGCTTCATGGGCGTATACCTGTTAAAACGTACCAAATTGTATTCCTTAAATATGTACAGTGTATTGCGTATCAATTTTACCTCAATAAAGTTGTTATTAATATAAAAGGAAAAAGGAAAAAAAAAAAGAGAGAACTCTGCTAGGTTCACACCCACAGTCTACCCCTCTGGCCCCTGTGATGTTAGAAATGGATTTTGGGTCCACTTAAACAAATGTTGACGACAAGCTGCCTGAATCCAGTGGGCACGGCCCCAGCGCAGACTGACTGCCTGCCTGGAGATCCTGCTTCCCACCTGAGCTCCCCCAGAGGGACCGACTAGGACACACACGGGCTCGCAGGCTGTGAGGTGCCTTGGAGGATCACACATCTCAGTGCCAGGGAAGGAGCCACACCGCCGGGTGTGTGGCGTGCAGCAGACGTGTGCTCCTGGCCAGGGAAGGGGCCAGACCGCCGGGTGTGTGGCGTGCAGCCAACGTGTGCTCCTGGCGAGGCGGCAAGCGTGGCACCAAGCTCAGGGACCAGGCGGCTTTCGGCAGAAGCTTGGCTCAAGTCCCACCTTACATTCGGGCTTACTGGCCTCAGGTGGGTGCTCAGAGCTGCCTGGGATCTTATGTATTCCTAGTCCAGTCCTCCCCTCTTCCCCGAGGTAACCACCTCACATAAACCTCCAAAACCACTTGCCATCCTTGCATCCCACTGAACCACACTTCTTCCTGTTTAACTGAGAACAGGGAACAATCCGAGCCCTCCACGGGTGCCCTCCTGCCCGCCCACCTGCCTGCACCTGGACCCCATCCCCTGCCTTCTCTGCAGGAGTCGCTCTCCCAGCACAGAACTGCACTGTTACTCCTCTAAAGCCCACCCTCACTTTGGCTGGGTGCTGTTCACCTATTATGCTCCCTCTGCTAAGATTCATCCAGTTGTACACCGTATGTTTACTTTTGGATATATATGTTAAACTTCAATTAAAATTCTAGCCCTCCCAGAAGTTACCTCCATTACTCTGTTGACCTTTATACAAAATTTCTTGAAAGAGATGCTTAATCTCACTGTCTCCTTTCCCCCTTTCAAGTTTTTTTCCCTGTTAGAAAGTGTATATTTATACTGTAACATTTTATGCTAATATCATTATATAGTTTCTTAGTCCTCTCTTTTTAAGATGTCAGTTCCCTACTACAAGCAATATTGAAATTAGCTAGCAGGCCTTTTCTTCCCACTTTCCTCCCTCTCTGCCAACATCTGATCAAAAGGATATATTTTTAATTAATAAGGCAATCAGTGAGCTTATTCTATTTTCCATATCTTTCCATATACCTTCCGTTTTTTTTTTTTTTTTGAGATGGAGTCTTGCTCTGTCACCCAGGCAGGAGTACAGAGGTGTGATCTCAGCTCACTGCAACCTCTGCCTCCTGGGCTCAGGCAATTCTCCTGCCTCAGGTTCCCAAGTAGCTGGGATTACAGGTGTGTGCCACCATGCCCGGCTAATTTTTGTATTTTTAATAGAGACGAGGTTTCACCATATTGGCCAGGCTGGTCTCAAACTCCCAACTTCAGGTGACCCGCCTGCCTCGGCCTCCCAAAGTGTTGGGATTACAGGCATGAGCCATCAAGCCCAGCCTCATATACCTCCCTAACCTCAGGTTTTGATTGTACTATGTCTCCATCATCAGAGATTATAACATTTATATACTGTCACCTCTATTCCTACTATCTAACCTTAATTCCACAGCTAAATATAATCAATGCTACCACCAGTCGTTAGGCCCAAGCTGCTTCCATCACTCCTTGGTTATCTGGAGTCTGTTCTCCAGCAGACTCCACAGAAGCTGAGAGAGCCCCTGAACTCCTCTGCATGTTCTTTACAGCCTATGGTCTTTATACCTGAACGTCAGTTTGGCTGGGTATAAAATCCCTGGGTCACAGCTTCTTTTATTGTATATCTTAAAAATGTTACTCTGTATAATCTCAGCACTCTGGGAGGCTGAGGCAGGTGGATCACCCTAGGTCAGGAGTTCGAGATCAGTCTGGCCAACATGGTGAAATCTCAACCCCATCTCTACAAAAAATACAAAAATTAGCCAGGCATGGTGGCACATACACGTAGTCCCAGCTACTCACGGGCCTGAGGCACAAGACTGCTTGAACCTGGGAGGCAGAGGTTGCAGTGAGCCGAGATTGTGCCACTGCACTCCAGGAGACACCCTCCCCAACCCCCAACAAAAAGTTACTCTAAAATGTTGTTACTGTATCACAAAGTCTGATACCTCTCTTGAGGAGGAATCTCTCAGGATCGTGGCCCATTGCAACCTCCTTCTCCCACCTCCTGGGTTCAAGTGATTCTTGTGCCTCAGCCTCCCAAGTAGCTGTGATTCCAGGCATGTGCCACTATACCTAGCTTAGTTTTGTATTTTTAGTAGAGACAGAGTTTCACCATGTTGGCCAGGCTGGTTTTGAACTTCTGGCCTCAAGTGATCTGCCTGCTTCAGCCTCCCAAAGTGCTGGGATTACAGGTGTGAGCCACTGTGCCCAGCCTGGAATAATTTTTTAATCTTTAAAATTGAACAGTTTTATGAGATTTTATGTCAATATCGACTATTTTGTGTTGATTTTTCTAGACATTCAATGTGTCCTTCCACTATACAAGTTCAAGCTTATTTTATCAGTTTTCCTGAATCACAGTTTCTATTATCTGTTATTCCACTGCTTTTTTCTGGGAAGGGTGTGGGATGGCACTACGATTATACGTAAGTTTGATCTTCTTTGCCTAACTTCTTTATCCCTTCTCTGGACAACTTCTTCTCTATTTGTTTGAGTCTCCTCTGACTCCATTTTTCTCCTATCTCTTCCTTATTTACCTTAATGTATTTTCATTCTTGTGTTCCTGATTTTCATTTCAGAAATATCTGGTTTTTTTTTTCTTATTTCCTCCTGAGTCCTGTCAACTCTCTTCATATTTTTCTGTTGACTAGTCACTTTTAACCTGAGCTTTTTAAACATTTTTAATTTATACCATTCTTTAGTAGTTTCTGTCGTTTTTCTAATTCCTTTGAGATCACTCAGAAACATCAGGACACAGTTTTCATCTGCCTGGAGGAATGTTTTTCTGGTGTGCTTTCATTATCTGTGGGAGGTTATCTGGTTCACTTTCTCCCCGCAATATCTTTGTACAGGGTGTGATCAGCATCTTTTCCTGTTCTTTCAGCAGGATGTTCTACGTACGGGCAGTTGTGGGTCAGAGTAGCTTTCTGAACTCCACAGCTGGAGAGGCCTTTCCCCTGCTGTGGTCGGTCTGTGTAGTCCTTGCTCCTGTACTTTCTGGGATTGGCCACCTCTTTCTTGTATCTAAAGCTTTTCTCCTTTACCCCAAGTGTTCCTGCTCTGTTCAATCCCAGTCCTTTTTTTCTTGGGGTGAGCTCTTGTCTTTCAGAAGAGAAGTTTTTGTTAAGGGCATGGGTTTCCCTCACATTCTTGATCTTTCCTCAGCCGTATAATACGTCAGGCAGCGATAAGGCTGTGGGTAGAAATAAAGCAGGATTTTGTGCTTCCATTAATAAAAAAAAGCCTCCTCTATAAACTGGAGCCTGAGAAATCGGCTCCCAATTTCACTGGCTGTCTCTCAGATTCACTTGTTGAGGTTTCCATTTGCTGAGTAGTCTCTTGTGAGGGGTATTCTGGTGACTTCTGGATTCCTTGGCTCTTAGGACTATCAGAGCCCCTCTTCCTTCCCGCCATTGCCTCAGCACAGCTACTGGCTCTGTGTCTGCACAGAGTCATGCCACAGTTGGTGGTCTGGCCTCCAACTGTGGTGCACAGTTGGTGGATAGAGCATAGCACGGAGGTTCCTTGAAATATTAAAAATAGAACTGCTATACAATCCAGCAATTCCACTCCAGGGTATGTCCCCAAAAGAACTGAAAGTAAAGATTCAAACAGACATCTGTACACCCATGTTCACAGCAGTGTTACTCATAATAGCCATGAGGTGGAAGCAGTCCAAGTTTCAACAGTGAACAAAACGTGGCTTATCCATACAATGGCATATGATTCAGCCTTAAAAAAGAAATCTTGAGCACGCTACAACAGGGATGAACCTGGAGGACATCACGCTGAATGAAATAAGCCAGGCACAAAAGGGAAAATACTATATGCTTCCACTTATGTGCATTACCTAGAATAGTTCAATTCAAGTCAAAAAGGTAGAATGGTGCTTGCCAGGGGCTGGGGGAGTGGGGGCTGAGGAGTTACTGTTTAATGGGTTCAGAGTTTCAGTTTTGCAAAACTGAAAAAGTTCTGTGGATGGATGGTGGTGATGGCATAGCAATGTCAATGTACTTAATGGTAAATGTTGTTATGTGTATTTTATCACAATAGCGTCTCCTGAATCTGACCCCTTCTTACACCTACACTGTTCCTACCCTTGATGCTCGACTCCATCATCTTGTGCCCCTGCTTCTGTGATGGGCTCCAGCCGGCCTCCTTGCTTCTATTCTTGCCACTCTCTAGTCCAGCACTGCCCAAGAGAGATGATGAGAGCCACAAATGTAATTGTAAATTTTCTAGTAGCCACATTGTAAAGTCCTAAAGTAAATTATTGAGATTAATTTTAACAATATATTTGACTTAATCCAATATATCCAAAATACTCGCATTTCAACAGGAATCAATTAAAAAATGATGGAGTGGCCAGGCACGGTGGCTCACCCCTGTAATCCCAGCACTTTGGGAGGCTGAGGCAGGTGGATCGCCTGAGGTCAGGAGTTCAAGACCAGACTGGCCAACATGGCAAAAACCCGTCTCTACTAAAAATACAAAATAAGCCGGGCGTGGTGGTGGACGCCTGTAATCCCAGCTACTCGGGAGGCTGAGGCAGGAGAATCACTTGAACCTGGGAGGCAGAGGATGCAGTGAGCCAAGACTGCCCCACTGCACTCCAGCCTAGGTGACAGAGCAAGACTCTGTCCCCCCCCCAAAAAAAAAAAGATGGAGGTATTTTACGTTTTTCTTTTCATACGAAGTCTCCAAAACCCGTGTACAGTGATCTGAACACTCACAGCACATTTCCATTGGCACCCGCTGGATTTCCAGTGCTCCATGGCCACACGTGGCTGCTGTACTAGACGGGGCACCTCTAATCCACTGTCAACATGGACGGCCACAGTAACCCCATTAACACGTAAACAGGTCGTGCCCTCCTCTGGTCATGACTCTTCACTGGCTTCCCCTCTCACCTGAAGTCAAAGCTGCAGCACTCACAGGGCCTACGGGCTTTCGGTGACTTGGCCTTCTGCCACCTCTCTGGTCTCACCTCCTACACCTGGTCAGTCTCCTAAGCCCTGGTCCCAGAAGCCCGTGCCACATCCAATCCTGTCTCCCAGCTTGCTGTGCTCTCTGCCTCCAACACCCTGCCCCAGACAGGCTATGGCTAGTTCCCCTGCTTCTTTCGAGTTTCTCCTCCAGTGCTGCCTGATCAGAGAGGTTGCCCATGAGCAACAGAGAGAAAATGGAGCCCCCTTCTTTCCCCTGGCACTCCTGATCCCCTCATCCTGCTTTATTTCTACCCACAGCCCTTATCACTGCCTGACATATTGTATGTTTATTTGCTTACTGCCTCCCTCACTGGAATACAGCTCTAAGTGAACAGGCACTCTGTCCGATGTGTTCACTGTTCTACTCCTGGGGCCTAGAATAGCAGCTGGCACCTAACAGGAATGCAATAAAATGTGTTTGGATGCATGAAGCCGAGTGCCTGGGAGGGGCCGTGAGTGGTGCTTACTCAGCTTTCAGGAAGTGTGGGGCCTCATGGAGGCAGAGGAGGCTCGACCACCCTGTTCACTGCCCCTGCCACTCAATCCAACTTCACTCTTTCTTGAAATCCCAGATGAAGCCCAACCTTCTCCACACCTTTCTTCATGTCTGCAATCCACATTGATTCCGCCCACCCCTTCCCATGCGCTCACTGACGTAGTAATTTATTTAGCATCTATTACTGGGGCAGACAATGTAAAGGTCTGCCTGGGCCAGACCACACACGGCTCTAGAGCATGGAGGACACGCACAGCCCCAGCTCCCACGCCCGCTGCCCAATGGGATGGGGCCTTTAGGGCTGGGCACTGACTTTTCTAGAGAAGCTGGATCTGTGAATTTGCATATGGACTCTTCTAATGGCCAAATGTTTTTGCAAATTCAGACTCAACGACAGCAGCAGCACATCCATCTTGTCACACCAGAAAGCAAGGAATCAAAGACGACCAGTGTCGTGCCCAGGGACTCTCAGGGCTAGACCAGATGAGCCCCTCTGGCCACAGACAGAATAAGCATAGTGATTCCAGTGGAAAGACACACATCAAGTTGCTTAAATCCATACGTTCATAATTACAATAAAAAGTAAACCAAAAAACTCACTGGTCACATGTGGAAGACACTAGAAAACCAACTCATCATTATTTTGACAACTGGTGAGTAAGAGGAAAGAGTAAAACATGTATTCCACCTTTCCTCTATGAACTGTGCCTGGGGTCAGCTTCCCTCTTTGGGAGAATTTCAGCTCCCAGACGAAAGGAGGAATGGAATGAGCATGCCGCTGGCCACTGGCCGCTGGATCCAGGCATATTCTCAATGACTGACAGTAGCATAGAGAGGTGGCTGGTTGCCAGACATCTCTTGTTGGGAATAAACAGCACCTCAAGCCTGCCCACAGGCGGACCTGCCAGAACCAAAATCAGCTGAGCCTGAATGTGATCACGGCTCTCGGTCTCACCGCTCAACCAACTTAAACAAGAGACACAGGAGCTTGCTAAACGCCTGCAGCGGATGCAATCAGCAAAACCAGACGATGAGAGACTCTATGGCACAAGTGACCGATTCCTTCAAAAAAATATTGTGGAAGAATAAACGAGAGCTAGGTGGAGCAGAAGCCCGTAGATTAAACAGATTTAAGAGACCTATCAACCAAGAGTGACATGTGTGACTTTCGTCTGCCTCAGTTCAAATAATCAAACCGTGAAAAGTACACTTGCACACGGGGAAGTGTGAATACAATATTTGGTGATATTAAGGAATTCTTGTTAAGTTTGCTGGTACAATAGTGATACTGCAGTTCTACCGTCAAGAACTTCAGCCTGAACGCCTGGCAGGGAAGGTCATGGGAACAAAGCCGAAGTGTACAGGCCTCCACAGTGTGGCTTTGCTCTGAGTGCAGCAGCAATGCAGAAAGGACAGCCAGAGAAGGTTCCTCATGGGCAATGGGCCCAGCAGGAGTGAGGAGTACCGGGTGTGTGGCTGGGGGTGCAGAGAGGCTGTGATGTTGCTGGGCAGTGTGGGTCTGGGCTAGGGGTCTCTTGCCAGCTCTGACACATCCACCCCTAGGCGGAGGCCCACAGCCGGAACCATGGGGTCAGGCTCCAGCGGGGAGGCTGATGGATGCCCTGGCTCTTCCTGGGCCCAACTCGACCCTGCTGCTCCCAAGGGGCTTCTCACCTCTGTGCTAGGGTCCACAACACTGGCTTTCCTGCTCCCGATACTGCCTGGCTGCTTGGATGGTGTTTTCTGGAGGAAGTCAGAGATCCTCTGCACCAAGAAATCACGGTCTTTCAGGTTGGCAAACAGGAATGTCATTTTGCTTTTGGTGCTGATGGACAGGGGGCTGGGCAGCACGCTGGAGCTGTCAGCTTTTTCGACAATGGTCACCTGAGAAGGTGAAAGAACTCTTTTGGGTGTCTGCATCTCAGGCCCTGCAGCTGGGCATGCTTTGTGAATGGCAGACTGTCATGCAGCTGTCCTCTCCTGGGCACAATGCAGTGAGTGGCCCAACTGTCCTCACATTCTGACTCTGCCACCCGCTGCACCTAACCCCGAGCAAGTTGCCTGTGCCTCTAAGGGCCCGTTTTTCCTGTCGATGGCGGGGAGCACACCGGCTGTGCAGGGTGGTTCTGAGGATGATGTAGTGTTCAGCCCAGCTGCTGGCCTTCACTGGCTCTCAGAAGGCTGTCCGAAAGCAGGGCAAGCAGTCCCTTGCTTGCAGGACTGTTCCCTGCACTTGTTCCCAGGGAACACTTTTTGACAGCAGGGGTCCTGGAGCTTGGCTCTGAACCCCTCTGAGGTGTAGAGGGCACAGGACAAGCTTTCAGTGGGCACCTCTGCAGAGCCCAAGGCCTGGCAGGGAGACGGACGAGGGATGCACCAGCTGAGCACAGTCAGCAGGGGTGAGTGCTGGGAAGAGGGAAGGCTGGGTGGTCCCAGGGGAGGCGGCCACTGAGCTGAGACCTGGTCCAGCCAGGTGAGTGCTGGGGAAGAGATGGGTGGGGGCACAGCAGTCACCCTGCAGAGGGGAGTAGGACTGCCTGAGGGAGGAAGAGAAGGCCAGAGAAGCCAGGACAGTGTGAGCTGGGCAGTGGTGGAGGTGAGTGTGCACTTTTTTTTTTTTTGAGACGGAGTCTCGCTGTCGCCCAGGCTGGAGTGCAGTGGTGCGATCTCAGCTCACTGCAAGCTCTGCCTCCCGGGTTCACGCCATTCTCCTGCCTCAGCCTCCCAAGTAGCTGGGACCACAGGTGCCCACCACCACGCCCGGCTAATTTTTTGTATTTTTAGTAGAGACGGGTTTCACCATGTTAGCCAGGATGGTCTCGATCTCCTGACCTCGTGACCCACCCGCCTCAGCCTCCCAAAGTGCTGGGATTACAGGCGTGAGCCACCGCGCCCAGTCTGAGTGTGCACTTTTTATGTCTGTGTGTGAACATATCCATGGGGTGTGCCTGGGCGCAGGTCTGAGAGGGGGAGAGGCGCACAGAAGGCCTCACAGGTCACAGGAGGCAGGTGGGAGAGGCGCACAGAAGGTCTCACAGGTCATAGGAGGCAGGTGGGAGAAGACTCTAGAGGACTCTAAGCAGGGTGCCAACATGCTCCCACTGACATTTCGAATTTTGCTGGTTGCTGTGGGAGGATACGCCATAAAGGGGCTAAGTGTGTTAGGCCGGGTGTGGCGGCTCAGGCCTGTAATCCCAGCACTTTGGACGGCTGAGGGAGGATCACTTGAATCCTGAAGTTTGAGACCAGCCTGGGCAACATGATGAATCCCTGTCTCTGTTAAAAATTTAAAAAAAACAGCTAGGTGTGGTGGCAAGCATCTGCTGTCCCAGCTACTCGGGAAGTTGAGGTGGGAGAATCACTTAAGTCCGGGAGATGGAGGCTGTAGTGAGCCATGATCACACCACTGCACTCCTGCCCAGGCAAGAGTGAGACCCTGTCTCAAAAAAAAAAAAAAAAAAAAAAAAGGCGGGGGTTGGGGTTCAGTGTGGTTAGGGAGTGGCTAAAGCAGATGATGGTGTCTTAGGTGGTGTCCGTGGAGAGGAAGGGCTGAGCTCTGCGGGGTGAGCTGGCAAGACATGCTGTAGGGAGGAGGGAGAGGTCGGAATCTAGGCCGATACGTGGCTTTTACCTGGGCAAAGGGTGGAAGAGGGGTCACTTCCCGAGGGAAGCATGGAAGCGGGTGGTTGGGAGTGAAATTCAAGAGTCCACTACACCCACAGCAGAGTGAGCTGCGTGCGCAAAAGCCTGCAGGCTGGAACGTGGAGGAGCAGGTGTGTTGAGGGGTCAGCGCTGGCTGGGCAGGCGGCCCCCACCCTGACCAGCTGCAGAGTTCCATCACCAGAGCACACTCAGTCCTCCAGTGTGAGCTAGTCCTGCTCCCCGAGCTCCGCCAGGGCTCTCTACCATCTGAGATGTCAAGGGCCCGGCAGGAGAAATCCAAACGGAGCCTCAGGTGTCAGGAAGACCCCTAGGCCTGGGGGACAGGTCAGTACAGTGCCCCGGACAGATCCACAGGGCCCTGGTGCTAACAGAATGTGGGGTTCGGGTCACACCTGAGCCTCTTAACCTGGAGCTTTTGGAGCTGTGGCTCTTCTGAGTTCCTTCCCTCTGACTTCCCTTGGGGAAACTGAGGCAGCAACTCTCCCACACCTATTCTCAGCTACATCTGCAACTTGAGGGATTTGTGCAAATGGCAGGGAGGTCTTTAAGTTAAGAATCTCACTTGATTCTTCTTATAATTAAACAGTCAGAGCCCTGCTTGGCCACAAGGAAAAGGAGGCCTTGGGACCTGTCCTGACTCAGTCTCATGCCTTCTATTTGGGCAAGGGCCCTTGTCCTTGCTGTCCACACCCCTTCGGTGCAGTGCAGGACAGATGGCCTTGCTCCCACCAGGGTCACTGTGGAAGTCCAAGAAACCCAAGAAGGAGCAAGTGAGAGCCAATGCAGCCTCACAGGGGAGAGCCGACGCCGCCCCACAGGGGAGAGCCGACCTCTGATGGCCTGCTGGAGCCGAGCCACGCCAAGGTGGTATGTCCAGAGAGGACTGGTGAGGTGGCCTCTGAGAGTGACATATGGGACCGGTGCAGGAACACGGTCCTCTAAGCGCAGCCACGGAGCAGCACTTTGCCCTGCAGGGCCCAGAAGGCAGGCCTGATGGAAACTCACGCGTGGGAGACCCTGTCTCCACTAGGCAAGTGACCTGAGAGGGCAAGCAGTGTGCCCCCACCATGTTACCTGCCTCCCCAACAGGGCAGGTGCCTGTGGAGGGGCTCACTTGTCCTACACCCTCCACCTGTCCCATCACTGAGTGACATGTGACTGCCTGGGCTAGGGCATCCTCCCAGGTACCCCCCAGTGAGACAGGGCAGAGCAGGACAGGCTGGTCCCTGAGCCCACTGACACCTCGGGGCTGGAAAGGCCTTGGCCTCTCAACTAGGGGATGCTGACCTCCCTCAGGGGTATGATGAGGTGGCAAGCGTCCTCCTCCTTGCTGGCGAAGCAGATGTAGTTGTTGGAGATGAACATCTGGCCAGGGATGTGCAGCTTGTTGAACGGCGTCCACAGGGTGCAGCTTGTGTGGCCGTCTAGCCGCTCATCCCTGGGCAGCCGGAACGTGGCTCGGTAGCACTCATTCTTGGCTCGGGCGTCCAGGTCTCTGGGGAAACAAGGTAGGAGGACAGGAGGAAAGGGGACAAGGTCAGGACCAGCACACTCTCAAGGAAGCCTTGGGGCCTCCCCAGGCCTGTTTCCACATCAGATTCAGGATCCCTGGGGTGGTCCCTTGAGCAAGTCATGCTCAGGGACCTCAGAGTTCAATAAAAGATGCATGCTGAGTGAGCAGGCAGAAGGTGAGACAGTCACATAACCAGCGGAGAAGTGGCCAGCAAGCAATGTGTCCTGAGACTGCTTTGAAAAGGACACACCTAGATGCTGGCCTGGGCAATGTGCAACCCATCCCTCGGTACTGATGGGCAAGCAGAGCCCAGAGCACCTGCCCTGGATCCCACTCAGATGGAGGGCCCCGGGCAGCTCTTCCACCCTGGGCAGGCCTAACCCCAGGTTTCACCTTGAAACCTAGGTGAGGAGCTCCCCACAGGGAGGTGTGGAGCTTAAACTAAAGCATGCGGCTGCTAACAGAAATGCACACCTGTGTATCTGATGGCTGTGACAGTGGCCTGGCCCAGGCCCTCACCCCTTTGGTGGCTCTGTCCACATAAACTCTCCCAGCCCCAAAGGGAGCCTCCTGCCTGCCCTGGGCCGCAGTGGCCTGACCAGGGCCTGACTGCATTCTCACCGGCAGTGCCAGGAGCAGTCATGTTCCATCTCTGCTCGTGTTCTTTCCAAAAGGTCCAACAAGCCAACCTGTCACTTGCATCCCAAGGACAACATGCTTGCACAATTTTCTGGTCCTGGAGGTGGACCCCAGAGTTTGGGCCTGGACCACAGTCTGTGGGTGCAATGCAGGAAATGGCCTGGCTGGAATGAGGTCGCTCAACACAAGGGTGTGAATCTGGCTGTGGTCAGGCTGGCTGTGGGACCCAGGGAACCTCAGAGATCTTGTCCAGCCTCTGGAGTTTCCCATAAGCTACAACCTAGGAACCCAAACGTTAAGTAGCCCGGGAGGGCTGGCTGCTATGATGTGTTCCTGCCTATCGGTCCCCTGGACAGGGCAGCAGGGAACTCAGACCCACACATGGCCCATCTCCTTGGCTGGCTTCAGACCCAGAGGTCTGCTTCCACGTCAAACTCAGGACCCCTGGGGGTCCCATGGCTGTGAGAGGCCTCTGGCCAAGGAGTCTCAGGGTATACAGGAGAGCTGTCAATCACGGTGGGACGGAGGCCGTGCACTTGAGCCCAGATTTACCAAAGCCTTTCTGGGGGTGTCAGAACACCCTGGCTGAGGTGGCTACATCCTGGCTCCACTGCTCACTAACCGAGGGACTTCAGGCAAGTTACTTAACCTCTCTGTGCCTCAGCTTCCTTGTCTGATACCTAGGGATGGTAAGAGCCCCTTCCCATCATAGGGCCAAGAGGAATAAAGTGTGAAGAGCTTCCTCCCCATTAGTGGTATCCTCAGGACATCACTGCTATCTCCTGCTGCCTCTCCACACGGGACTGCAATGATCTGTTTACCTGGCTTCCTTCCCAAGTGGGGAGCCCATGAGGGGTGAATGTGGACACCTTCTCCAGGTCTACACACTTGGACCAGGCAGGTCCCAGCCAAGGTCAGCGAACCTGGCTCACATGAGCCCACCCCAGCCCTGGAGGGCAACGCACCGCTTCAGGGCTGAGATGTTCCTGTGTGGCCGGATGGGCCTAGGCAGGGCCTTGTCCTCCAGGAAGCCCTCGCTGTCCAGCAGCTGCCGCATGGCCAGGTTGGCCAACTGCTCCATGAGCTTGAAGGTCTCGCCGATGTTGAGGAACATGGAGAAGAAGAGCTCCTGGTCGCGGGTGTCCACACGGATGCTCTCGGGGAAGAGCAGGGTGGCGTTCTTCTCCAGACGCGTTATGTCCACCCACTGCACCACGAGGCTCACTGTGCCCACAGAGATAGACACACCGCAAGTTAGGGCCTGGCAGGGCGAGGCTCCTGATGCCCATCTGTACCCCAGACCCATCCCAGGGAACTGCTCTCTGGGGGCAGCACTTCCTGTGTGCCCAGGCCTGTCTGGGCTGTGTCACGCCCTCCATGTGGAGGGACCAGGCCACTGAGGTGTCCACTGCCTTCCAGACCAACCACACACGGTGAGTGTCTCCCCCACCAGTGGCTGAAGGGGAAAGGAACGAACGTGCGGAGGTGAACCACCGAGACCCACCCAGCAGCTCCCCCAAGTGGGAGCGCACGGAGGTGTGAACAGTCACAGCACAGCGCGGCCAACACAGAACAGGACACAGCCCCTGCTGACGGGAGGTGACTGGCCACCTGGTCGTGACAGGTAAGCGGCAAGGGCAGGAGGGGGCACAGGGAGGCTGTGGGCTGAGGGAGGCAAGGAGGGAGGAGGGCTTGGTGGGCTTGGGGATGGCTAAGACCCTGGGGCTCTTTCTGGAGCTGCTGGGAAATCAGGCTCGCATCCTGTGGCCGGGATGTCTGTAGGGAGGAACCTGCAGCAGATGAGGGCTGTGGCACGCACCCAAGGCATTGCATGACATGGAATCACCAGGAATTTGGGACAGACGTGTGCCTGAATACGCCAGTTCAGCAGAAGAGGGCAGGGCAGGCACGCGGAGTCACCATGTAGAGAACCCTACTAGCGAGTGGGGGGCATGGTAAAAGTCGGCTGGGAGCAGGTGTACGCCTGGCCAAGGCCGGACAGTCCCATCTTGGGCCGCTAAGGTGGCATTTGGGTTTCAGGGAGACCCCTCTGGTGGCCATGTGGGGATGGAGTATCTGGGGGCCGAAGGCAGGGAGGGGCTGAGGGTGTGGGGGCTGGGGCACACTGAGGGGCGGGCTCACCTTCCTTCCCCAGCAGGAAGGAGTAGAAGCACAGGTGGTTGACCGTCAGGTACAGCCAGCCCTGCCGGGGCACGCGGCCCTTCCAGTAGCTGCAGGAGTAGTAATTCACCAGCTTCTCGCCCTCAGGCATCCCAAACTGCTTCCGCATCTTCAGCTCAGCCTCCTTGAACTTCCCGGGGTCCTCGTCTCCCTGGGGCTGCAGGTTCTTGTTCTCTTCTGCGATGATTCCCTGGAGGAAGGCAAGAGGACAAGGGCTTGCCCTGCACAGTCCCGGACAGGTCAAAGGGTGGAGCAGAGAGGCCCAGGGAACCCAGGACTCATGGACCTTGGTCTAAGGGCTACAGGCACAGCTGGGAACAGTCAGTGGCTCTTGCTGGCTTGCAGTCAAGGCACATGGATGAGAGACGCTGCCTGTGTGACTCTCTAGACAAAGTTCCTGCAACTCCCGTAACTACTGTCATCACCAGTTGTGAGCAGAGGCTTTTTAAAAAAATTAAGACAGGGTCTCACTCTGTCACCCAAGCTGGAGTGCAGTGGCTCAACCACGGCTCACTGTAGCCTCAACCCAACAGCTGAAGCCATCCTCCTGCCTCAGCCTCCCAAGTAGTTGGGACTATAGGTGTACTCCACCACACCTGGCTAATTTTGTACTTTTTGTAGAAATGGGGTTTTGCCATGTTGCCCAGGCTGGTCTCAAACTCCTGGGCTCAAGTGATCCGCCCGCCTCAGCCTCCCAAAGTGCTGGGATTACAGGTGTGAACCACTGTGTCTGGCCTGACACTTTTAAAATGAATATTTCAGTTATTTTCATGTAAAATTGTTGAAACATTATCCATAAACATGGTAAAAAATGCATACAGTAGAAATGTGTATTCAGTGAAAAGGGAATCTTTTCTCGCTCTCTGTAGTGACTTTCCTGGTTCCTTCCAGACATGCAAACACCAATGGATTCATAAGCAAATGTATGTTTTCCTCTTTCCCCCTTTATTTGCCCAAATGGGATCACCCTGCAGCTCTGTTCTGTAAAGCGCTTCTCTTATCACATCCTGGAGGACGTCCTGCACTTGGCCCCCTGTATGCCAGGGGGCTCCTGCCTCTTGGCCCTGCACACAAACCAGCGGCAGGACCTGCAGTTTCAGGGCCCGTCCATACTCCCTCATGCTGCTGGCATTGTTACAGGGCTCAGGGTGCCCAGAGACATCCCCCTGGGCCACAGAGCCAGCCCCAAGCCTCCTGGGGTAAAACAGGTCCTCAGCAGTGCCCTCAGCTCAAAATGTACACATTGATTTTCTAGAAAGACAATTACAAGATAAACTAGTCAGTCAAGGTCAGTGCTGGTGGCTGGGCCACCCCCGATCCCTCTGTCCATGGGCAGTGAGGACAGCCATGAGCCTAGGTGAGGACTGAAAGGTGGGATCTGTTCTGATTTCTTCTATTTCTGAGTAGCCAGGGAAGGAAACTACAATATGCCATCCCAAAATATGCCCTTTTGACATAAGAAGTATTTTGAGCTGAAGGCAATTAAGTAGCAGCAAACACAGGAAAAGCTCTTTCTGCCCTCCCTCCCCCTTTCTGCCTAAAAGCTGGATATACGTTCTCCTTTATTGGAGACAATTCTAGATTCCTATCAGCCCAGAGATGACACCGCACGCATCTGCAAACAAACCTTACTCCATCGGTTTCATCCCACGTATTTATCTTCTCACAGTTTCCTGCCCTTGGAAGCATAAGCTGTTTTCGTCTGTCCTGTTATTGTTCTTTAAGTGGCCTGTCCCTGTGTTAAGAGGCTGTGTAAACCCAATTCCAACTAAACTTTTGAGTCACCTATCCAAGTTTCTCCCATGAATATATGAGATACACACATTAGTAAACTTCTGTTTTTGTCTTGTTAATCTGCCTTTTGTAACAGAGCCCCAGCCAAGAACCTAAATGGGGAGAAGGAAAAGGGTTTTTCTTCTCTTATACCAGTGCTACCGCAGCTGCGATCTAAACATCTCTCTCCAAAGTGCTGGGATTACAGGTGTGAGCCACCGCGCCTAGCCAAACTGGTGTTCTTTTAAGCCACTAAGTTGATGGTAATTTGTTGCAGAAGCAACTGGAAATTAATAAATGTTATTCTAATAAAGTGCCCATTTTGTCTAAATTCTTTTTTTTTTAGACAGGGTCTCACTCTATTGCCCAGGCTGGAATGCTGTGGCGCAATCTTGGCTCACTGCAACCTCTGCCTCCCGGGTTCAAGCAATTCTTGTGCCTCAGCCTCCCAAATAGGTGGGATTACAGGTGCGCGACACCATGCCCAGCTAATTTTTTATATTTTTAGTAGAGACAAGGTTTTGCCATGTTGGCCAGGCTGGTCTTAAACTCCTGGCCTCAAGTGATCCACCTGCCTTAGCCTCCCAAAGTGCTAGGATTACGGGTGTGAGACACCACGCCCAGCCCCATTTTGTCTAAATTCTTAAAGGTACTGGTTTAAGGCTGTTTTGTCATCCTCTCTCTTTAGAGTTTTGCTTTTTTAAAGATGCTCCTCACAGCGTATTTTGAGACGGAGTCTCGCTCTGTTGCCCAGGCTGGAGGGCAGTGGCATGATCTCGGCTCACTGCAACCTCCGCCTCCCAGGTTCATGCCATTCTCCTGCCTCAGCCTCCCGAGTAGCTGGGACTACAGGCCCCCGCCACCATGCCCGGCTAATTTTTTTGTATTTTTAGTAGAGATGGGGTTTCACTGTGTTAGCCAGGATGGTCTCGATCTCCTGACCTCGTGATCCGCCCGCCTCGGCCTCCAAAAGTGCTGGGATTACAGGCATAAGCCACTGCGCCTGGCCCATCCTTCCTTCTTTTGTAAGACTGAAGGCTTTAAATTTCCTTCTGTGTATTGCTCTCACTGCATCCCACACATCCTGACATGCAGTAGTATTTCAATCATTTTCTTTTCTTTTTTTTTTTTTTGAGATGGAGTCTCGCTCTGTTGCCCAGGCTGGAGTGCAGTGGTGTGATCTCAGCTCACTGCAACCTCTGCCTCCTAAGTCCAAGTGATTCTCCTGCCTCAGTCTTCCATTCCGAGTAGCTGGGACTACAGGCCCATGCCACCACGCCCAGCTACTTTTTAAATATTTTTAGTAGAGACAGGGTTTTGCCATGTTGGCAAAGGATGGCTGGCCTTGATCTCCTGACCTCAAGTGATCCGCCCGTCTTGGCCTCCCAGAGTGCTGGGATTACAGGTGTGAGCCACCACACCTGGCCTCAATTCTAAATATTTTCTAATTTCCATTTCTTCCTTGGCCTATGAGTCATTTGGTTTGTTCTGCTGATGCGTTTGTTGGGCCTGGCATATAGGAGGCAGTGAATAATGTCACAACTACTATTATTATCATCGCCCAATTGCTCACCAGAGTAAAGGCTTGCTTCTGCTCTCTCCACCTGTTTTCCTGGAGATAGAGGTAACCAGGTCTCACCTTGAACCCCAAAGTGCACTGAGAAGAGCTGAGAAAGCTGGTAATGTCTGTCCAGGCTTAGGAAGTTCTGGTATCAGGAATTCACATGGGCCTGCCCAAAGCAACTTTGCACCACACGACTTTGACCTGGTAAGAGCCCTCCCATGAATCTAACTTAAGGCAATAACCTAACAGAAAGAAAAAGACATATACATTCAGGCCAGGTGCGGTGGCTGATGCCTGTAATCCCATAACTTTGGGAGGCCAAGGTGGGTGGATCACTTAAGGTCAGGAGTTTGAGACTAGCCTGGCCAACATGGCAAAACCCCATCTCTACTTTTTTTTTTTTTTTTTGAGACGAAGTCTCATTCTGTCGCCTGGGCTGGAGTGCAGTGGCATCATCTTGGCTCACTGCAAACTCTGCTTCCCGGGTTTATGCCATTCTCCTGCCTCAGCCTCCCGATTAGCTGGAACTACAGGTGCCCACCACCACGCCCGGCTAATTTTTTTTGTATTTTTAGTAGAGACAGGGTTTCACTGTGTTAGCCAG
This sequence comes from Homo sapiens, assembly GCF_000001405.40. Lineage (NCBI taxonomy): Eukaryota > Metazoa > Chordata > Mammalia > Primates > Hominidae > Homo > Homo sapiens. The sequence goes on from NW_016107298.1 coordinate 663,926, forward strand.
GATGGTCGCGATCTCCTAACCTCGTGATCTGCCTGTCTTGGCCTCCCAAAGTGCTGGGATTACAGGCCTGAGCCACCGCACCTGGCCTTTTTTTTTTAATTGAGATGGAGTCTCACTCTGTCACCTAGGCTGGTGTGCAGTGGCACGATCTCAGCTCACTGCAACCTCGGCCTCCTGGGTTCAAGCAATTCTCCTGTCTCAGCCTCTTGAGTAGCTGGGATTACAGGCGCGTGCCACCATGCCTGGCTAATTTTTGTATTTTTAGTAGAGATGGGGTTTTGCCACGTTGGCCAGGCTGCTCTTGAACTCCTGACCTCAGATGATCCACCCACCTCGGCCTCCCATAGTGCTGGGATTATAGGTGTGGGCCACCACACCTGGCCCTTTAAACTGTATATTCTGCATATATGAATACACTGTAGGGTAAACGCCAAGAATGGAATTTTTGGGTAAAGGGCATGTGTCTTTTAAAATAACGTTAGTTTTATTATAAAAAACAACTCAAAATATCCAATTGTTTCCAGCATCTCTTCTGGCAAACAGAACCGTCTATCTGCGTACGCCTTCCAAGGCACTTGGGTAGGAATGGAAGCCCCGCACTAGGCTTCAGCAGCCTCCAGTGCCCACCCAGGGTAAGAAGGGGTTTTCCTGGGTCACGAGTTCCTCTGCCCCTTTCAACTCCAAGAGAAGGAGCGCTGACACTTCAGTCTCCACCTTTGTAAAATGGGGACGCACCCTACATCGTGAAGATGAAATAGGATAATACACGAGAACACTGCTGGCCAGGGAAGGGTGAGAACAGAGAGTGGCGGGTAAACCTTACGTGTATCTTGCCCTTGACGAAGGTGGTGATATCTTCCTCACTGTCGAAGATGGACAGTGTCTGGAGCAAGTTATTTTCCAGCCATTCCCAGTGTTTTGTGATCTCTTTGCGGGAAGAACCTAGAAGAGGTTTGGTAAAGTAAAAGAAAAATCATGAATTCCCCAGGCCTTAAACGCACATTCAAAGAAGCGAGATGAAAGTGGGTGACCTCATTTGCTAAATCTAAGTGACCAGAATCTTCAAGCTGCTTTTCCCTCTTAAGCTGATGGATATGTGCATAACAAAGTAATAAATGGTCCTGGTAAAAAAACAAAAAATTAAACGTCCAGGCTGAATCACAGTCGTGTGGGAGAGAATGTTTCCACCTGTCCCTGAAGCCAACAGGGAGAGTCACTAAGTCTCCTATGTGTCCTAGAAATAGTCTGTGTGCCTGCAAGCTTGCTAACTTACACTTTTCCTCAAGTTGAAAGAACTTAATGTGGCTTTTGCTATGTAGGTGATTAATCAGACACAGTCATACTTTGTATAAATGAGTCCAGCTCTTTCCTGAGCATCTAGGTATCCACAGATAAGCAGCCGGAGCTTCCTACAAGACTCCAGGCCCCTGGCCAGCGAGGCTCCTGCTGGGCAGGCGAGTAGCTACTGTCCCTCTCTTCAGTTTCTCCTGGCCACCTTCTTACCTTGTGTCTGCCCCACCTAGGAGGGAGGGGGTCCCTGTCCTCCATAGGCCCAACGGAAATTAAAAAAAATGTAGAGAAAATCTGGGCGCCGTGTCTCATGCCTGTAATCCCAGCACTTTGGGAGGCTGAGGCAGGAGGGTCATTTGAGCCCAGGAGTTCGAGATCAGCCCGGGCAGCATGGCGAAACCAAAAATACAAAAAATTAGCTGGGCGTGGTGGCATGCACCTGTGGTCCCAGCCACTCAGGATGCTGAGGTGGGAGGATTGCTTGAGCCTGGGAGGCGGAGGCTACAGTGCAGCCTGAGTGACAAAGTGAGACCTCGTCTCAAAAAACAAAACAACACACAAAACAAAAACGTAGAGAAGGCAGCACGATGCCACTTTCAAAGGCTGGAAGAATTGTTTGCTCCCATTAAGGAATCGGGGAAGAAGCCCCGGGGGAAGAGCAAAGGGATGAGGGGAGATCTCTGCCTGGCCTGGCTCCCCTACCCCCAGCACCTGTTTCTGGGGTTTTGCCTGTACTGAATGAACACAAGGATGAGGAGTGAATGACACCCTGAATCATTCTCAGCTGTCCGGGGGTGGGACAGGAGGCCCACCCACCAGGCATGAAGACAGCCTCAGCCAAGACATGGCAGATTCTCGTTATTCAGGTGGTCAGATTCTGTAAGGTGGCCGCGAACACTGAGTTAGCGAATCCTGAACCAGTACCCTGGGGGAACACAGGGTTAGGTTCCTGGAGCCTCTAATCACACTCTTGTCGACTGACCGATACATAACTGTTTTACATGTTTCTGTTTAAAGATGCCTTATTTAATACGTATCCCTGATCGATTGGCATTGAGCTCACGGCCAGCAGCACTATCACTCACGCCTGAAAGAAGCTGCTCGCATGCACGGATCTCCTTCACAAGGCACAACTCAGCCTTCTTGCTCTTAGGAACAAGAGCACTACGGCACTATGCTCGGGAGGCCAGTGTGACTGTGAACCAGACGTCTCTGCTGGCACGCCTGCCCCGACCACCTTCCTTCCCTCCCTGACCAGGCTCTTCTGCCAGCTGGAGACAGCTCTGACCCTCCCTCCAGGCCAGGCTGGGCCTGTCACCTGCTCCAGCCCGTGGCACCCGCTCAAGGCTGTGTCACAGCCCGGCTGTTCTGCTTGGGACTGATTTGTTTGCTTTGTCAAATCTCCTCAAGCAGACCCTGACCTAAGAAGCAAGGCCACAGGATAGATCCTCCCGATTGGCCTGGGGGAGGATGCCCACGGGAAAACGATTCCACCCAGAATCACACAGCTTGCAGTGAGTCACAAAAGGCCCCCAGAATTACTCCTGGAAGCCCCTTAAGTCATCCATAATTCACTTTAAACTTTTTTTTTCATTTTTCTTTGCATTTCTATTACAGCCTCCTTTCCCTGATGCACAGAGGCCAAGGCCTAGTTGGTAGGTAGAGATTTCTTTTTCGGTTTCTTTGCCAGGAACCCACAGTTGAATTTGGAAGTCAAATTTACATGTGGTGCAACTCTACTGTATTATTTTCTGTTACACATAACATTCCTAGAAAACTAAAACAGAAGAAATCTCCTCCTCGCTGCCTGTGTGGATGTGTCAGCACTTTAATTAAAAATATTTATAGGCCGGGCACAGTGGCTCAGTCCTATAATCCCAGCACTCTGGGAGGCTGAGGCAGGGGAATCGCTTGAGCCCAGGAGTTTGAGATCAGTCTGGGCAACATGGCTGTCTCTACAAAAAATAGAAAAAATGAGGCATGGTTGCGTGGGCCTGCAGTCCCAGCTAGTCAGGAGGCTGAGGTGGGAGGATCGCTTTAGCCAGAGAGCTGCAGTGAGCTGTGATTGCACCACGGCACTCCAGCCTGGGCAACAGAAAGAGAACGCCTCAAAAAAACATTTCTTTTTTTACATATGTGCATTAAAAATATTAGTTAAAAGTAACTCAATCTTCATTTCATACTAAGAAACTATTCCATCTCTATGCTAGGTGCTGGGAATAAAAATAATATAATAGCTAATTAGAGTATTAAATGCTGTTTCTGTTTTCAGAGTTTTCCATGGATTATCTTATTTCATTCTCAGAACACAGTGGAGACAGGTACCATTATTTTCATTTTACCAGATGAAGCTGAGGCACAGAGAGGTGAAATAAGTTACCCAAGGTCACACAGCTGGGAAGTGATCAAATCAGAATCCTAACCCTGGGTGCCTGGCTGCAGAGCCTGCCCTCACCCTCGGAAGCTCCCGGCCTCATGGGCTTCCACGTAAAAGCGTGTGCAGACACGTCATGTCCAGAGGAGTAAGGAGGAAGGATGGGTCTGTGGAGTCTGGGCAGTTCTCAGAGGAGCGGGAGGGAAGGTTAGCTGGCATGGCGGACACTAGGCACAGCAGCCAGGAGGGGTGTGGCTCCTCCAGGCCCTGCAGCTGTGTGGTCCGGCTGAAGGCCAGGCTGTGAGCTGGGGAGACAAGGCCAGAAATGGAGGCAGGCAGACCCCCAGGTGTCCTCGAACACCAGGCTCAAGGGTCAGGACTCACTAAGCAGGTGCTGGCAGGGCCATGTCTGGTCTTGGTGAGTTGCTTCTGGGGCCTAGCCTGGCTGGCAGGAAAGGGAGGCACAGCCAGGGCCAGTGCAGGGCTTTGGGCCTGGCAGGAGGGGAGAGGTCAAGTGTGTGGCACGGGGCTACGTACATGGGCTCCGCTGCGTGGCTGTGGCTGGGCCCCTCCCCAGCACCAGGCCTGCTGTGACTAAAGGGATTCCCACTCTGCCCCTCGTACTTTTCTCTCCCCAGGGACGGGCAGCTCTTGCTGCCAGAGATGGAAATCTCAAGGGCCCATGTTAAAGCAGCTCCTCTCCTCATTAGCACACACCAACCTCCTGGCCCACTCAGAAATGGTCCCCTCCCCACAGGAAGCCCCTCCTCTGGCAAACTCTTGCTGCCCCCAGGGTCCACTCAGGCTCTGAAGCCAGAGATCGGGGGTCTAACTGGGCTTCCCTGCTTGGCCTTGGACAAACTCCCCTTCCTAACTCTTACTGAGTTATTCAGTCCTGCAAAGGAGAAGGGCACTGCTGGTCAGGATGCCCGTGCAGAGCGCCCACCTGGGAGTGGGGCTATTCCCGGGGTGCCGCCCGCCCTGTGCTTTTACTTCCTTGACCCTTCCCCTCCTGAAGCTGGGTTCCAGCCGTGAGGTTGACAAACTTTTGAGTCTCATCATCTTCTCCCAGGCCTTCAAGGGAAACCACTACCCTGGAGAACAAGGGCACTGTGGCTTCTGCTTCAGAGAGGTACTGAGAGGGTCCAAACTGCAGCTGTGTGACTCTGAGCAGGTTACTCAACCCCTCTGGGCCAGAGTTTCTTCACCTTCAACATAGAGAAGACCAAAGTACTTATGCCTTCTGGAGGTACCGGGTGGTTCAGGCAAGTGCCTGGCACACAGGAAGCACTGTCTGAGCGTCAGCTAGGACTGTCATTTTCTCAGAGCAAACTCAACCCAGCAGGTACCCGCTGAAAGGGGACTTCCCTCCGCACTCTTGGACGGGTGAGTGCGCTTCCACCTAGGAGGACAACTACAGCGGATTCTCGTTATTCAGGTGGTCAGATTCTGTAAGGTGGCCGCGAACACTGAGTTAGCGAATCCTGAACCAGTACCCCGGGGGAACACAGGGTTAGGTTCCTGGAGCCTCTAATCACACTTCTGTCGACTGACCGATACATAACTGTTTTACATGTGTTTCTGTTTAAAGATGCCTTATTTAATACGTATTCCTGATCGATTGGCATTGAGCTCACGGCCAGCAGCACTATCACTCACGCCTGAATGAAGCTGCTCTCATGCACAGATCTCCTTCACAAGGCACAACTCAGCCTTCTTGCTCTTAGGAACAAGAGCGCTATGCTTGGGAGCCATTTTAAACAGCCAAGTCATCAGCAACGAGCACAAACATGGGAAAAACATGGCACTGCAGAGACTGTGAACAGGACACGTGAGTGCAGTATGAGAGCTGAATCAAGAAGGCAGAGCGTCGTCCTGTTCTGCCTCAGCTGGGGACATGGGCATCAGGCGAGTCAAATTTTTCACTGCTTTGAACGTGCATGTGTCCATGAGTGTCTCCAAATGACCACAAAATCGCTGGAAGTATTGATTTGGGGATTGCAAATACATTTTATTGAGTAGGCCAATTTGCAAATATGGAATCTTTGAATGAGGCCGACTACGTCTACCTTGAGAAAAGGTGGCATGAGAATGTGGACATTGGCTAGCCCCACACCTGCGTCCCTAGAGGTACATGGGGATCCATGGGGCTGTCCTCTCCTGCCCTGTCCCCATGACCAGTGGAGCTGCCTTTTTTTTTTTTTTTTTTTTTTGAGACGGAATCTCGCTGTGTCGCCCAGGCTGGAGTGCAGTGGCGCGATCTCGGCTCACTGCAAGCTCCGCCTCCCGGGTTCACGCCATTCTCCTGCCTCAGCCTCCCGAGTAGCTGGGACTACAGGCCTCCGCCACCACCCCCAGCTAATTTTTTGTGTTTTTTAGTAGAGACGTGGTTTCACCGTGTTAGCCAGGATGGTCTCGATCTCCTGACCTCGTGATCAGCCCGCCTCGGCCTCCCAAAGTGCTGGGATTACAGACGTGAGCCACCGCACCGGGCCACGGAGCTGCCTTTCTAAGATGGAAGCGAAGGCTCCTCCACTTCCCTCTTGCAGCCTTGGGCTATGCTGTCAGCAGGGAATACCACCCAGACACGTGGGCTACACACCCCTTCCTCTCGGCAACGGCCCTTCCAGGGCAGGCCCTGCCCAGCACCCCTCACCACTCAGGGCACCTACCACACGCCACTGTCCAGTAGACCTGGGAGTCCTGGGTCTGGTGCAGGATGCGGTAAGGGGCCACGCGGGCACTGGAGTCCAGCACCACGTCCAGGGTGCCCACGAGAAGACCTGGGAACAGGGCAGAGAGACATAGAGGGTGAGGGGAGGGCCGGACTGAGGCCCCTGAAGGCTGAGTCTGGCCGGAGGCAGACAGGATGGTGACGCTACCCAAAGGGTCCAGCCCAACGAGGGAAACGTCCGGAATGACCCCTGCGGTCAAAGGCCTTCAGCCAGTGTCTGATCCCGATCAAAAACATCCCCTTCTACTTCTTCCTGGAAGCATCTGCTTCTTCTCCTGGCTCAGAAACACTTGCAGGCAGAGGCAGATACAAGTTTCATGGGGCCAGAGCTTAAACAATTCTGGGAAGCCCTCTTTACGTATACAAAACTAGACTACAAAACAAGTATTGCTTTAGACCGAGAAAGTACAGAGCTACACGTTAAAGTTAAAAAAGAACAATATCAGAAATATCACAAAATCCAGAAAACCAACACAATGTTTTCCTAACTGCCATGTGCGTCTCCTGAAATACGTCTTCCGGACAGTTCTGGTCCTGTACTCATCGCTTCTTCACACACAGGACAATGATTCTGCAACATTATTTTCCATATCAAGAACAGAAAGATAATGTCTCCCCTTTGCCATGACTCACTGATTTTTTATTACCGACAGTTTAAGGAAGTTTCTTTTAGCCTCAAAAAATCATAACTGAAGAAGTCGATCTTTAGAATTGTCAAATTTGGGAAAATATAAAGTTTTTTCATTTCTGAACTGAAACATTTGAGGGCATTTCAAGTTTTTCTTCTCATCACATATACCCCTTTGATAGATGACACACATTAAGCAGTCTGTGGCAACGCTATCTTTGCTTTTATATTTTAGGTAATGCTATCTTTGTCAGTGTCACTATTTCCTGACAAATCAGCAGGAAATATATAGCTTTTATCATTGTTTGATTCACTAATTGAATTATCGAGCAATCTAAAAACCTGTTTATTGTTTTTACTTGAAATTTTTTCTTCCTTTTAACGAAGTGCTGCTTTTGGCATGATCTGAAAATATTTTGTTACCATTTTTCCTGTTGATGTCAGAACAATTTTTATTGCTGTTATTCAACTTTAACACTTTTGTTTCATAGTCCATTAATACTTTTTTGAGATAGTCTCGCTCTGTCGCCCAAGGTGGAGTGCAATGGCGCCATCTCGGCTCACTGCAACCTTGACCTCCTGGGTTCAAGCGATTCTCGTGCCTCAGCCTCCCGAGTAGCTGGGATAACAGGCGCGTGCCACCATGCCTGGATAAATTTTATATTTTTAGTAGAGACGGGGTTTTGCCATGTTGGCCAAGCTAGCTATTCAGATTCTTTAATGAAAAGTCTAGGTTGGCATGTTTTTAATAGATGGCTTGGATAAAACCACATCCCTGTCTGCTCCTCTTCAGGGAGGACAGTACTCAGGAGGCCACGATGCCCATGATGGCACAGGGAAGGCCCTGTCAGAGGGCACAGCAGGACACACCAAACCTAGCAGTGGGGAGAGATTGGGAGAGGGTTCAAAGAAGGGTTCCCTTGGGGGGACCCTGGGAGCTCGGTCCCAGGGGACACGGAGAGTGAGGTGGAAAGGAGAAGAGCCCGCAGGAAGGAGGTGTACAGAGACCGGGCTGCACCTGCACCCGCCCGTTCAATGAGACGACCCACATAAGCCTGCCGAGCACAGCACAAGTGTTTCAAGTACACCAGCGAATATGACACACTGGCGCGCTGATGACACCCTGGCGCGCTGGCGGAAGAAAAGGTGCCGGTCCCTCGCTTTCTTCATCGGGCTTGCAGTAGCTTCGAGGTTAGCCACAGGGGCTGCCGACTGAACAGCTGGATCTAGGAGGCGGGTCCAGAACAGGAGCCCGAGATCCTTGAAGCCCACTGGGAGGGAACCCGAAGCTGAAGGGAACACTGAGTGTTTCTGGGAACAGAACAGTCTCTTCCACATGAAGAAACGTGGCCCAGGAGAAGCCTCCGTCTGCATCTGGCTATTAGCTGCTCACACTGAAAATCAGGATGATTCACAGAAAATGCTCTTGATAAACTGGACGACCTGGCAACACTGGGACCGCAATCCTGTAGGGCAACAGTCGGTGCCCCGAAGAGCACAGGCACTGAGCCCGAGCCAGCCGGGCTCCTGCAGTGCTGGGCGCAGGCCCTGGAGCATGAGGGGCCCCGGACACCACCTGCGGAGGGAGTGGCCTGTGGGCCTCCCCTGGATCCCACAGGCCGCACGACTCCAAGGGTGCCTGTCCAGCTTCATCCTGTGTGATGGTGGCACCCGGGCCCACAAAGGGCCACCTTGGCGAGCTTGCAGGAACACCCTGTGCCGCTACCCACAGCCTTGGGTGCGCAGCTCTGAGAGCAGCCAGGAGCAGGAAAGGTGGGGGAGGAGAAGCTGGGGGAATGGGGGTGCGGCCAGCTCCAGGGACCTCTGATCTTGCTAAAAGGGCGATACTTTGGTGAGATGGGCACGAAGAAGAGGGCAAAAGAAAACGTGCGCTGGCGTCACCTGGCCCCTTAGAGGCACCTGGGGAAACTGAGGTGGAGGATGAGGACAGGGCGGTCTCGCCAACTTTCGGCGGTGAGATCCCGGGAAGCTGCACGGCCCCCGGGGCTCGCGGGCGCCGAATCCGGGCAGAAGCCGCCGCCGGTCTCCACTTGGCCGCCCCAAGCCGACCTGAGGAGAGCCCGCCGAGGGCGCATTCGCCTCCCGCC